>NC_000004.12:51419056-51743951 GCF_000001405.40 Homo sapiens
AGCATTCTCAGAAACTTCTTTTTGATTTGTGTACTCAAGTAACAGAGTTGAACCTTCCTTTTGACAGAGCAGTTTTGAAACACTCTTTTGGTAGAATCTGCAAGTGGATATCTGGATAGCTTTGAGGATTTCGTTGGAAACGGGTTATCTTCATATAAAATCCAGACAGGAGCATTCTCAGAAACTTCTTTGTGCTGTATGTCCTCAATTCACAGAGCTGAACCTTTGTTTGGATACAGCATTTTGGAAACATTCCTTTAGTAGAATCTGCAAGTTGATATTTAGATAGCGTTGAAGATTTCGTTGGAAACGGGAATATCTTCATAGAAAATCTAGACGGAAGCATTCTCATAAACTGCTTTGTGATGTTTGCATTCAAGTCACAGAGTTGAATATTCCCTTTTATAGAGTAGGTTGGAAACATTCTTTCGGCACTACCTGGAAGTGGATATTTCGAGCTCTTTGAGGCCTATGGTTAAAAGGAAATATCTTCCCATAAAAACTAGACAGAAGCCTTCTCAGAAACTTGTTTGAGAACTGTGTATTCAACAAAGAGCGTTGAACATTTCTTTTTACAGAGCAGTTTTAAAACACTCTTTTGGTGGAATCTGAAAGTGGATAATTGGATAGCTTTGTGGATTTCGTTGGAAACGGGATTACGTTTAAAATCTAGAGAGAAGCATTCTCAGGAACTTCTTTCTGACGTTTGCATTCAAGTCACAGAATTGAACATTCCTTTTCATAGTGCAGGTTTGAAACACTCTGTAGTATCTGGAAGTGGACATTTCAAGCGCTTTCAGGCCTATGGGGAGAAAGGAAATATCTTGAAATAAAAACTAGACAGAAGGATTCTCAGAAACTTATTTGTGATGTGTGTCCTAAACGAACACAGTTGAACCTTTGTTTTGATACAACATTTTGGAAACACTCCTTTTGTAGAATCTGCAGGTGGATATTTGGATAGATTTTAAGATTTCATTGGAAACGGGAATTTCTTCATATAAACTCAAGACAGATGCATTCTCAGAAACTTCTCTGTGATGTTTGCATTCCACTCATAGAGTTGAAAACTTCCTTTCATAGAGCAGGTTTGAAACACTCTTTTTGTAATATTTGGAACTGGACATTTGCAGCGCTTTGAGGCCTATGGTGAAAAAGGAAATATCTTCTCATAAAAACCAGAAACAAGCATTCTCAGAAACTTCTTTTTGATGTGTGTACTCAAGTAACAGAGTTGAACCTTCCTCTTGACACAGCAGTTTTGAAACAATCTTTTTGTAGAATCTGCAAGTGGATATTTGGATAGCTTTGAGGATTTCGTTGGAAACGGGATATCTTCATATAAAATCTAGACAGAAGCATTCTCAGAAACTTCTTTGTGCTGTATGTCCTCAATTAACAGAGTTGAACCATTGCTTGGATACAGCATTTTGGAAACATTCCTTGAGTAGAATCTGCAAGTTGATATTTAGATAGATTTGAAGATTTCGTTGGAAAAGGGAATATCTCCATATAAAATCTAGAGGGAAGCATTCTCAGAAACTGCTTTGTGATGTTTCCATTCAAGTCACAGAGTTGAATATTCCCTTTTATAGAGCACGTTTGAAACACTCTTTCTGCACTATCTGGAAGTGGACATTTCGAGCGCTTTGAGGCCTATGGTGAAAAAGGAAATATCTTCCCATAAAAACTAGACAGAAGCATTCTCAGAAACTTCTTTGTGATGTGTGTATTCAACTAACAGACTTGAACTTTTGTTTTTACAGAGCAGTTTTAAGACAATCTTTTTGTGGAATCAGAAAGTGGATATTCGGATGGCTTTGAGGATTTCGTTGGAAGCGGGATTACATATAAAATCTAGAGAGAAGCATTCTCAGGAACTTCTTTGTGATGTTTGCATTGAAGTCACAGAATTGAACATTCACTTTGATAGAGCAGGTTTGAAACACTCATTCTGTAGTATCTGGAAGTGGACATTTCAAGCGCTTTCAGGCCTATGGTGAGAAAGGAAATATCTTCGAATAAAAACTAGACAGAAGCATCCTCAGAAACTTATTTGTGATGTGTGTCCTCAACTAACAGAGTTGAAACTTTGTTTTGATACAGCATTTTGGAAACACTCTTTTTGTAGAATCTGCAGGTGGATATTTTGATAGCTTAGAGGGATTCGTTGGAAAGGGGATATCTTCATATAAAATCTAGACAGAAAGCATTCTCAGAAACTTATTTCTGATGTGTGTCCTCAACTAACAGAGTTGAACCTTGGTTTTGATACAGCATTTTGGAAACACTCCTTTTGAAGAATCTGCAGGTGGATATGTGGATAGCTTTGAAGATTTCGTTGGAAACGGGAATTTCTTCATATAAAATCAAACAGAAGCATTCTCAGAAACTTCTCTGTGATGTTTGCATTCAGCTCATGGAGTTGAACACTTCCTTTCATAGAGCAGGTTTGAAACACTCTTTCTGCACTACCTGGAAGTGGACATTTCGAGCGCTTTAAGGCCTATGGTGAAAAAGGAAATATCCTCTCATAAAAACCAGAAAGAAGCGTTCTCAGAAACTTCTTTGTGTTGTGTGTACTCATGTAACAGTGTTGAACCATCCTTTTGACAGAGCAGTTTTGAAACACTCTTTTTGTAGAATCTGCAAGTGGATATTTGGATAGCTTTGAGGATTTCGTTGGAAACGGGTTATCTTCATATTAAATCTAGACAGAAGCATTCTCAGAAACTTCTTTGTGCTGTATGTCCTCAATTCACAGAGTTGAACCTTTGTTTGGATACAGCATTTTGGAAACATTCCTTTAGTAGAATCTGCAAGTTGATATTTAGATAGCTTTGAAGATTTCGTTGGAAACGGGAATATCTTCATAAAAAATCTAGACGGAAGCATTGTCAGAAACTGCTTTGTGATGTTTGCATTCAAGTCACAGAGTTAAATATTCTTTTACAGAGCAGGTTTGAAACACTCTTTCTGCACTCCCTGGAAGTGGAGATTTCGAGCGCTTTGAGGCCTGTGGTGAAAAAGGAAATATCTTCCCATAAAAACTAGACGGAAGCATTCTCAGAAACTTGTTTGTGATGTGTGTATTCAACTAACAGACTTGAACTTTTGTTTTTACAGAGCAGTTTTAAGACAATCTTTTTGTGGAATCAGAAAGTGGATATTCGGATGGCTTTGAGGACTTCGTTGGAAGCGGGATTACATATAAAATCTAGAGAGAAGCATTCTCAGGAACTACTTTGTGATGTTTGCATTGAAGTCACAGAATTGAACATTCACTTTGATAGAGCAGGTTTGAAACACTCATTCTGTAGTATCTGGAAGTGGACATTTCAAGCGCTTTCAGGCCTATGGGGAGAAAGGAAATATCTTCAAATTAAAACTAGACAGAAGCATCCTCAAACTTATTTGTGATGTGTGTCCTCAACTAACAGAGTTGAAACTTTGTTTTGATACAGCATTTTGGAAACACTCTTTTTGTAGAATCTGCAGGTGGATATTTGGATAGCTTAGAGGGATTCGTTGGAAAGGGGATATCTTCATATAGAATCTAGACAGAAGCATTCTCAGAAACTTATTTGTGATGTGTGTCCTCAACTAACAGAGTGGAACCTTGGTTTTGATACAGCATTTTGGAAACACTCCTTTTGTAGAATCTGCAGGTGGATATGTGGATAGCTTTGAAGATTTCGTTGGAAACGGGAATTTCTTCATATAAAATCAAACAGAAGCATTCTCAGAAACTTCTCAGTGATGTTTGCATTCAGCTCATGGAGTTGTACACTTCCTTTCATAGAGCAGGTTTGAAACACTCTTTCTGCACTACCTGGAAGAGGACATTTCGAGCGCTTTGAGTCCTATGGTGAAAAAGGAAATATCTTCTCATAGAAACCAGAAAGAAGCATTCTCAGAAACTTCTTTGTGTTGTGTGTACTCATGTAACAGTGTTGAACCATCCTTTTGACAGAGGAGTTTTGAAACACTCTTTTTGTAGAATCTGCAAGTGGATATTTGGATAGCTTTGAGGATTTCGTTGGAAACGGGATGACATATAATATCTAGAGAGAAGCATTCTCAGGAACTTCTTTGTGATGTTTGCATTCAAGTCACAGAATTGAACATTCCCTTTCATAGAGCAGGTTTGAAACACTCTTTCTCTAGTATCTGGAAGTGGGCATTTCAAGCGCTTTCAGGCCTATGGAGAGAAAGGAAATACCTTCAAATAAAAACTAGACAGAAGCATTCTCAGAAACTTATTTGTGATGTGTGTCCTCAACTAACAGAGTTGAACCTTTGTTTTGATACAGCATTTTGGAAACACTCCTTTTGTAGAATCTGCAGGTGGATATTTGGATAGCTTTGAAGATTTCGTTGGAAACCGGAATATCTTCATATAAAATCAAGACAGAAGCATTCTCGGAAACATCTCTGTGATGTTTGCATTCAACTCAGTAGAGTTGAACACTTCCTTTCATAGAGCAGGTTTGAAACACTCTTTCTGCCCTACCTGGAAGCGGACATTTCGAGCTCTTTGAGGCCTATGGTGAAAAAGGAAATATCTTCTCATAAAAACCAGAAAGAAGCATTCTCAGAAACTTCTTTGTGTTGTGTGTACTCAAGTAACAGTGTTGAACCTTCCTTTTGACAGAGCAGTTTTGAAACACTCTTTTGGTAGAATCTGCAAGTGGATATTTGGATAGCTTTGAGGATTTCGTTGGAAACGGGTTATCTTCCTATAAAATCCAGACAGGAGCATTCTCAGAAACTTCTTTGTGCTGTATGTCCTCAATTCACAGAGCTGAACCTTTGTTTGGATACAGCATTTTGGAGACATTCCTTTAGTAGAATCTGCAAGTTGATATTTAGATAGCTTTGAAGATTTCGTTGGAAACGGGAATATCTTCATAGAAAATCTAGACGGAAGCATTCTCAGAAACGGCTTTGTGATGTTTGCATTCAAGTCACAGAGTTGAATATTCGCTTTTATAGAGCAGGTTTGAAACACTCTTTCCGGACTTCCTGGAAGTGGACATTTCGAGCGTTTTGAGGCCTATGGTGAAAAAGGAAATATCTTCCCATAAAAACTAGACGGAAGCCTTCTCAGAAACTTGTTTGAGATGTGTGTATTCAACCTAGGAGAGTTGAACATTTCTTTTTACAGAGCAGTTTTAAAACACTCTTTTTGTGGAATCTGAAAGTGGAAGTTTGGATAGCTTTGAGGATTTCGTTGGAAGCGGGATGACATATAAAATCTAGAGAGAAGCATTCTCAGGAACTTCTTTGTGATGTTTGCATTCAAGTCACAGAATTGAACATTCCCTTTCATAGAGCAGGTTTGAAACACTCTTTCTCTAGTATCTGGAAGTGGACATTTCAAGCGCTTTCAGGCCTATGGAGAGAAAGGAAATACCTTCAAATAAAAACTAGACAGAAGCATTATCAGAAACTTATTTGTGATGTGTGTCCTCAACTAACAGAGTTGAACCTTTGTTTTGATACAGCATTTTGGAAACACTCCTTTTGTAGAATCTGCAGGTGTATATTTGGATAGCTTTGAAGATTTCGTTGGAAACCGGAATATCTTCGTATAAAATCAAGACAGAAGCATTCTCGGAAACATCTCTGTGATGTTTGCATTCAAGTCAGTAGAGTTGAACACTTCCTTTCATAGAGCAGGTTTGAAGCACACTTTCTGCACTACCTGGAAGCGGACATTTCGAGCGCTTTGAGGCCTATGGTGAAAAAGGAAATATCTTCTCATAAAAACCAGAACGAAGCATTCTCAGAAACTTCTTTGTGTTGTGTGTACTCAAGTAACAGTGTTGAACCTTCCTTTTCACAGAGCAGTTTTGAAACACTCTTTTGGTAGAATCTGCAAGTGGATATTTGGATAGCTTTGAGGATTTCGTTGGAAACGGGTTATCTTCATATAAAATCCAGACAGGAGCATTCTCAGAAACTTCTTTGTGCTGTATGTCCTCAATTCACAGAGCTGAACCTTTGTTTGGATACAGCATTTTGGAGACATTCCTTTAGTAGAATCTGCAAGTTGATATTTAGATAGCTTTGAAGATTTCGTTGGAAACGGGAATATCTTCATAGAAAATCTAGATGGAAGCATTCTCAGAAACTGCTTTGTGATGTTTGCATTCAAGTCACAGAGTTGAATATTCCCTTTTATAGAGTAGGTTTGAAACACTCTTTCGGCACTACCTGGAAGTGGATATTTCGAGCTCTTTGAGGCCTATGGTTAAAAGGAAATATCTTCCCATAAAAACTAGACAGAAGCCGTCTCAGAAACTTGTTTGTGATGTGTGTATTCAACTAACAGAGTTGAACATTTCTGTTACAGAGCAATTTTAAAACACTCTTTTTGTGGAATCTGAAAGTGGATAATTGGATAGCTTTGTGGATTTCGTTGGAAACGGGATGACGTATAAAATCTAGAGAGAAGCATTCTCAGGAACTTCTTTCTGATGTTTGCATTCAAGTCACAGAATTGAACATTCCTTTTCATAGTGCAGGTTTGAAACACTCTTTCTGTAGTATCTGGAAGTGGACATTTCAAGCGCTTTCAGGCCTATGGGGAGAAAGGAAATATCTTCAAATAAAAACTAGACAGAAGGATTCTCAGAAACTTATTTGTGATGTGTGTCCTAAACGAACACAGTTGAACCTTTGTTTTGATACAGCATTTTGGAAACACTCCTTTTGTAGGATCTGCAGGTGGATATTTGGATAGATTTTAAGATTTCGTTGGAAACGGGAATTTCTTCATAGAAACTCAAGACAGATGCATTCTCAGAAACTTCTCTGTGATGTTTGCATTCCACTCATAGAGTTGAAAACTTCCTTTCATAGAGCAGGTTTGAAACACTCTTTTTGTAATATTTGGAAGTGGACATTTGCAGCGCTTTGAGGCCTATGGTGAAAAAGGAAATATCTTCTCATAAAAACCAGAAACAAGCATTCTCAGAAACTTCTTTTTGATGTGTGTACTCAAGTAACAGAGTTGAACCTTCCTCTTGACACAGCAGTTTTGAAACAATCTTTTTGTAGAATCTGCAAGTGGATATTTGGATAGCTTTGAGGATTTCGTTGGAAACGGGATATCTTCATATAAAATCTAGACAGAAGCATTCTCAGAAACTTCTTTGTGCTGTATGTCCTCAATTAACAGAGTTGAACCATTGCTTGGATACAGCATTTTGGAAACATTCCTTGAGTAGAATCTGCAAGTTGATATTTAGATAGATTTGAAGATTTCGTTGGAAAAGGGAATATCTCCATATAAAATCTAGAGGGAAGCATTCTCAGAAACTGCTTTGTGATGTTTCCATTCAAGTCACAGAGTTGAATATTCCCTTTTATAGAGCACGTTTGAAACACTCTTTCTGCACTATCTGGAAGCGGACATTTCGAGCGCTTTGAGGCCTATGGTGAAAAAGGAAATATCTTCCCATAAAAACTAGACAGAAGCATTCTCAGAAACTTGTTTGTGATGTGTGTATTCAACTAACAGAGTTGAACTTTTGTTTTTACAGAGCCGTTTTAAAACACTCTTTTTGTGGAATCAGAAAGTGGATATTCGGATGGCTCTGAGGATTTCGTTGGAAGCGGGATTACGTATAAAATCTAGAGAGAAGCATTCTCAGGAACTTCTTTGTGATGTTTGCATTGAAGTCACAGAATTGAACATTCACTTTGATAGAGCAGGTTTGAAACACTCATTCTGTAGTATCTGGAAGTGGACATTTCAAGCGCTTTCAGGCCTATGGTGAGAAAGGAAATATCTTCGAATAAAAACTAGACAGAAGCATCCTCAGAAACTTATTTGTGATGTGTGTCCTCAACTAACAGAGTTGAAACTTTGTTTTGATACAGCATTTTGGAAACACTCTTTTTGTAGAATCTGCAGGTGGATACTTGGATAGCTTAGAGGGATTCGTTGGAAAGGGGATAAATTCATATAAAATCTAGACAGAAGCATTCTCAGAAACTTATTTGTGATGTGTGTCCTCAACTAACAGAGTTGAACCTTGGTTTTGATACAGCATTTTGGAAACACTCCTTTTGTAGAATCTGCATGTGGATATGTGGATAGCTCTGAAGATTTCGTTGGAAACGGGAATTTCTTCATATAAAATCAAACAGAAGCATTCTCAGAAACTTCTCTGTGATGTTTGCATTCAGCTCATGGAGTTGAACACTTCCTTTCATAGAGCAGCTTTGAAACACTCTTTCTGCACTACCAGGAAGTGGACATTTCGAGCGCTTTGAGGCCTATGGTGAAAAAGGAAATATCTTCTCATAAAAACCAGAAAGAAGCGTTCTCAGAAACTTCTTTGTGTTGTGTGTACTCATGTAACAGTGTTGAACCATCCTTTTGACAGAGCAGTTTTGAAACACTCTTTTTGTAGAATCTGCAAGTGGATATTTGGATAGCTTTGAGGATTTCGTTGGAAACGGGTTATCTTCATATTAAATCTAGACAGAAGCATTCTCAGGTAACTTCTTTGTGATGTTTGCATTCAAGTCACAGAATTGAACATTCCCTTTCATAGAGCAGGTTTGAAACACTCTTTCTCTAGTATCTGGAAGTGGGCATTTCAAGCGCTTTCAGGCCTATGGAGAGAAAGGAAATACCTTCAAATAAAAACTAGACAGAAGCATTCTCAGAAACTTATTTGTGATGTGTGTCCTCAACTAACAGAGTTGAACCTTTGTTTTGATACAGCATTTTGGAAACACTCCTTTTGTAGAATCTGCAGGTGGATATTTGGATAGCTTTGAAGATTTCGTTGGAAACCGGAATATCTTCATATAAAATCAAGACAGAAGCATTCTCGGGAAACATCTCTGTGATGTTTGCATTCAACTCAGTAGAGTTGAACACTTCCTTTCATAGAGCAGGTTTGAAACACTCTTTCTGCACTACCTGGAAGCGGACATTTCGAGCGCTTTGAGGCCTATGGTGAAAAAGGAAATATCTTCTCATAAAAACCAGAAAGAAGCATTCTCAGAAACTTCTTTGTGTTGTGTGTACTCAAGTAACAGTGTTGAACCTTCCTTTTGACAGAGCAGTTTTGAAACACTCTTTTGGTAGAATCTGCAAGTGGATATTTGGAGAGCTTTGAGGATTTCGTTGGAAACGGGTTATCTTCCTATAAAATCCAGACAGGAGCATTCTCAGAAACTTCTTTGTGCTGTATGTCCTCAATTCACAGAGCTGAACCTTTGTTTGGATACAGCATTTTGGAGACATTCCTTTAGTAGAATCTGCAAGTTGATATTTAGATAGCTTTGAAGATTTCGTTGGAAACGGGAATATCTTCATAGAAAATCTAGACGGAAGCATTCTCAGAAACTGCTTTGTGATGTTTGCATTCAAGTCACAGAGTTGAATATTCCCTTTTATAGAGTAGGTTTGAAACACTCTTTCGGCACTACCTGGAAGTGGATATTTCGAGCTCTTTGAGGCCTATGGTTAAAAGGAAATATCTTCCCATAAAAACTAGACAGAAGCCGTCTCAGAAACTTGTTTGTGATGTGTGTATTCAACTAACAGAGTTGAACATTTCTGTTACAGAGCAATTTTAAAACACTCTTTGTGGAATCTGAAAGTGGATAATTGGATAGCTTTGTGGATTTCGTTGGAAACGGGATGACGTATAAAATCTAGAGAGAAGCATTCTCAGAAACTTCCTTCTGATGTTTGCATTCAAGTCACAGAATTGAACATTCCTTTTCATAGTGCAGGTTTGAAACACTCTTTCTGTACTATCTGGAAGTGGACATTTCAAGCGCTTTCAGGCCTATGGGGAGAAAGGAAATATCTTCAAATTAAAAACTAGACAGAAGGATTCTCAGAAACTTATTTGTGATGTGTGTCCTAAACGAACACAGTTGAACCTTTGTTTTGATACAGCATTTTGGAAACACTCCTTTTGTAGGATCTGCAGGTGGATATTTGGATAGATTTTAAGATTTCGTTGGAAACGGGAATTTCTTCATAGAAGCTCAAGACAGATGCATTCTCAGAAACTTCTCTGTGATGTTTGCATTCCAATCACAGAGTTGAAAACTTCCTTTCATAGAGCAGGTTTGAAACACTCTTTTTGTAATACTTGGAAGTGGACATTTGCAGCGCTTTGAGGCCTATGGTGAAAAAGGAAATATCTTCTCATAAAAACCAGAAACAAGCATTCTCAGAAACTGCTTTTTGATGTGTGTACTCAAGTAACAGAGTTGAACCTTCCTTTTGACACAGCAGTTTTGAAACAATCTTTTTGTAGAATCTGCAATTGGATATTTGGATAGCTTTGAGGATTTCGTTGGAAACAGGATATCTTCATATAAAACCTAGACAGAAGCATTCTCAGAAACTTCTTTGTGCTGTATGTCCTCAATTAACAGAGTTGAACCATTGCCTGGATACAGCATTTTGGAAACATTCCTTGAGTAGAATCTGCAAGTTGATATTTAGATAGATTTGAAGATTTCGTTGGAAAAGGGAATATCTCCATATAAAATCTAGAGGGAAGCATTCTCAGAAACTGCTTTGTGATGTTTCCATTCAAGTCACAGAGTTGAATATTCCCTTTTATAGAGCACGTTTGAAACACTCTTTCTGCACTATCTGGAAGCGGACATTTCGAGCGCTTTGAGGCCTATGGTGAAAAAGGAAATATCTTCCCATAAAAACTAGACAGAAGCATTCTCAGAAACTTGTTTGTGATGTGTGTATTCAACTAACAGAGTTGAACTTTTGTTTTTACAGAGCCGTTTTAAAACACTCTTTTTGTGGAATCAGAAAGTGGATATTCGGATGGCTCTGAGGATTTCGTTGGAAGCGGGATTACGTATAAAATCTAGAGAGAAGCATTCTCAGGAACTTCTTTGTGATGTTTGCATTGAAGTCACAGAATTGAACATTCACTTTGATAGAGCAGGTTTGAAACACTCATTCTGTAGTATCTGGAAGTGGACATTTCAAGCGCTTTCAGGCCTATGGTGAGAAAGGAAATATCTTCGAATAAAAACTAGACAGAAGCATCGTCAGAAACTTATTTGTGATGTGTGTCCTCAACTAACAGAGTTGAAACTTTGTTTTGATACAGCCTTTTGGAAACACTCTTTTTGTAGAATCTGCAGGTGCATATTTGGATAGCTTAGAGGGATTCGTTGGAAAGGGGATATCTTCATATAAAATCTAGACAGAAGCATTCTCAGAAACTTATTTGTGATGTGTGTCCTCAACTAACAGAGTTGAACCTTGGTTTTGATACAGCATTTTGGAAACCCTCCTTTTGTAGAATCTGCAGGTGGATATGTGGATAGCTTTGAAGATTTCGTTGGAAACGGGAATTTCTTCATGTAAAATCAAACAGAAGCATTCTCAGAAACTTCTCTGTGATGTTTGCATTCAGCTCATGGAGTTGAACACTTCCTTTCATAGAGCAGGTTTGAAACACTCTTTCTGCACTACCTGGAAGCGGACATTTCGAGCGCTTTGAGGCCTATGGTGAAAAAGGAAATATCTTCTCATAAAAACCAGAAAGAAGCATTCTCAGAAACTTCTTTGTGTTGTGTGTACTCAAGTAACAGTGTTGAACCTTCCTTTTGACAGAGTAGTTTTGAAACACTCTTTTGGTAGAATCTGCAAGTGGATATTTGGATAGCTTTGAGGATTTCGTTGGAAACGGGTTATCTTCCTATAAAATCCAGACAGGAGCATTCTCAGAAACTTCTTTGTGCTGTATGTCCTCAATTCACAGAGCTGAACCTTTGTTTGGATACAGCATTTTGGAGACATTCCTTTAGTAGAATCTGCAAGTTGATATTTAGATAGCTTTGAAGATTTCGTTGGAAACGGGAATATCTTCATAGAAAATCTAGACGGAAGCATTCTCAGAAACTGCTTTGTGATGTTTGCATTCAAGTCACAGAGTTGAATATTCCCTTTTATAGAGTAGGTTTGAAACACTCTTTCGGCACTACCTGGAAGTGGATATTTCGAGCTCTTTGAGGCCTATGGTTAAAAGGAAATATCTTCCCATAAAAACTAGACAGAAGCCTTCTCAGAAACTTGTTTGAGATGTGTGTATTCAACTAAGAGCGTTGAACATTTCTTTTTACAGAGCAGTTTTAAAACACTCTTTTTGTGGAATCTGAAAGTGGATAATTGGATAGCTTTGTGGATTTCGTTGGAAACGGGATGACGTATAAAATCTAGAGAGAAGCATTCTCAGGAACTTCTTTCTGATGTTTGCATTCAAGTCACAGAATTGAACATTCCTTTTCATAGTGCAGGTTTGAAACACTCTTTCTGTAGTATCTGGAAGTGGACATATCAAGCGCTTTCAGGCCTATGGGGAGAAAGGAAATATCTTCAAATAAAAACTAGACAGAAGGATTCTCAGAAACTTATTGGTGATGTGTGTCCTAAACGAACACAGTTGAACCTTTGTTTTGATACAGCATTTTGGAAACACTCCCTTTGTAGAATCTGCAGGTGGATATTTGGATAGATTTTAAGATTTCGTTGGAAACGGGAATTTCTTCATATAAACTCAAGACAGATGCATTCTCCGAAACTTCTCTGTGATGTTTGCATTCCACTCATAGAGTTGAAAACTTCCTTTCATAGAGCAGGTTTGAAACACTCTTTTTGTAATATTTGGAAGTGGACATTTGCAGCGCTTTGAGGCCTATGGTGAAAAAGGAAATATCTTCTGATAAAAACCAGAAACAAGCATTCTCAGAAACTTCTTTTTGATGTGTGTACTCAAGTAACAGAGTTGAACCTTCCTTTTGACACAGCAGTTTTGAAACAATCTTTTTGTAGAATCTGCAAGTGGATATTTGGATAGCTTTGAGGATTTCGTTGGAAACGGGATATCTTCATATAAAATCTAGACAGAAGCATTCTCAGAAACTTCTTTGTGCTGTATGTCCTCAATTAACAGAGTTGAACCATTGCTTGGATACAGCATTTTGGAAACATTCCTTGAGTAGAATCTGCAAGTTGATATTTAGATAGATTTGAAGATTTCGTTGGAAAAGGGAATATCTCCATATAAAATCTAGAGGGAAGCATTCTCAGAAACTGCTTTATGATGTTTCCCTTCAAGTCACAGAGTTGAATATTCCCTTTTATAGAGCACGTTTGAAACAATCTTTCTGCACTATGTGGAAGTGGACATTTCGAGCGCTTTGAGGCCTATGGTGAAAAAGGAAATATCTTCCCATAAAAACTAGACAGAAGCATTCTCAGAAACTTGTTTGTGATGTGTGTATTCAACTAACAGAGTTGAACTTTTGTTTTTACAGAGCCGTTTTAAAACACCCTTTTTGTGGAATCAGAAAGTGGATATTCGGATGGCTCTGAGGATTTCGTTGGAAGCGGGATTACATATAAAATCTAGAGAGAAGCATTCTCAGGAACTTCTTTGTGATGTTTGCATTGAAGTCACAGAATTGAACATTCACTTTGATAGAGCAGGTTTGAAACACTCATTCTGTAGTATCTGGAAGTGGACATTTCAAGCGCTTTCAGGCCTATGGTGAGAAAGGAAATATCTTCGAATAAAAACTAGACAGAAGCATCCTCAGAAACTTATTTGTGATGTGTGTCCTCAACTAACAGAGTTGAAACTTTGTTTTGATACAGCATTTTGGAAACACTCTTTGTAGAATCTGCAGGTGGATATTTGGATAGCTTAGAGGGATTCGTTGGAAAGGGGATATCTTCATATAAAATCTAGACAGAAGCATTCTCAGAAACTTATTTGTGATGTGTGTCCTCAACTAACAGAGTTGAACCTTGGTTTTGATACAGCATTTTGGAAACACTCCTTTTGAAGAATCTGCAGGTGGATATGTGGATAGCTTTGAAGATTTCGTTGGAAACGGGAATTTCTTCATATAAAATCAAACAGAAGCATTCTCAGAAACTTCTCAGTGATGTTTGCATTCAGCTCATGGAGTTGAACACTTCCTTTCATAGAGCAGGTTTGAAACACTCTTTCTGCACTACCTGGAAGAGGACATTTCGAGCGCTTTGAGTCCTATGGTGAAAAAGGAAATATCTTCTCATAGAAACCAGAAAGAAAGCGTTCTCAGAAACTTCTTTGTGTTGTGTGTACTCATGTAACAGTGTTGAACCATCCTTTTGACAGAGCAGTTTTGAAACACTCTTTTTGTAGAATCTGCCAGTGGATATTTGGATAGCTTTGAGGATTTCGTTGGAAACGGGTTATCTTCATATTAAATCTAGACAGAAGCATTCTCAGGAACTTCTTTGTGATGTTTGCATTCAAGTCACAGAATTGAACATTCCCTTTCATAGAGCAGGTTTGAAACACTCTTTCTCTAGTATCTGGAAGTGGGCATTTCAAGCGCTTTCAGGCCTATGGAGAGAAAGGAAATACCTTCAAATAAAAACTAGACAGAAGCATTCTCAGAAACTTATTTGTGATGTGTGTCCTCAACTAACAGAGTTGAACCTTTGTTTTGATACAGCATTTTGGAAACACTCCTTTTGTAGAATCTGCAGGTGGATATTTGGATAGCTTTGAAGATTTCGTTGGAAACCGGAATATCTTCATATAAAATCAAGACAGAAGCATTCTCGGAAACATCTCGGTGATGTTTGCATTAAACTCAGTAAAGTTGAACACTTCCTTTCATAGAGCAGGTTTGAAACACTCTTTCTGCTCTACCTGGAAGCGGACATTTCGGGCGCTTTGAGGTCTATGGTGAAAAAGGAAATATCTTCTCATAAAAACCAGAAAAAAGCATTCTCAGAAACTTCTTTGCATTGTGTGTACTCAAGTAACAGTGTTGAACCTTCCTTTTGACAGAGCAGTTTTGAAACACTCTTTTGGTAGAATCTGCAAGTGGATATTTGGAGAGCTTTGAGGATTTCGTTGGAAACGGGTTATCTTCATATAAAATCCAGACAGGAGCATTCTCAGAAACTTCTTTGTGCTGTATGTCCTCAATTCACAGAGTTGAACCTTTGTTTGGATACAGCATTTTGGAAACATTCCTTTAGTAGAATCTGCAAGTTGATATTTAGATAGCTTTGAAGATTTCGTTGGAAACGGGAATATCTTCATAAAAAATCTAGACGGAAGCATTGTCAGAAACTGCTTTGTGATGTTTGCATTCAAGTCACAGAGTTAAATATTCTTTTATAGAGCAGGTTTGAAACACTCTTTCTGCACTCCCTGGAAGTGGAGATTTCGAGCGCTTTGAGGCCTATGGTGAAAAAGGAAATATCTTCCCATAAAAACTAGACGGAAGCATTCTCAGAAACTTGTTTGTGATGTGTGTATTCAAGTAACAGACTTGAACTTTTGTTTTTACAGAGCAGTTTTAAGACAATCCATTTGTGGAATCAGAAAGTGGATATTCGGATGGCTTTGAGGATTTCGTTGGAAGCGGGATTACATATAAAATCTAGAGAGAAGCATTCTCAGGAACTACTTTGTGATGTTTGCATTGAAGTCACAGAATTGAACATTCACTTTGATAGAGCAGGTTTGAAACACTCATTCTGTAGTATCTGGAAGCCGACAATTCAAGCGCTTTCAGGCCTATGGGGAGAAAGGAAATATCTTCAAATAAAAACTAGACAGAAGCATCCTCAGAAACTTATTTGTGATGTGTGTCCTCAACTAACAGAGTTGAAACTTTGTTTTGATACAGCATTTTGGAAACACTCTTTTTGTAGAATCTGCAGGTGGATATTTGGATAGCTTAGAGGGATTCGTTGGAAAGGGGATATCTTCATATAAAATCTAGACAGAATCATTCTCAGAAACTTATTTGTGATGTGTGTCCTCAACTAACAGAGTTGAACCTTGGTTTTGATACAGCATTTTGGAAACACTCCTTTTGTAGAATCTGCAGGTGGATATGTGGATAGCTTTGAAGATTTCGTTGGAAACGGGAATTTCTTCATATAAAATCAAACAGAAGCATTCTCAGAAACTTCTCTGTGATGTTTGCATTCAGCCCATGGAGTTGAACACTTCCTTTCATAGAGCAGGTTTGAAACACTCTTTCTGCACTACCAGGAAGTAGACATTTCGAGCGCTTTCAGACCTATGGTGAAAAAGGAAATATCTTCTCATGAAAACCAGAAAGAAGCGTTCTCAGAAACTTCTTTGTGTTGTGTGTACTCATGTAACAGTGTTGAACCATCCTTTGGACAGAGCAGTTTTGAAACAGTCTTTTTGTAGAATCTGCAAGTGGATATTTGGATAGCTTTGAGGATTTCGTTGGAAACGGGTTATCTTCATATTAAATCTAGACAGAAGCATTCTCAGGAACTTCTTTGTGATGTTTGCATTCAAGTCACAGAATTGAACATTCCCTTTCATAGAGCAGGTTTGAAACACTCTTTCTCTAGTATCTGGAAGTGGGCATTTCAAGCGCTTTCAGGCCTATGGAGAGAAAGGAAATACCTTCAAATAAAAACTAGACAGAAGCATTCTCAGAAACTTATTTGTGATGTGTGTCCTCAACTAACAGAGTTGAACCTTTGTTTTGATACAGCATTTTGGAAACACTCCTTTTGTAGAATCTGCAGGTGGATATTTGGATAGCTTTGAAGATTTCGTTGGAAACCGGAATATCTTCATATAAAATCAAGACAGAAGCATTCTCGGAAACATCTCTGTGATGTTTGCATTCAACTCAGTAGAGTTGAACACTTCCTTTCATAGAGCAGGTTTGAAACACTCTTTCTGCCCTACCTGGAAGCGGACATTTCGAGCTCTTTGAGGCCTATGGTGAAAAAGGAAATATCTTCTCATAAAAACCAGAAAGAAGCATTCTCAGAAACTTCTTTGTGTTGTGTGTACTCAAGTAACAGTGTTGAACCTTCCTTTTGACAGAGTAGTTTTGAAACACTCTTTTGGTAGAATCTGCAAGTGGATATTTGGATAGCTTTGAGGATTTCGTTGGAAACGGGTTATCTTCCTATAAAATCCAGACAGGAGCATTCTCAGAAACTTCTTTGTGCTGTATGTCCTCAATTCACAGAGCTGAACCTTTGTTTGGATACAGCATTTTGGAGACATTCCTTTAGTAGAATCTGCAAGTTGATATTTAGATAGCTTTGAAGATTTCGTTGGAAACGGGAATATCTTCATAGAAAATCTAGACGGAAGCATTCTCAGAAACTGCTTTGTGATGTTTGCATTCAAGTCACAGAGTTGAATATTCCCTTTTATAGAGTAGGTTTGAAACACTCTTTCGGCACTACCTGGAAGTGGATATTTCGAGCTCTTTGAGGCCTATGGTTAAAAGGAAATATCTTCCCATAAAAACTAGACAGAAGCCGTCTCAGAAACTTGTTTGTGATGTGTGTATTCAACTACCAGAGTTGAACATTTCTGTTACAGAGCAATTTTAAAACACTCTTTTTGTGGAATCTGAAAGTGGATAATTGGATAGCTTTGTGGATTTCGTTGGAAACGGGATGACGTATAAAATCTAGAGAGAAGCATTCTCAGGAACTTCTTTCTGATGTTTGCATTCAAGTCACAGAATTGAACATTCCTTTTCAGAGTGCAGGTTTGAAACACTCTTTCTGTAGTATCTGGAAGTGGACATTTCAAGCGCTTTCAGGCCTACGGGGAGAAAGGAAATATCTTCAAATAAAAACTAGACAGAAGGATTCTCAGAAACTTATTTGTGATGTGTGTCCTAAGCGAACACAGTTGAACCTTTGTTTTGATACAGCATTTTGGAAACACTCCTTTTGTAGAATCTGCAGGTGGATATTTGGATAGATTTTAAGATTTCATTGGAAACGGGAATTTCTGCATAGAAACTCAAGACAGATGCATTCTCAGAAACTTCTCTGTGATGTTTGCATTCCACTCATAGGAGTTGAAAACTTCCTTTCATAGAGCAGGTTTGAAACACTCTTTTTGTAATATTTGGAAGTGGACATTTGCAGCGCTTTGAGGCCTATGGTGAAAAAAGGAAATATCTTCTCATAAAAACCAGAAACAAGCATTCTCAGAAACTTCTTTTTGATGTGTGTACTCAAGTAACAGAGTTGAACCTTCCTTTTGACACAGCAGTTTTGAAACAATCTTTTTGTAGAATCTGCAAGTGGATATTTGGATAGCTTTGAGGATTTCGTTGGAAACGGGATATCTTCATATAAAATCTAGACAGAAGCATTCTCAGAAACTTCTTTGTGCTGTATGTCCTCAATTAACAGAGTTGAACCATTGCTTGGATACAGCATTTTGGAAACATTCCTTTAGTAGAATCTGCAAGTTGATATTTAGATAGCTTTGAAGATTTCGTTGGAAACGGGAATATCTTCATATAAAATCTAGACGGAAGCATTCTCAGAAACTGCTTTGTGATGTTTGCATTCAAGTCACAGAGTTGAATATTCCCTTTTATAGAGTAGGTTTGAAACACTCTTTCGGCACTACCTGGAAGTGGATATTTCGAGCTCTTTGAGGCCTATGGTTAAAAGGAAATATCTTCCCATAAAAACTAGACAGAAGCCGTCTCAGAAACTTGTTTGTGATGTGTGTATTCAACTACCAGAGTTGAACATTTCTGTTACAGAGCAATTTTAAAACACTCTTTCTGTGGAATCTGAAAGTGGATAATTGGATAGCTTTGTGGATTTCGTTGGAAACGGGATGACGTATAAAATCTAGAGAGAAGCATTCTCAGGAACTTCTTTCTGATGTTTGCATTCAAGTCACAGAATTGAACATTCCTTTTCAGAGTGCAGGTTTGAAACACTCTTTCTGTAGTATCTGGAAGTGGACATTTCAAGCGCTTTCAGGCCTACGGGGAGAAAGGAAATCTCTTCAAATAAAAACCAGACAGAAGGCTTCTCAGAAAATTATTTGTGATGTGTGTCCTAAACGAACACAGTTGAACCTTTGTTTTGATACAGCATTTTGGAAACACTCCTTTTGTAGAATCTGCAGGTGGATATTTGGATAGATTTTAAGATTTCGTTGGAAACGGGAATTTCTTCATAGAAACTCAAGACAGATGCATTCTCAGAAACTTCTCTGTGATGTTTGCATTCCACTCATAGAGTTGAAAACTTCCTTTCATAGAGCAGGTTTGAAACACTCTTTCTGTAATATTTGGAAGTGGACATTTGCAGCGCTTTGAGGCCTATGGTGAAAAAGGAAATATCTTCTCATAAAAACCAGAAACAAGCATTCTCAGAAACTTCTTTTTGATGTGTGTACTCAAGTAACAGAGTTGAACCTTCCTTTTGACACAGCAGTTTTGAAACAATCTTTTTGTAGAATCTGCAAGTGGATATTTGGATAGCTTTGAGGATTTCATTGGAAACGGGATATCTTCATATAAAATCTAGACAGAAGCATTCTCAGAAACTTCTTTGTGCTGTATGTCCTCAATTAACAGAGTTGAACCATTGCTTGGATACAGCATTTTGGAAACATTCCTTTAGTAGAATCTGCAAGTTGATATTTAGATAGCTTTGAAGATTTCGTTGGAAACGGGAATATCTTCATATAAAATGCTAGACGGAAGCATTCTCAGAAACTGCTTTGTGATGTTTGCATTCAAGTCACAGAGTTGAATATTCCCTTTTATAGAGTAGGTTTGAAACACTCTTTCGGCACTACCTGGAAGTGGATATTTCGAGCTCTTTGAGGCCTATGGTTAAAAGGAAATATCTTCCCATAAAAACTAGACAGAAAGCCTTCTCAGTAAACTTGTTTGAGATGTGTGTATTCAACTAAGAGCGTTGAACATTTCTTTTTACAGAGCAGTTTTAAAACACTCTTTTTGTGGAATCTGAAAGTGGATAATTGGATAGCTTTGTGGATTTCGTTGGAAACGGGATGACGTATAAAATCTAGAGAGAAGCATTCTCATGAACTTCTTTCTGATGTTTGCATTCAAGTCACAGAATTGAACATTCCTTTTCAGAGTGCAGGTTTGAAACACTCTTTCTGTAGTATCTGGAAGTGGACATTTCAAGCGCTTTCAGGCCTACGGGGAGAAAGGAAATATCTTCAAATAAAAACTAGAGAGAAGGATTCTCAGAAACTTATTTGTGATGTGTGTCCTAAACGAACACAGTTGAACCTTTGTTTTGATACAGCATTTTGGAAACACTCCTTTTGTAGGATCTGCAGGTGGATATTTGGATAGATTTTAAGATTTCGTTGGAAACGGGAATTTCTTCATAGAAGCTCAAGACAGATGCATTCTCAGAAACTTCTCTGTGATGTTTGCATTCCACTCATAGAGTTGAAAACTTCCTTTCATAGAGCAGGTTTGAAACACTCTTTCTGTAATATTTGGAAGTGGACATTTGCAGCGCTTTGAGGCCTATGGTGAAAAAGGAAATATCTTCTCATAAAAACCAGAAACAAGCATTCTCAGAAAGTTCTTTTTGATGTGTGTACTCAAGTAACAGAGTTGAACCTTCCTTTTGACACAGCAGTTTTGAAACAATCTTTTTGTAGAATCTGCAAGTGGATATTTGGATAGCTTTGAGGATTTCATTGGAAACGGGATATCTTCATATAAAATCTAGACAGAAGCATTCTCAGAAACTTCTTTGTGCTGTATGTCCTCAATTCACAGAGTTGAACCATGGCTTGGATACAGCATTTTGGAAACATTCCTTGAGTAGAATCTGCAAGTTGATATGTAGATAGCTTTAAAGATTTCGTTGGAAACGGGAATATCTTCATATAAAATCTAGACGGAAGCATTCTCAGAAACTGCTTTGTGACGTTTCCATTCAAGTCACGGAGTTGAATATTCTCTTTTATAGAGCACGTTTGAAACACTCTTTCTGCACTATCTGGAAGTGGACATTTCGAGCGCTTTGAGGCCTATGGTGAAAAAGGAAATATCTTCCCATAAAAACTAGACAGAAGCATTCTCAGAAACTTGTTTGTGATGTGTGTATTCAACTAACAGAGTTGAACTTTTGTTTTTACAGAGCCGTTTTAAAACACTCTTTTTGTGGAATCAGAAAGTGGATATTCGGATGGCTCTGAGGATTTCGTTGGAAGCGGGATTACATATAAAATCTAGAGAGAAGCATTCTCAGGAACTTCTTTGTGATGTTTGCATTGAAGTCACAGAATTGAACATTCACTTTGATAGAGCAGGTTTGAAACACTCATTCTGTAGTATCTGGAAGTGGACATTTCAAGCGCTTTCAGGCCTATGGTGGGAAAGGAAATATCTTCGAATAAAAACTAGACAGAAGCATCCTCAAACTTATTTGTGATGTGTGTCCTCAACTAACAGAGTTGAACCTTTGTTTTGATACAGCATTTTGGAAACACTCTTTTTGTAGAATCTGCAGGTGGATATTTGGATAGCTTAGAGGGATTCGTTGGAAAGGGGATATCTTCATATAAAATCTAGACAGAAGCATTCTCAGAAACTTATTTGTGATGTGTGTCCTCAACTAACAGAGTTGAACCTTGGTTTTGATACAGCATTTTGGAAACTCTCCTTTTGAAGAATCTGCAGGTGGATATGTGGATAGCTTTGAAGATTTCGTTGGAAACGGGAATTTCTTCATATAAAATCAAACAGAAGCATTCTCAGGAACTTCTCTGTGATGTTTGCATTCAGCTCATGGAGTTGAACACTTCCTTTCATAGAGCAGGTTTGAAACACTCTTTCTGCACTACCTGGAAGTGGACATTTCGAGCGCTTTGAGGCCTATGGTGAAAAAGGAAATATCCTCTCATAAAAACCAGAAAGAAGCGCTCTCAGAAACTTCTTTGTGTTGTGTGTACTCATGTAACAGTGTTGAACCATCCTTTTGACAGAGCAGTTTTGAAACACTCTTTTTGTAGAATCTGCAAGTGGATATTTGGATAGCTTTGAGGATTTCGTTGGAAACGGGTTATCTTCATATTAAATCTAGACAGAAGCATTCTCAGAAACTTCTTTGTGCTGTATGTCCTCAATTCACAGAGTTGAACCTTTGTTTGGATACAGCATTTTGGAAACATTCCTTTAGTAGAATCTGCAAGTTGATATTTAGATAGCTTTGAAGATTTCGTTGGAAACGGGAATATCTTCATAAAAAATCTAGACGGAAGCATTGTCAGAAACTGCTTTGTGATGTTTGCATTCAAGTCACAGAGTTAAATAATCTTTTACAGAGCAGGTTCGAAACACTCTTTCTGCACTCCCTGGAAGTGGAGATTTCGAGCGCTTTGAGGCCTATGGTGAAAAAGGAAATATCTTCCCATAAAAACTAGATGGAAGCCTTCTCAGAAACTTGTTTGAGATGTGTGCATTCAACTAAGAGCGTTGAAAATTTCTTTTTACAGAGCAGTTTTAAAACACTCTTTTTGTGGAATCTGAAAGTGGATAATTGGATAGCTTTGTGGATTTCGTTGGAAACGGGATGACGTATAAAATCTAGAGAGAAGCATTCTCAGGAACTTCTTTCTGATGTTTGCATTCAAGTCACAGAATTGACATTCCTTTTCAGAGTGCAGGTTTGAAACACTCTTTCTGTAGTATCTGGAAGTGGACATTTCAAGCGCTTTCAGGCCTATGGGGAGAAAGGAAATATCTTCAAATAAAAACTAGACAGAAGGATTCTCAGAAACTTATTTGTGATGTGTGTCCTAAACGAACACAGTTGAACCTTTGTTTTGATACAGCATTTTGGAAACACTCCTTTTGTAGGATCTGCAGGTGGATATTTGGATAGATTTTAAGATTTCGTTGGAAACGGGAATTTCTTCATAGAAGCTCAAGACAGATGCATTCTCAGAAACTTCTCTGTGATGTTTGCATTCCACTCATAGAGTTGAAAACTTCCTTTCATAGAGCAGGTTTGAAACACTCTTTTTGTAATATGTGGAAGTGGACATTTGCAGCGCTTTGAGGCCTATGGTGAAAAAGGAAATATCTTCTCATAAAAACCAGAAACAAGCATTCTCAGAAACTTCTTTTTGATGTGTGTACTCAAGTAACAGAGTTGAACCTTCCTTCTGACACAGCAGTTTTGAAACAATCTTTTTGTAGAATCTGCAAGTGGATATTTGGATAGCTTTGAGGATTTCGTTGCGAAACAGGGATTATCTTCATATATAAATCTAGACAGAAGCATTCTCAGAAACTTCTTTGTGCTGTATGTCCTCAATTAACAGAGTTGAACCATTGCTTGTATACAGCATTTTGGAAACATTCCTTTAGTAGAATCTGCAAGTTGATATTTAGATAGATTTGAAGATTTCGTTGGAAACGGGAATATCTTCATATAAAATCTAGACGGAAGCATTCTCAGAAACTGCTTTGTGATGTTTCCATTCAAGTCACAGAGTTGAATATTCCCTTTTATAGAGCACGTTTGAAACACTCTTTCTGCACTATCTGGAAGTGGACATTTCGAGCGCTTTGAGGCCTATGGTGAAAAAGGAAATATCTTCCCATAAAAACTAGACAGAAGCATTCTCAGAAACTTGTTTGTGATGTGTGTATTCAACTAACAGACTTGAACTTTTGTTTTCACAGAGCAGTTTTAAAACAATCTTTTTGTGGAATCAGAAAGTGGATATTCGGATGGCTTTGAGGATTTCGTTGGAAGCGGGATTACATATAAAATCTAGAGAGAAGCATTCTCAGGAACTTCTTTGTGATGTTTGCATTGAAGTCACAGAATTGAACATTCACTTTGATAGAGCAGGTTTGAAACACTCATTCTGTAGTATCTGGAAGTGGACATTTCAAGCGCTTTCAGGCCTAAGGTGAGAAAGGAAATATCTTCGAATAAAAACTAGACAGAAGCATCTCTCAGAAACTTATTTGTGATGTGTGTCCTCAACTAACAGAGTTAAAACTTTGTTTTGATACAGCATTTTGGAAACACTCTTTTTGTAGAATCTGCAGGTGGATATTTGGATAGCTTAGAGGGATTCGTTGGAAAGGGGATATCTTCATATAAAATCTAGACAGAAGCATTCTCAGAAACTTATTTGTGATGTGTGTCCTCAACTAACAGAGTTGAACCTTGGTTTTGATACAGCATTTTGGAAACACTCCTTTTGAAGAATCTGCAGGTGGATATGTGGATAGCTTTGAAGATTTCGTTGGAAACGGGAATTTCTTCATATAAAATCAAACAGAAGCATTCTCAGGAACTTCTCTGTGATGTTTGCATTCAGCTCATGGAGTTGAACACTTCCTTTCATAGAGCAGGTTTGAAACACTCTTTCTGCACTACCTGGAAGTGGACATTTCGAGCGCTTTGAGGCCTATGGTGAAAAAGGAAATATCCTCTCATAAAAACCAGAAAGAAGCGTTCTCAGAAACTTCTTTGTGTTGTGTGTACTCATGTAAGAGTGTTGAACCATCCTTTTGACAGAGCAGTTTTGAAACACTCTTTTTGTAGAATCTGCAAGTGGATATTTGGATAGCTTTGAGGATTTCGTTGGAAACGGTTTATCTTCATATTAAATCTAGACAGAAGCATTCTCAGGAACTTCTTTGTGATGTTTGCATTCAAGTCACAGAATTGAACATTCCCTTTCATAGAGCAGGTTTGAAACACTCTTTCTCTAGTATCTGGAAGTGGGCATTTCAAGCGCTTTCAGGCCTATGGAGAGAAAGGAAATACCTTCAAATAAAAACTAGACAGAAGCATTCTCAGAAACTTATTTGTGATGTGTGTCCTCAACTAACAGAGTTGAACCTTTGTTTTGATACAGCATTTTGGAAACACTCCTTTTGTAGAATCTGCAGGTGGATATTTGGATAGCTTTGAAGATTTCGTTGGAAACCGGAATATCTTCATATAAAATCAAGACAGAAGCATTCTCGGAAACATCTCTGTGATGTTTGCATTCAACTCAGTAGAGTTGAACACTTCCTTTCATAGAGCAGGTTTGAAACACTCTTTCTGCACTACCTGGAAGCGGACATTTCGAGCGCTTTGAGGCCTATGGTGAAAAAGGAAATATCTTCTCATAAAAACCAGAAAGAAGCATTCTCAGAAACTTCTTTGTGTTGTGTGTACTCAAGTAACAGTGTTGAACCTTCCTTTTGACAGAGCAGTTTTGAAACACTCTTTTGGTAGAATCTGCAAGTGGATATTTGGATAGCTTTGAGGATTTCGTTGGAAACGGGTTATCTTCCTATAAAATCCAGACAGGAGCATTCTCAGAAACTTCTTTGTGCTGTATGTCCTCAATTCACAGAGCTGAACCTTTGTTTGGATACAGCATTTTGGAGACATTCCTTTAGTAGAATCTGCAAGTTGATATTTAGATAGCTTTGAAGATTTCGTTGGAAACGGGAATATCTTCATAGAAAATCTAGACGGAAGCATTGTCAGAAACTGCTTTGTGATGTTTGCATTGAAGTCACAGAGTTAAATATTCTTTTACAGAGCAGGTTTGAAACACTCTTTCTGCACTCCCTGGAAGTGGAGATTTCGAGCGCTTTGAGGCCTTTGGTGAAAAAGGAAATATCTTCCCATAAAAACTAGACGGAAGCCTTCTCAGAAACTTGTTTGAGATGTTTGTATTCAACTAAGAGCTTTGAACATTTCCTTCTACACAGCAGTTTTAAAACACTCTTTTTGTGGAATCTGAAAGTGGATAATTGGATAGCTTTGTGGATTTCGTTGGAAACGGGATTACGTATAAAATCTAGAGAGAAGCATTCTCAGAAACTTCTTTCTGATGTTTGCATTCAAGTCAAAGAATTGAACATTCCTTTTCATAGTGCAGGTTTGAAACACTCTTTCTGTACTATCTGGAAGTGGACATTTCAAGCGCTTTCAGGCCTATGGGGAGAAAGGAAATATCTTCAAATTAAAAACTAGACAGAAGGATTCTCAGAAACTTATTTGTGATGTGTGTCCTGAACGAACACAGTTGAACCTTTGTTTTGATACAGCATTTTGGAAACACTCCTTTTGTAGGATCTGCAGGTGGATATTTGGATAGATTTTAAGATTTCGTTGGAAACGGGAATTTCTTCATAGACGCTCAAGACAGATGCATTCTCAGAAACTTCTCTGTGATGTTTGCATTCCACTCACAGAGTTGAAAACTTCCTTTCATAGAGCAGGTTTGAAACACTCTTTTTGTAATATTTGGAAGTGGACATTTGCAGCGCTTTGAGGCCTATGGTGAAAAAGGAAATATCTTCTCATAAAAACCAGAAACAAGCATTCTCAGAAACTTCTTTTTGATGTGTGTACTCAAGTAACAGAGTTGAACCTTCCTCTTGACACAGCAGTTTTGAAACAATCTTTTTGTAGAATCTGCAAGTGGATATTTGGATAGCTTTGAGGATTTCGTTGGAAACGGGATATCTTCATATAAAATCTAGACAGAAGCATTCTCAGAAACTTCTTTGTGCTGTATGTCCTCAATTAACAGAGTTGAACCATTGCTTGGATACAGCATTTTGGAAACATTCCTTGAGTAGAATCTGCAAGTTGATATTTAGATAGATTTGAAGATTTCGTTGGAAAAGGGAATATCTCCATATAAAATCTAGAGGGAAGCATTCTCAGAAACTGCTTTGTGATGTTTCCATTCAAGTCACAGAGTTGAATATTCCCTTTTATAGAGCACGTTTGAAACACTCTTTCTGCACTATCTGGAAGCGGACATTTCGAGCGCTTTGAGGCCTATGGTGAAAAAGGAAATATCTTCCCATAAAAACTAGACAGAAGCATTCTCAGAAACTTGTTTGTGATGTGTGTATTCAACTAACAGAGTTGAACTTTTGTTTTTACAGAGCCGTTTTAAAACACTCTTTTTGTGGAATCAGAAAGTGGATATTCGGATGGCTCTGAGGATTTCGTTGGAAGCGGGATTACATATAAAATCTAGAGAGAAGCATTCTCAGGAACTTCTTTGTGATGTTTGCATTGAAGTCACAGAATTGAACATTCACTTTGATAGAGCAGGTTTGAAACACTCATTCTGTAGGATCTGGAAGTGGACATTTCAAGCGCTTTCAGGCCTATGGTGAGAAAGGAAATATCTTCGAATAAAAACTAGACAGAAGCATCCTCAGAAACTTACTTGTGATGTGTGTCCTCAACTAACAGAGTTGAAACTTTGTTTTGATACAGCATTTTGGAAACACTCTTTTTGTAGAATCTGCAGGTGGATATTTAGATAGCTTAGAGGGATTCGTTGGAAAGGGGATATCTTCATATAAAATATAGACAGAAGCATTCTCAGAAACTTATTTGTGATGTGTGTCCTCAACTAACAGAGTTGAACTTTGGTTTTGATACAGCATTTTGGAAACACTCCTTTTGTAGAATCTGCAGGTGGATATGTGGATAGCTCTGAAGATTTCGTTGGAAACGGGAATTTCTTCATATAAAATCAAACAGAAGCATTCTCAGAAACTTCTCAGTGATGTTTGCATTCAGCTCATGGAGTTGTACACTTCCTTTCATAGAGCAGGTTTGAAACACTCTTTCTGCACTACCTGGAAGAGGACATTTCGAGCGCTTTGAGTCCTATGGTGAAAAAGGAAATATCTTCTCATAGAAACCAGAAAGAAGCATTCTCAGAAACTTCTTTGTGTTGTGTGTACTCATGTAACAGTGTTGAACCATCCTTTTGACAGAGCAGTTTTGAAACACTCTTTTTGTAGAATCTGCAAGTGGATATTTGGATAGCTTTGAGGATTTCGTTGGAAACGGGATGACATATAATATCTAGAGAGAAGCATTCTCAGGAACTTCTTTGTGATGTTTGCATTCAAGTCACAGAATTGAACATTCCCTTTCATAGAGCAGGTTTGAAACACTCTTTCTCTAGTATCTGGAAGTGGGCATTTCAAGCGCTTTGAGGCCTATGGAGAGAAAGGAAATACCTTCAAATAAAAACTAGACAGAAGCATTCTCAGAAACTTATTTGTGATGTGTGTCCTCAACTAACAGAGTTGAACCTTTGTTTTGATACAGCATTTTGGAAACACTCCTTTTGTAGAATCTGCAGGTGGATATTTGGATAGCTTTGAAGATTTCGTTGGAAACCGGAATATCTTCATATAAAATCAAGACAGAAAGCATTCTCGGAAACATCTCTGTGATGTTTGCATTCAACTCAGTAGAGTTGAACACTTCCTTTCATAGAGCAGGTTTGAAACACTCTTTCTGCACTACCTGGAAGCGGACATTTCGAGCGCTTTGAGGCCTATGGTGAAAAAGGAAATATCTTCTCATAAAAACCAGAAAGAAGCATTCTCAGAAACTTCTTTGTGTTGTGTGTACTCAAGTAACAGTGTTGAACCTTCCTTTTGACAGAGCAGTTTTGAAACACTCTTTTGGTAGAATCTGCAATTGGATATTTGGATAGCTTTGAGGATTTCGTTGGAAACGGGTTATCTTCCTATAAAATCCAGACAGGAGCATTCTCAGAAACTTCTTTGTGCTGTATGTCCTCAATTCACAGAGCTGAACCTTTGTTTGGATACAGCATTTTGGAGACATTCCTTTAGTAGAATCTGCAAGTTGATATTTAGATAGCTTTGAAGATTTCGTTGGAAACGGGAATATCTTCATAGAAAATCTAGACGGAAGCATTGTCAGAAACTGCTTTGTGATGTTTGCATTCAAGTCACAGAGTTAAATATTCTTTTACAGAGCAGGTTTGAAACACTCTTTCTGCACACCCTGGAAGTGGAGATTTCGAGCGCTTTGAGGCCTATGGTGAAAAAGGAAATATCTTCCCATAAAAACTAGACGGAAGCCTTCTCAGAAACTTGTTTGAGATGTGTGTATTCAACTAAGAGCGTTGAACATTTCTTTTTACAGAGCAGTTTTAAAACACTCTTTTTGTGGAATCTGAAAGTGGATAATTGGATAGCTTTGTGGATTTCGTTGGAAACGGGATGACGTATAAAATCTAGAGAGAAGCATTCTCAGGAACTTCTTTCTGATGTTTGCATTCAAGTCACAGAATTGAACATTCCTTTTCAGAGTGCAGGTTTGAAACACTCTTTCTGTAGTATCTGGAAGTGGACATTTCAAGCGCTTTCAGGCCTACGGGGAGAAAGGAAATATCTTCAAATAAAAACTAGACAGAAGGATTCTCAGAAACTTATTTGTGATGTGTGTCCTAAACGAACACAGTTGAACCTTTGTTTTGATACAGCATTTTGGAAACACTCCTTTTGTAGGATCTGCAGGTGGATATTTGGATAGATTTTAAGATTTCGTTGGAAACGGGAATTTCTGCATAGAAACTCAAGACAGATGCATTCTCAGAAACTTCTCTGTGATGTTTGCATTCCACTCATAGAGTTGAAAACTTCCTTTCATAGAGCAGGTTTGAAACACTCTTTTTGTAATATTTGGAAGTGGAAATTTGCAGCGCTTTGAGGCCTATGGTGAAAAAGGAAATATCTTCTCATAAAAACCAGAAACAAGCATTCTCAGAAACTTCTTTTTGATGTGTGTACTCAAGTAACAGAGTTGAACCTTCCTTTTGACACAGCAGTTTTGAAACAATCTTTTTGTAGAATCTGCAAGTGGATATTTGGATAGCTTTGAGGATTACGTTGGAAACGGGATATCTTCATATAAAATCTAGACAGAAGCATTCTCAGAAACTTCTTTGTGCTGTATGTCCTCAATTAACAGAGTTGAACCATTGCTTGGATACAGCATTTTGGAAACATTCCTTTAGTAGAATCTGCAAGTTGATATTTAGATAGATTTGAAGATTTCGTTGGAAACGGGAATATCTTCATATAAAATCTAGACGGAAGCATTGTCAGAAACTGCTCTGTGATGTTTGCATTCAAGTCACAGAGTTAAATATTCTTTTACAGAGCAGGTTTGAAACACTCTTTCTGCACTCCCTGGAAGTGGAGATTTCGAGCGCTTTGAGGCCTATGGTGAAAAAGGAAATATCTTCCCATAAAAACTAGACGGAAGCCTTCTCAGAAACTTGTTTGAGATGTGTGTATTCAACTAAGAGCGTTGAACATTTCTTTTTACAGAGCAGTTTTAAAACAGTCTTTTGGTGGAATCTGAAAGTGGATAATTGGATAGCTTTGTGGATTTCGTTGGAAACGGGATTACGTTTAAAATCTAGAGAGAAGCATTCTCAGGAACTTCTTTCTGATGTTTGCATTCAAGTCACAGAATTGAACATTCCTTTTCATAGTGCAGGTTTGAAACACTCTGTAGTATCTGGAAGTGGACATTTCAAGCGCTTTCAAGCCTATGGGGAGAAAGGAAATATCTTGAAATAAAAACTAGACAGAAGGATTCTCAGAAACTTATTTGTGATGTGTGTCCTAAACGAACACAGTTGAACCTTTGTTTTGATACAGCATTTTGGAAACACTCCTTTTGTAGGATCTGCAGGTGGATATTTGGATAGATTTTAAGATTTCGTTGGAAACGGGAATTTCTTCATAGAAGCTCAAGACAGATGCATTCTCAGAAACTTCTCTGTGATGTTTGCATTCCACTCATAGAGTTGAAAACTTCCTTTCATAGAGCAGTTTTGAAACACTCTTTTTGTAATATTTGGAAGTGGAAATTTGCAGCGCTTTGAGGCCTATGGTGAAAAAGGAAATATCTTCTCATAAAAACCAGAAACAAGCATTCTCAGAAACTTCTTTTTGATGTGTGTACTCAAGTAACAGAGTTGAACCTTCCTTTTGACACAGCAGTTTTGAAACAATCTTTTTGTAGAATCTGCAAGTGGATATTTGGATAGCTTTGAGGATTTCGTTGGAAACGGGATATCTTCATATAAAATCTAGACAGAAGCATTCTCAGAAACTTCTTTGTGCTGTATGTCCTCAATTAACAGAGTTGAACCATTGCTTGGATACAGCATTTTGGAAACATTCCTTGAGTAGAATCTGCAAGTTGATATTTAGATAGATTTGAAGATTTCGTTGGAAAAGGGAATATCTCCATATAAAATCTAGAGGGAAGCATTCTCAGAAACTGCTTTGTGATGTTTCCATTCAAGTCACAGAGTTGAATATTCCCTTTTATAGAGCACGTTTGAAACACTCTTTCTGCACTATCTGGAAGCGGACATTTCGAGCGCTTTGAGGCCTATGGTGAAAAAGGAAATATCTTCCCATAAAAACTAGACAGAAGCATTCTCAGAAACTTGTTTGTGATGTGTGTATTCAACTAACAGAGTTGAACTTTTGTTTTTACAGAGCCGTTTTAAAACACTCTTTTTGTGGAATCAGAAAGTGGATATTCGGATGGCTCTGAGGATTTCGTTGGAAGCGGGATTACATATAAAATGCTAGAGAGAAGCATTCTCAGGAACTTCTTTCTGATGTTTGCATTGAAGTCACGGAATTGAACATTCACTTTTATAGAGCAGGTTTGAAACACTCATTCTGTAGTATCTGGAAGTGGACATTTCAAGCGCTTTCAGGCCTATGGTGAGAAAGGAAATATCTTCGAATAAAAACTAGACAGAAGCATCCTCAAACTTATTTGTGATGTGTGTCCTCAACTAACAGAGTTGAAACTTTGTTTTGATACAGCATTTTGGAAACACTCTTTTTGTAGAATCTGCAGGTGGATATTTGGATAGCTTAGAGGGATTCGTTGGAAAGGGGATATCTTCATATAAAATCTAGACAGAAGCATTCTCAGAAACTTATTTGTGATGTGTGTCCTCAACTAACAGAGTTGAACTTTGGTTTTGATACAGCATTTTGGAAACACTCCTTTTGTAGAATCTGCAGGTGGATATGTGGATAGCTCTGAAGATTTCGTTGGAAACGGGAATTTCTTCATATAAAATCAAACAGAAGCATTCTCAGAAACTTCTCAGTGATGTTTGCATTCAGCTCATGGAGTTGAACACTTCCTTTCATAGAGCAGGTTTGAAACACTCTTTCTGCACTGCCTGGAAGAGGACATTTCGAGCGCTTTGAGTCCTATGGTGAAAAAGGAAATATCTTCTCATAGAAACCAGAAAGAAGCATTCTCAGAAACTTCTTTGTGTTGTGTGTACTCATGTAACAGTGTTGAACCATCCTTTTGACAGAGGAGTTTTGAAACACTCTTTTTGTAGAATCTGCAAGTGGATATTTGGATAGCTTTGAGGATTTCGTTGGAAACGGGATGACATATAATATCTAGAGAGAAGCATTCTCAGGAACTTCTTTGTGATGTTTGCATTCAAGTCACAGAATTGAACATTCCCTTTCATAGAGCAGGTTTGAAACACTCTTTCTCTAGTATCTGGAAGTGGGCATTTCAAGCGCTTTCAGGCCTATGGAGAGAAAGGAAATACCTTCAAATAAAAACTAGACAGAAGCATTCTCAGAAACTTATTTGTGATGTGTGTCCTCAACTAACAGAGTTGAACCTTTGTTTTGATACAGCATTTTGGAAACACTCCTTTTGTAGAATCTGCAGGTGGATATGTGGATAGCTTTGAAGATTTCGTTGGAAACCGGAATATCTTCCTATAAAATCAAGACAGAAGCATTCTCGGAAACATCTCTGTGATGTTTGCATTCAACTCAGTAGAGTTGAACACTTCCTTTCATAGAGCAGGTTTGAAACACTCTTTCTGCACTACCTGGAAGCGGACATTTCGAGCGCTTTGAGGCCTATGGTGAAAAAGGAAATATCTTCTCATAAAAACCAGAAAGAAGCATTCTCAGAAACTTCTTTGTGTTGTGTGTACTCAAGTAACAGTGTTGAACCTTCCTTTTGACAGAGTAGTTTTGAAACACTCTTTTGGTAGAATCTGCAAGTGGATATTTGGATAGCTTTGAGGATTTCGTTGGAAACGGGTTATCTTCCTATAAAATCCAGACAGGAGCATTCTCAGAAACTTCTTTGTGCTGTATGTCCTCAATTCACAGAGCTGAACCTTTGTTTGGATACAGCATTTTGGAGACATTCCTTTAGTAGAATCTGCAAGTTGATATTTAGATAGCTTTGAAGATTTCGTTGGAAACGGGAATATCTTCATAGAAAATCTAGACGGAAGCATTCTCAGAAACTGCTTTGTGATGTTTGCATTCAAGTCACAGAGTTGAATATTCCCTTTTATAGAGTAGGTTTGAAACACTCTTTCGGCACTACCTGGAAGTGGATATTTCGAGCTCTTTGAGGCCTATGGTTAAAAGGAAATATCTTCCCATAAAAACTAGACAGAAGCCGTCTCAGAAACTTGTTTGTGATGTGTGTATTCAACTAACAGAGTTGAACATTTCTGTTACAGAGCAATTTTAAAACACTCTTTTTGTGGAATCTGAAAGTGGATAATTGGATAGCTTTGTGGATTTCGTTGGAAACGGGATGACGTATAAAATCTAGAGAGAAGCATTCTCAGGAACTTCTTTCTGATGTTTGCATTCAAGTCACAGAATTGAACATTCCTTTTCAGAGTGCAGGTTTGAAACACTCTTTCTGTAGTATCTGGAAGTGGACATTTCAAGCGCTTTCAGGCCTACGGGGAGAAAGGAAATATCTTCAAATAAAAACTAGACAGAAGGATTCTCAGAAACTTATTTGTGATGTGTGTCCTAAACGAACACAGTTGAACCTTTGTTTTGATACAGCATTTTGGAAACACTCCTTTTGTAGGATCTGCAGGTGGATATTTGGATAGATTTTAAGATTTCGTTGGAAACGGGAATTTCTTCATAGACGCTCAAGACAGATGCATTCTCAGAAACTTCTCTGTGATGTTTGCATTCCACTCATAGAGTTGAAAACTTCCTTTCATAGAGCAGGTTTGAAACACTCTTTTTGTAATATTTGGAAGTGGACATTTGCAGCGCTTTGAGGCCTATGGTGAAAAAGGAAATATCTTCTCATAAAAACCAGAAACAAGCATTCTCAGAAACTTCTTTTTGATGTGTGTACTCAAGTAACAGAGTTGAACCTTCCTCTTGACACAGCAGTTTTGAAACAATCTTTTTGTAGAATCTGCAAGTGGATATTTGGATAGCTTTGAGGATTTCGTTGGAAACGGGATATCTTCATATAAAATCTAGACAGAAGCATTCTCAGAAACTTCTTTGTGCTGTATGTCCTCAATTAACAGAGTTGAACCATTGCTTGGATACAGCATTTTGGAAACATTCCTTTAGTAGAATCTGCAAGTTGATATTTAGATAGATTTGAAGATTTCGTTGGAAACGGGAATATCTTCATATAAAATCTAGACGGAAGCATTCTCAGAAACTGCTTTGTGATGTTTCCATTCAAGTCACAGAGTTGAATATTCCCTTTTATAGAGCACGTTTGAAACACTCTTTCTGCACTATCTGGAAGCGGACATTTCGAGCGCTTTGAGGCCTATGGTGAAAAAGGAAATATCTTCCCATAAAAACTAGACAGAAGCATTCTCAGAAACTTGTTTATGATGTGTGTATTCAACTAACAGACTTGAACTTTTGTTTTTACAGAGAAGTTTTAAGACAATCTTTGTGTGGAATCAGAAAGTGGTTATTCGGATGGCTTTGAGGACTTCGTTGGAAGCGGGATTACATATAAAATCTAGAGAGAAGCATTCTCAGGAACTACTTTGTGATGTTTGCATTGAAGTCACAGAATTGAACATTCACTTTGATAGAGCAGGTTTGAAACACTCATTCTGTAGTATCTGGAAGTGGACAATTCAAGCGCTTTCAGGCCTATGGGGAGAAAGGAAATATCTTCAAATAAAAACTAGACAGAAGCATCCTCAGAAACTTATTTGTGATGTGTGTCCTCAACTAACAGAGTTGAAACTTTGTTTTGATACAGCATTTTGGAAACACTCTTTTTGTAGAATCTGCAGGTGGATATTTGGATAGCTTAGAGGGATTCGTTGGAAAGGGGATATCTTCATATAAAATCTAGACAGAAGCATTCTCAGAAACTTATTTGTGATGTGTGTCCTCAACTAACAGAGTTGAACCTTGGTTTTGATACAGCATTTTGGAAACACTCCTTTTGAAGAATCTGCAGGTGGATATGTGGATAGCTTTGAAGATTTCGTTGGAAACGGGAATTTCTTCATATAAAATCAAACAGAAGCATTCTCAGAAACTTCTCAGTGATGTTTGCATTCAGTTCATGGAGTTGAACACTTCCTTTCATAGAGCCGGTTTGAAACACTCTTTCTGCACTACCTGGAAGAGGACATTTCGAGCGCTTTGAGTCCTATGGTGAAAAAGGAAATATCTTCTCATAGAAACCAGAAAGAAGCATTCTCAGAAACTTCTTTGTGTTGTGTGTACTCATGTAACAGTGTTGAACCATCCTTTTGACACAGCAGTTTTGAAACAGTCTTTTTGTAGAATCTGCAAGTGCATATTTGGATAGCTTTGAGGATTTCGTTGGAAACGGGTTATCTTCATATTAAATCTAGACAGAAGCATTCTGAGAAACTTCTTTGTGCTGTATGTCCTCAATTCACAGAGTTGAACCTTTGTTTGGATACAGCATTTTGGAAACATTCCTTTAGTAGAATCTGCAAGTGGATATTTAGATAGCTTTGAAGATTTCGTTGGAAACGGGAATATCTTCATAAAAAATGTAGACGGAAGCATTGTCGGAAACTGCTTTGTGATGTTTGCATTCAAGTCACAGAGTTAAATAGTCTTTTATAGAGCAGGTTTGAAACACTGTTTCTGCACTACCTGGAAGTGGAGATTTCGAGCGCTTTGAGGCCTATGGTGAAAAAGGAAATATCTTCCCATAAAAACTAGACGGAAGCCTTCTCAGAAACTTGTTTGAGATGTGTGTATTCAACTAAGAGCATTGAACATTTCTTTTTACAGAGCAGTTTTAAAACACTCTTTTTGTGGAATCTGAAAGTGGATAACTGGATAGCTTTGTGGATTTCGTTGGAAACGGGATTACGAATAAAATCTAGAGAGAAGCATTCTCAGGAACTTCTTTCTGATGTTTGCATTCAAGTCACAGAATTGAACATTCCTTTTCATAGTGCAGGTTTGAAACACTCTTTCTGTAGTATCTGGAAGGGGACATTTCAAGCGCTTTCAGGCCTCTGGGGAGGAAGGAAATATCTTCAAATAAAAACTAGACAGAAGGATTCTCAGAAACTTATTGGTGATGTGTGTCCTAAACGAACACAGTTGAACCTTTGTTTTGATACAGCATTTTGGAAACACTCCCTTTGTAGTATCTGCAGGTGGATATTTGGATAGATTTTAAGATTTCGTTGGAAACGGGAATTTCTTCATATAAACTCAAGACAGATGCATTCTCCGAAACTTCTCTGTGATGTTTGCATTCCACTCATAGAGTTGAAAACTTCCTTTCGTAGAGCAGGTTTGAAACACTCTTTTTGTAATATTTGGAAGTGGACATTTGCAGCGCTTTGAGGCCTATGGTGAAAAAGGAAATATCTTCTCATAAAAACCAGAAACAAGCATTCTCAGAAACTTCTTTTTGATGTGTGTACTCAAGTAACAGAGTTGAACCTTCCTCTTGACACAGCAGTTTTGAAACAATCTTTTTGTAGAATCTGCAAGTGGATATTTGGATAGCTTTGAGGATTTCGTTGGAAACGGGATATCTTCATATAAAATCTAGACAGAAGCATTCTCAGAAACTTCTTTGTGCTGTATGTCCTCAATTAACAGAGTTGAACCATGGCTTGGATACAGCATTTTGGAAACATTCCTTGAGTAGAATCTGCAAGTTGATATGTAGATAGCTTTGAAGATTTCGTTGGAAACGGGAATATCTTCATATAAAATCTAGACGGAAGCATTCTCAGAAACTGCTTTGTGATGTTTCCATTCAAGTCACAGAGTTGAATATTCCCTTTTATAGAGCACGTTTGAAACACTCTTTCTGCACTATCTGGAAGTGGACATTTCGAGCGCTGTGAGGCCTATGGTGAAAAAGGAAATATCTTCCCATAAAAACTAGACAGAAGCATTCTCAGAAACTTGTTTGTGATGTGTGTATTCAACTAACAGAGTTGAACTTTTGTTTTTACAGAGCCGTTTTAAAACACTCTTTTTGTGGAATCAGAAAGTGGATATTCGGATGGCTCTGAGGATTTCGTTGGAAGCGGGATTACGTATAAAATCTAGAGAGAAGCATTCTCAGGAACTACTTTGTGATGTTTGCATTGAAGTCACAGAATTGAACATTCACTTTGATAGAGCAGGTTTGAAACACTCATTCTGTAGTATCTGGAAGTGGACAATTCAAGCGCTTTCAGGCCTATGGGGAGAAAGGAAATATCTTCAAATAAAAACTAGACAGAAGCATCCTCAGAAACTTATTTGTGATGTGTGTCCTCAACTAACAGAGTTGAAACTTTGTTTTGATACAGCATTTTGGAAACACTCTTTTTGTAGAATCTGCAGGTGGATATTTGGATAGCTTAGAGGGATTCGTTGGAAAGGGGATATCTTCATATAAAATCTAGACAGAAGCATTCTCAGAAACTTATTTGTGATGTGTGTCCTCAACTAACAGAGTTGAACCTTGGTTTTGATACAGCATTTTGGAAACACTCCTTTTGTAGAATCTGCAGGTGGATATGTGGATAGCTTTGAAGATTTCGTTGGAAACGGGAATTTCTTCATATAAAATCAAACAGAAGCATTCTCAGAAACTTCTCAGTGATGTTTGCATTCAGCTCATGGAGTTGAACACTTCCTTTCATAGAGCAGGTTTGAAACACTCTTTCTGCACTACCTGGAAGAGGACATTTCGAGCGCTTTGAGTCCTATGGTGAAAAAGGAAATATCTTCTCATAGAAACCAGAAAGAAGCGTTCTCAGAAACTTCTTTGTGTTGTGTGTACTCATGTAACAGTGTTGAACCATCCTTTTGACAGAGCAGTTTTGAAACACTCTTTTTGTAGAATCTGCCAGTGGATATTTGGATAGCTTTGAGGATTTCGTTGGAAACGGGTTATCTTCATATTAAATCTAGACAGAAGCATTCTCAGGAACTTCTTTGTGATGTTTGCATTCAAGTCACAGAATTGAACATTCCCTTTCATAGAGCAGGTTTGAAACACTCTTTCTCTAGTATCTGGAAGTGGGCATTTCAAGCGCTTTCAGGCCTATGGAGAGAAAGGAAATACCTTCAAATAAAAACTAGACAGAAGCATTCTCAGAAACTTATTTGTGATGTGTGTCCTCAACTAACAGAGTTGAACCTTTGTTTTGATACAGCATTTTGGAAACACTCCTTTTGTAGAATCTGCAGGTGGATATTTGGATAGCTTTGAAGATTTCGTTGGAAACCGGAATATCTTCATATAAAATCAAGACAGAAGCATTCTCGGAAACATCTCTGTGATGTTTGCATTCAACTCAGTAGAGTTGAACACTTCCTTTCATAGAGCAGGTTTGAAACACTCTTTCTGCACTACCTGGAAGCGGACATTTCGAGCGCTTTGAGGCCTATGGTGAAAAAGGAAATATCTTCTCATAAAAACCAGAAAGAAGCATTCTCAGAAACTTCTTTGTGTTGTGTGTACTCAAGTAACAGTGTTGAACCTTCCTTTTGACAGAGCAGTTTTGAAACACTCTTTTGGTAGAATCTGCAAGTGGATATTTGGATAGCTTTGAGGATTTCGTTGGAAACGGGTTATCTTCCTATAAAATCCAGACAGGAGCATTCTCAGAAACTTCTTTGTGCTGTATGTCCTCAATTCACAGAGCTGAACCTTTGTTTGGATACAGCATTTTGGAGACATTCCTTTAGTAGAATCTGCAAGTTGATATTTAGATAGCTTTGAAGATTTCGTTGGAAACGGGAATATCTTCATAGAAAATCTAGACGGAAGCATTCTCAGAAACTGCTTTGTGATGTTTGCATTCAAGTCACAGAGTTGAATATTCCCTTTTATAGAGTAGGTTTGAAACACTCTTTCGGCACTACCTGGAAGTGGATATTTCGAGCTCTTTGAGGCCTATGGTTAAAAGGAAATATCTTCCCATAAAAACTAGACAGAAGCCTTCTCAGAAACTTGTTTGAGATGTGTGTATTCAACTAAGAGCGTTGAACATTTCTTTTTACAGAGCAGTTTTAAAACAGTCTTTTGGTGGAATCTGAAAGTGGATAATTGGATAGCTTTGTGGATTTCGTTGGAAACGGGATTACGTTTAAAATCTAGAGAGAAGCATTCTCAGGAACTTCTTTCTGATGTTTGCATTCAAGTCACAGAATTGAACATTCCTTTTCATAGTGCAGGTTTGAAACACTCTGTAGTATCTGGAAGTGGACATTTCAAGCGCTTTCAAGCCTATGGGGAGAAAGGAAATATCTTGAAATAAAAACTAGACAGAAGGATTCTCAGAAACTTATTTGTGATGTGTGTTCTCAACGAACACAGTTGAACCTTTGTTTTGATACAGCATTTTGGAAACACTCCTTTTGTAGAATCTGCAGGTGGATATTTGGATAGATTTTAAGATTTCATTGGAAACGGGAATTTCTTCATATAAACTCAAGACAGATGCATTCTCAGCAAACTTCTCTGTGATGTGTGCATTCCACTCATAGAGTTGAAAACTTCCTTTCATAGAGCAGGTTTGAAACACTCTTTTTGTAATATTTGGAAGTGGACATTTGCAGCGCTTTGAGGCCTATGGTGAAAAAGGAAATATCTTCTCATAAAAACCAGAAACAAGCATTCTCAGAAACTTCTTTTTGATGTGTGTACTCAAGTAACAGAGTTGAACCTTCCTTTTGACACAGCAGTTTTGAAACAATCTTTTTGTAGAATCTGCAAGTGGATATTTGGATAGCTTTGAGGATTTCGTTGGAAACGGGATATCTTCATATAAAATCTAGACAGAAGCATTCTCAGAAACTTCTTTGTGCTGTATGACCTCAATTAACAGAGTTGAACCATTGCTTGCATACAGCATTTTGGAAACATTCCTTGAGTAGAATCTGCAAGTTGATATTTAGATAGATTTGAAGATTTCGTTCGAAAACGGAATATCTCCATATAAAATCTAGAGGGAAGCATTCTCAGAAACTGCTTTGTGATGTTTCCATTCAAGTCACAGAGTTGAATATTCCCTTTTATAGAGCACGTTTGAAACACTCTTTCTGCACTATCTGGAAGTGGACATTTCGAGCGCTTTGAGGCCTATGGTGAAAAAGGAAATATCTTCCCATAAAAACTAGACAGAAGCATTCTCAGAAACTTGTTTGTGATGTGTGTATTCAACTAACAGAGTTGAACTTTTGTTTTTACAGAGCCGTTTTAAAACACTCTTTTTGTGGAATCAGAAAGTGGATATTCGGATGGCTCTGAGGATTTCGTTGGAAGCGGGATTACGTATAAAATCTAGAGAGAAGCATTCTCAGGAACTACTTTGTGATGTTTGCATTGAAGTCACAGAATTGAACATTCACTTTGATAGAGCAGGTTTGAAACACTCATTCTGTAGTATCTGGAAGTGGACAATTCAAGCACTTTCAGGCCTATAGGGAGAAAGGAAATATCTTCAAATAAAAACTAGACAGAAGCATCCTCAGAAACTTATTTGTGATGTGTGTCCTCAACTAACAGAGTTGAAACTTTGTTTTGATACAGCATTTTGTAAACACTCTTTTTGTAGAATCTGCAGGTGGATATTTGGATAGCTTAGAGGGATTCGTTGGAAAGGGGATATCTTCATATAAAATCTAGACAGAAGCATTCTCAGAAACTTATTTGTGATGTGTGTCCTCAACTAACAGAGTTGAACCTTGGTTTTGATACAGCATTTTGGAAACACTCCTTTTGTAGAATCTGCAGGTGGATATGTGGATAGCTCTGAAGATTTCGTTGGAAACGGGAATTTCTTCATATAAAATCAAACAGAAGCATTCTCAGAAACTTCTCCAGTGATGTTTGCATTCAGTTCATGGAGTTGAACACTTCCTTTCATAGAGCCGGTTTGAAACACTCTTTCTGCACTACCTGGAAGAGGACATTTCGAGCGCTTTGAGTCCTATGGTGAAAAAGGAAATATCTTCTCATAGAAACCAGAAAGAAGCATTCTCAGAAACTTCTTTGTGTTGTGTGTACTCATGTAACAGTGTTGAACCATCCTTTTGACAGAGGAGTTTTGAAACACTCTTTTTGTAGAATCTGCAAGTGGATATTTGGATAGCTTTGAGGATTTCGTTGGAAACGGGATGACATATAATATCTAGAGAGAAGCATTCTCAGGAACTTCTTTGTGATGTTTGCATTCAAGTCACAGAATTGAACATTCCCTTTCATAGAGCAGGTTTGAAACACTCTTTCTCTAGTATCTGGAAGTGGGCATTTCAAGCGCTTTCAGGCCTATGGAGAGAAAGGAAATACCTTCAAATAAAAACTAGACAGAAGCATTCTCAGAAACTTATTTGTGATGTGTGTCCTCAACTAACAGAGTTGAACCTTTGTTTTGATACAGCATTTTGGAAACACTCCTTTTGTAGAATCTGCAGGTGGATATTTGGATAGCTTTGAAGATTTCGTTGGAAACCGGAATATCTTCATATAAAATCAAGACAGAAGCATTCTCGGAAACATCTCTGTGATGTTTGCATTCAACTCAGTAGAGTTGAACACTTCCTTTCATAGAGCAGGTTTGAAACACTCTTTCTGCACTACCTGGAAGCGGACATTTCGAGCGCTTTGAGGCCTATGGTGAAAAAGGAAATATCTTCTCATAAAAACCAGAAAGAGCATTCTCAGAAACTTCTTTGTGTTGTGTGTACTCAAGTAACAGTGTTGAACCTTCCTTTTGACAGAGTAGTTTTGAAACACTCTTTTGGTAGAATCTGCAAGTGGATATTTGGATAGCTTTGAGGATTTCGTTGGAAACGGGTTATCTTCCTATAAAATCCAGACAGGAGCATTCTCAGAAACTTCTTTGTGCTGTATGTCCTCAATTCACAGAGCTGAACCTTTGTTTGGATACAGCATTTTGGAGACATTCCTTTAGTAGAATCTGCAAGTTGATATTTAGATAGCTTTGAAGATTTCGTTGGAAACGGGAATATCTTCATAGAAAATCTAGACGGAAGCATTCTCAGAAACTGCTTTGTGATGTTTGCATTCAAGTCACAGAGTTGAATATTCCCTTTTATAGAGTAGGTTTGAAACACTCTTTCGGCACTACCTGGAAGTGGATATTTCGAGCTCTTTGAGGCCTATGGTTAAAAGGAAATATCTTCCCATAAAAACTAGACAGAAGCCTTCTCAGAAACTTGTTTGAGATGTGTGTATTCAACTAAGAGCGTTGAACATTTCTTTTTACAGAGCAGTTTTAAAACACTCTTTTGGTGCAATCTGAAAGTGGATAATTGGATAGCTTTGTGGATTTCGTTGGAAACGGGATTACGTTTAAAATCTAGAGAGAAGCATTCTCAGGAACTTCTTTCTGATGTTTGCATTCAAGTCACAGAATTGAACATTCCTTTTCATAGTGCAGGTTTGAAACACTCTGTAGTATCTGGAAGTGGACATTTCAAGCGCTTTCAGGCCTATGGGGAGAAAGGAAATATCTTGAAATAAAAACTAGACAGAAGGATTCTCAGAAACTTATTTGTGATGTGTGTTCTCAACGAACACAGTTGAACCTTTGTTTTGATATAGCATTTTGGAAGCACTCTTTTGTAGAATCTGCAGGTGGATATTTGGATAGATTTTAAGATTTCATTGGAAACGGGAATTTCTTCATATAAACTCAAGACAGATGCATTCTCAGAAACTTCTCTGTGATGTTTGCATTCCACTCACAGAGTTGAAAACTTCCTTTCATAGAGCAGGTTTGAAACACTCTTTTTGTAATATTTGGAAGTGGACATTTGCAGCGCTTGGAGGCCTATGGTGAAAAAGGAAATATCTTCTCATAAAAACCAGAAACAAGCATTCTCAGAAACTGCTTTTTGATGTGTGTACTCAAGTAACAGAGTTGAACCTTCCTTTTGACACAGCAGTTTTGAAACAATCTTTTTGTAGAATCTGCAAGTGGATATTTGGATAGCTTTGAGGATTTCGTTGGAAACGGGATATCTTCATATAAAATCTAGACAGAAGCATTCTCAGAAACTTCTTTGTGCTGTATGTCCTCAATTAACAGAGTTGAACCATTGCTTGGATACAGCATTTTGGAAACATTCCTTTAGTAGAATCTGCAAGTTGATATTTAGATAGATTTGAAGATTTCGTTGGAAACGGGAATATCTTCATATAAAATCTAGACGGAAGCATTCTCAGAAACTGCTTTGTGATGTTTCCATTCAAGTCACAGAGTTGAATATTCCCTTTTATAGAGCACGTTTGAAACACTCTTTCTGCGCTATCTGGAAGTGGACATTTCGAGCGCTTTGAGGCCTATGGTGAAAAAGGAAATATCTTCCCATAAAAACTAGACAGAAGCATTCTCAGAAACTTGTTTGTGATGTGTGTATTCAACTAACAGAGTTGAACTTTTGTTTTTACAGAGCCGTTTTAAAACACTCTTTTTGTGGAATCAGAAAGTGGATATTCGGATGGCTCTGAGGATTTCGTTGGAAGCGGGATTACATATAAAATCTAGAGAGAAGCATTCTCAGGAACTTCTTTGTGATGTTTGCATTGAAGTCACAGAATTGAACATTCACTTTGATAGAGCAGGTTTGAAACACTCATTCTGTAGTATCTGGAAGTGGACATTTCAAGCGCTTTCAGGCCTATGGTGAGAAAGGAAATATCTTCGAATAAAAACTAGACAGAAGCATCCTCAAACTTATTTGTGATGTGTGTCCTCAACTAACAGAGTTGAAACTTTGTTTTGATACAGCATTTTGGAAACACTCTTTTTGTAGAATCTGCAGGTGGATATTTGGATAGCTTAGAGGGATTCGTTGGAAAGGGGATATCTTCATATAGAATCTAGACAGAAGCATTCTCAGAAACTTATTTGTGATGTGTGTCCTCAACTAACAGAGTTGAACCTTGGTTTTGATACAGCATTTTGGAAACCCTCCTTTTGTAGAATCTGCAGGTGGATATGTGGATAGCTTTGAAGATTTCGTTGGAAACGGGAATTTCTTCATGTAAAATCAAACAGAAGCATTCTCAGAAACTTCTCTGTGATGTTTGCATTCAGCTCATGGAGTTGAACACTTCCTTTCATAGAGCAGGTTTGAAACACTCTTTCTGCACTACCTGGAAGCGGACATTTCGAGCGCTTTGAGGCCTATGGTGAAAAAGGAAATATCTTCTCATAAAAACCAGAAAGAAGCATTCTCAGAAACTTCTTTGTGTTGTGTGTACTCAAGTAACAGTGTTGAACCTTCCTTTTGACAGAGCAGTTTTGAAACACTCTTTTGGTAGAATCTGCAAGTGGATATTTGGATAGCTTTGAGGATTTCGTTGGAAACGGGTTATCTTCCTATAAAATCCAGACAGGAGCATTCTCAGAAACTTCTTTGTGCTGTATGTCCTCAATTCACAGAGCTGAACCTTTGTTTGGATACAGCATTTTGGAGACATTCCTTTAGTAGAATCTGCAAGTTGATATTTAGATAGCTTTGAAGATTTCGTTGGAAACGGGAATATCTTCATAGAAAATCTAGACGGAAGCATTCTCAGAAACTGCTTTGTGATGTTTGCATTCAAGTCACAGAGTTGAATATTCCCTTTTATAGAGTAGGTTTGAAACACTCTTTCGGCACTACCTGGAAGTGGATATTTCGAGCTCTTTGAGGCCTATGGTTAAAAGGAAATATCTTCCCATAAAAACTAGACAGAAGCCGTCTCAGAAACTTGTTTGTGATGTGTGTATTCAACTAACAGCAGTTGAACATTTCTGTTACAGAGCAATTTTAAAACAGTCTTTTTGTGGAATCTGAAAGTGTATAATTGGATAGCTTTGTGGATTTCATTGGAAACGGGATGACGTATAAAATCTAGAGAGAAGCATTCTCAGGAACTTCTTTCTGATGTTTGCATTCAAGTCACAGAATTGAACATTCCTTTTCAGAGTGCAGGTTTGAAACACTCTTTCTGTAGTATCTGGAAGTGGACATTTCAAGCGCTTACAGGCCTATGGGGAGAAAGGAAATATCTTCAAATAAAAACTAGAGAGAAGGATTCTCAGAAACTTATTTGTGATGTGTGTCCTAAACGAACACAGTTGAACCTTTGTTTTGATACAGCATTTTGGAAACACTCCTTTTGTAGGATCTGCAGGTGGATATTTGGATAGATTTTAAGATTTCGTTGGAAACGGGAATTTCTTCATAGAAGCTCAAGACAGATGCATTCTCAGAAACTTCTCTGTGATGTTTGCATTCCACTCATAGAGTTGAAAACTTCCTTTCATAGAGCAGGTTTGAAACACTCTTTTTGTAATATTTGGAAGTGGACATTTGCAGCGCTTTGAGGCCTATGGTGAAAAAGGAAATATCTTCTCATAAAAACCAGAAACAAGCATTCTCAGAAACTTCTTTTTGATGTGTGTACTCAAGTAACAGAGTTGAACCTTCCTCTTGACACAGCAGTTTTGAAACAATCTTTTTGTAGAATCTGCAAGTGGATATTTGGATAGCTTTGAGGATTTCGTTGGAAACGGGATATCTTCATATAAAATCTAGACAGAAGCATTCTCAGAAACTTCTTTGTGCTGTATGTCCTCAATTCACAGAGTTGAACCTTTGTTTGGATACAGCATTTTGGAAACATTCCTTTAGTAGAATCTGCAAGTGGATATTTAGATAGCTTTGAAGATTTCGATGGAAACGGGAATATCTTCATAAAAAATCTGGACGGAAGCATTGTCAGAAACTGCTTTGCGATGTTTGCATTCAAGTCACAGAGTTAAATAGTCTTTTATAGAGCAGGTTTGAAACACTCTTTCTGCACTACCTGGAAGTGGAGATTTCGAGCGCTTTGAGGCCTATTGGTGAAAAAGGAAATATCTTCCCAGAAAAACTAGACGGAAGCCTTCTCAGAAACTTGTTTGAGATGTGTGTATTCAACTAAGAGCGTTGAACATTTCTTTTTACAGAGCAGTTTTAAAACACTCTTTTTGTGGAATCTGAAAGTGGATAATTGGATAGCTTTGTGGATTTCGTTGGAAACGGGATTACGTATAAAATCTAGAGAGAAGCATTCTCAGGAACTTCTTTCTGATGTTTGCATTCAAGTCACAGAATTGAACATTCCTTTTCAGAGTGCAGGTTTGAAACACTCTTTCTGTAGTATCTGGAAGTGGACATTTCAAGCGCTTTCAGGCCTACGGGGAGAAAGGAAATATCTTCAAATAAAAACTAGACAGAAGGATTCTCAGAAACTTATTTGTGATGTGTGTCCTAAACGAACACAGTTGAACCTTTGTTTTGATACAGCATTTTGGAAACACTCCTTTTGTAGGATCTGCAGGTGGATATTTGGATAGATTTTAAGATTTCGTTGGAAACGGGAATTTCTGCATATAAACTCAAGACAGATGCATTCTCAGAAACTTCTCTGTGATGTTTGCATTCCACTCATAGAGTTGAAAACTTCCTTTCATAGAGCAGGTTTGAAACACTCTTTTTGTAATATTTGGAAGTGGACATTTGCAGCGCTTTGAGGCCTATGGTGAAAAAGGAAATATCTTCTCATAAAAACCAGAAACAAGCATTCTCAGAAACTGCTTTTTGATGTGTGTACTCAAGTAACAGAGTTGAACCTTCCTTGTGACACAGCAGTTTTGAAACAATCTTTTTGTAGAATCTGCAAGTGGATATTTGGATAGCTTTGAGGATTTCGTTGCAAACGGGATATCTTCATATAAAATCTAGACAGAAGCATTCTCAGAAACTTCTTTGTGCTGTATGTCCTCAATTAACAGAGTTGAACCATTGCTTGGATACAGCATTTTGGAAACATTCCTTTAGTAGAATCTGCAAGTTGATATTTAGATAGATTTGAAGATTTCGTTGGAAACGGGAATATCTTCATATAAAATCTAGACGGAAGCATTCTCAGAAACTGCTTTATGATGTTTCCCTTCAAGTCACAGAGTTGAATATTGCCTTTTGTAGAGCACGTTTGAAACAATCTTTCTGCACTATGTGGAAGTGGACATTTCGAGCGCTTTGAGGCCTATGGTGAAAAAGGAAATATCTTCCCATAAAAACTAGACAGAAGCATTCTCAGAAACTTGTTTGTGATGTGTGTATTCAACTAACAGAGTTGAACTTTTGTTTTTACAGAGCCGTTTTAAAACACTCTTTTTGTGGAATCAGAAAGTGGATATTCGGATGGCTCTGAGGATTTCGTTGGAAGCGGGATTACATATAAAATCTAGAGAGAAGCATTCTCAGGAACTTCTTTGTGATGTTTGCATTGAAGTCACAGAATTGAACATTCACTTTGATAGAGCAGGTTTGAAACACTCATTCTGTAGGATCTGGAAGTGGACATTTCAAGCGCTTTCAGGCCTATGGTGAGAAAGGAAATATCTTCAAATAAAAACTAGACAGAAGCATCCTCAGAAACTTATTTGTGATGTGTGTCCTCAACTAACAGAGTTGAAACTTTGTTTTGATACAGCATTTTGGAAACACTCTTTTTGTAGAATCTGCAGGTGGATATTTGGATAGCTTAGAGGGATTCGTTGGAAAGGGGATATCTTCATATAAAATCTAGACAGAAGCATTCTCAGAAACTTATTTGTGATGTGTGTCCTCAACTAACAGAGTTGAACCTTGGTTTTGATACAGCATTCTGGAAACACTCCTTTTGTAGAATCTGCAGGTGGATATGTGGATAGCTCTGAAGATTTCGTTGGAAACGGGAATTTCTTCATATAAAATCAAACAGAAGCATTCTCAGAAACTTCTCAGTGATGTTTGCATTCAGTTCATGGAGTTGAACACTTCCTTTCATAGAGCCGGTTTGAAACACTCTTTCTGCACTACCTGGAAGAGGACATTTCGAGCGCTTTGAGTCCTATGGTGAAAAAGGAAATATCTTCTCATAGAAACCAGAAAGAAGCATTCTCAGAAACTTCTTTGTGTTGTGTGTACTCATGTAACAGTGTTGAACCATCCTTTTGACAGAGCAGTTTTGAAACACTCTTTTTGTAGAATCTGCAAGTGGATATTTGGATAGCTTTGAGGATTTCGTTGGAAACGGGATGACATATAATATCTAGAGAGAAGCATTCTCAGGAACTTCTTTGTGATGTTTGCATTCAAGTCACAGAATTGAACATTCCCTTTCATAGAGCAGGTTTGAAACACTCTTTCTCTAGTATCTGGAAGTGGGCATTTCAAGCGCTTTCAGGCCTATGGAGAGAAAGGAAATACCTTCAAATAAAAACTAGACAGAAAGCATTCTCAGAAACTTATTTGTGATGTGTGTCCTCAACTAACAGGAGTTGAACCTTTGTTTTGATACAGCATTTTGGAAACACTCCTTTTGTAGAATCTGCAGGTGGATATTCGGATAGCTTTGAAGATTTCGTTGGAAACCGGAATATCTTCATATAAAATCAAGACAGAAGCATTCTCGGAAACATCTCTGTGATGTTTGCATTCAACTCAGTAGAGTTGAACACTTCCTTTCATAGAGCAGGTTTGAAACACTCTTTCTGCACTACCTGGAAGCGGACATTTCGAGCGCTTTGAGGCCTATGGTGAAAAAGGAAATATCTTCTCATAAAAACCAGAAAGAAGCATTCTCAGAAACTTCTTTGTGTTGTGTGTACTCAAGTAACAGTGTTGAACCTTCCTTTTGACAGAGCAGTTTTGAAACACTCTTTTGGTAGAATCTGCAAGTGGATATTTGGATAGCTTTGAGGATTTCGTTGGAAACGGGTTATCTTCATATAAAATACCAGACAGGAAGCATTCTCAGAAACTTCTTTGTGCTGTATGTCCTCAATTCACAGAGTTGAACCTTTGTTTGGATACAGCATTTTGGAAACATTCCTTTAGTAGAATCTGCAAGTTGATATTTAGATAGCTTTGAAGATTTCGTTGGAAACGGGAATATCTTCATAAAAAATCTAGACGGAAGCATTGTCAGAAACTGCTTTGTGATGTTTGCATTCAAGTCACAGAGTTAAATATTCTTTTACAGAGCAGGTTTGAAACACTCTTTCTGCACTCCCTGGAAGTGGAGATTTCGAGCGCTTTGAGGCCTATGGTGAAAAAGGAAATATCTTCCCATAAAAACTAGATGGAAGCCTTCTCAGAAACTTGTTTGAGATGTGTGTATTCAACTAAGAGCGTTGAACATTTCTTTTTACAGAGCAGTTTTAAAACACTCTTTTGTGGAATCTGAAAGTGGATAATTGGATAGCTTTGTGGATTTCGTTGGAAACGGGATGACGTATAAAATCTAGAGAGAAGCATTCTCAGGAACTTCTTTCTGATGTTTGCATTCAAGTCACAGAATTGAACATTCCTTTTCAGAGTGCAGGTTTGAAACACTCTTTCTTTAGTATCTGGAAGTGGACATTTCAAGCGCTTTCAGGCCTACGGGGAGAAAGGAAATATCTTCAAATAAAAACTAGACAGAAGGATTCTCAGAAACTTATTTGTGATGTGTGTCCTAAACGAACACAGTTGAACCTTTGTTTTGATACAGCATTTTGGAAACACTCCTTTTGTAGGATCTGCAGGTGGATATTTGGATAGATTTTAAGATTTCGTTGGAAACGGGAATTTCTTCATAGAAGCTCAAGACAGATGCATTCTCAGAAACTTCTCTGTGATGTTTGCATTCCACTCACAGAGTTGAAAACTTCCTTTCATAGAGCAGGTTTGAAACACTCTTTTTGTAATATTTGGAAGTGGACATTTGCAGCGCTTTGAGGCCTATGGTGAAAAAGGAAATATCTTCTCATAAAAACCAGAAACAAGCATTCTCAGAAACTTCTTTTTGATGTGTGTACTCAAGTAACAGAGTTGAACCTTCCTTTTGACAGAGCAGTTTTGAAACAATCTTTTTGTAGAATCTGCAAGTGGATATTTGGATAGATTTGAGGATTTCGTTGGAAACGGGATATCTTCATATAAAATCTAGACAGAAGCATTCTCAGAAACTTCTTTGTGCTGTATGTCCTCAATTAACAGAGTTGAACCATTGCTTGGATACAGCATTTTGGAAACATTCCTTTAGTAGAATCTGCAAGTTGATATTTAGATAGATTTGAAGATTTCGTTGGAAACGGGAATATCTTCATATAAAATCTAGACGGAAGCATTCTCAGAAACTGCTTTGTGATGTTTCCATTCAAGTCACAGAGTTGAATATTCCCTTTTATAGAGCACGTTTGAAACACTCTTTCTGCACTATCTGGAAGTGGACATTTCGAGCGCTTTGAGGCCTATGGTGAAAAAGGAAATATCTTCCCATAAAAACTAGACAGAAGCATTCTCAGAAACTTGTTTGTGATGTGTGTATTCAACTAACAGACTTGAACTTTTGTTTTTACAGAGCAGTTTTAAGACAATCTTTTTGTGGAATCAGAAAGTGGATATTCGGATGGCTTTGAGGATTTCGTTGGAAGCGGGATTACATATAAAATCTAGAGAGAAGCATTCTCAGGAACTACTTTGTGATGTTTGCATTGAAGTCACAGATTTGAACATTCACTTTGATAGAGCAGGTTTGAAACACTCATTCTGTAGTATCTGGAAGTGGACAATTCAAGCACTTTCAGGCCTATGGGGAGAAAGGAAATATCTTCAAATAAAAACTAGACAGAAGCATCCTCAGAAACTTATTTGTGATGTGTGTCCTCAACTAACAGAGTTGAAACTTTGTTTTGATACAACATTTTGGAAACACTCTTTTTGTAGAATCTGCAGGTGGATATTTGGATAGCTTAGAGGGATTCGTTGGAAAGGGGATATCTTCATATAAAATCTAGACAGAAGCATTCTCAGAAACTTATTTGTGATGTGTGTCCTCAACTAACAGAGTTGAACCTTGGTTTTGATACAGCATTTTGGAAACACTCCTTTTGTAGAATCTGCAGGTGGATATGTGGATAGCTTTGAAGATTTCGTTGAAAACGGGAATTTCTTCATATAAAATCAAACAGAAGCATTCTCAGAAACTTCTCTGTGATGTTTGCATTCAGCTCATGGAGTTGAACACTTCCTTTCATAGAGCAGGTTTGAAACACTCTTTCTGCACTACCAGGAAGTGGACATTTGGAGCGCTTTGAGGCCTATGGTGAAAAAGGAAATATCTTCTCATAAAAACCAGAAAGAAGCATTCTCAGAAACTTCTTTGTGTTGTGTGTACTCATGTAACAGTGTTGAACCATCCTTTTGACAGAGGAGTTTTGAAACACTCTTTTTGTAGAATCTGCAAGTGGATATTTGGATAGCTTTGAGGATTTCGTTGGAAACGGGATGACATATAATATCTAGAGAGAAGCATTCTCAGGAACTTCTTTGTGATGTTTGCATTCAAGTCACAGAATTGAACATTCCCTTTCATAGAGCAGGTTTGAAACACTCTTTCTCTAGTATCTGGAAGTGGGCATTTCAAGCGCTTTCAGGCCTATGGAGAGAAAGGAAATACCTTCAAATAAAAACTAGACAGAAGCATTCTCAGAAACTTATTTGTGATGTGTGTCCTCAACTAACAGAGTTGAACCTTTGTTTTGATACAGCATTTTGGAAACACTCCTTTTGTAGAATCTGCAGGTGGATATTTGGATAGCTTTGAAGATTTCGTTGGAAACCGGAATATCTTCCTATAAAATCAAGACAGAAGCATTCTCGGAAACATCTCTGTGATGTTTGCATTCAACTCAGTAGAGTTGAACACTTCCTTTCCTAGAGCAGGTTTGAAACACTCTTTCTGCCCTACCTGGAAGCGGACATTTCGAGCTCTTTGAGGCCTATGGTGAAAAAGGAAATATCTTCTCATAAAAACCAGAAAGAAGCATTCTCAGAAACTTCTTTGTGTTGTGTGTACTCAAGTAACAGTGTTGAACCTTCCTTTTGACAGAGCAGTTTTGAAACACTCTTTTGGTAGAATCTGCAAGTGGATATTTGGATAGCTTTGAGGATTTCGTTGGAAACGGGTTATCTTCATATAAAATCCAGACAGGAGCATTCTCAGAAACTTCTTTGTGCTGTATGTCCTCAATTCACAGAGCTGAACCTTTGTTTGGATACAGCATTTTGGAGACATTCCTTTAGTAGAATCTGCAAGTTGATATTTAGATAGCTTTGAAGATTTCGTTGGAAACGGGAATATCTTCATAGAAAATCTAGACGGAAGCATTCTCAGAAACTGCTTTGTGATGTTTGCATTCAAGTCACAGAGTTGAATATTCCCTTTTATAGAGTAGGTTTGAAACACTCTTTCGGCACTACCTGGAAGTGGATATTTCGAGCTCTTTGAGGCCTATGGTTAAAAGGAAATATCTTCCCATAAAAACTAGACAGAAGCCGTCTCAGAAACTTGTTTGTGATGTGTGTATTCAACTAACAGAGTTGAACATTTCTGTTACAGAGCAATTTTAAAACACTCTTTTTGTGGAATCTGAAAGTGGATAATTGGATAGCTTTGTGGATTTCGTTGGAAACGGGATGACGTATAAAATCTAGAGAGAAGCATTCTCAGGAACTTCTTTCTGATGTTTGCATTCAAGTCACAGAATTGAACATTCCTTTTCAGAGTGCAGGTTTGAAACACTCTTTCTGTAGTATCTGGAAGTGGACATTTCAAGCGCTTTCAGGCCTACGGGGAGAAAGGAAATATCTTCAAATAAAAACTAGAGAGAAGGATTCTCAGAAACTTATTTGTGATGTGTGTCCTAAACGAACACAGTTGAACCTTTGTTTTGATACAGCATTTTGGAAACACTCCTTTTGTAGGATCTGCAGGTGGATATTTGGATAGATTTTAAGATTTCGTTGGAAACGGGAATTTCTTCATAGAAGCTCAAGACAGATGCATTCTCAGAAACTTCTCTGTGATGTTTGCATTCCACTCATAGAGTTGAAAACTTCCTTTCATAGAGCAGGTTTGAAACACTCTTTTTGTAATATTTGGAAGTGGACATTTGCAGCGCTTTGAGGCCTATGGTGAAAAAGGAAATATCTTCTCATAAAAACCAGAAACAAGCATTCTCAGAAAACTTCTTTTTGATGTGTGTACTCAAGTAACAGAGTTGAACCTTCCTCTTGACACAGCAGTTTTGAAACAATCTTTTTGTAGAATCTGCAAGTGGATATTTGGATAGCTTTGAGGATTTCGTTGGAAACGGGATATCTTCATATAAAATCTAGACAGAAGCATTCTCAGAAACTTCTTTGTGCTGTATGTCCTCAATTAACAGAGTTGAACCATTGCCTGGATACAGCATTTTGGAAACATTCCTTGAGTAGAATCTGCAAGTTGATATTTAGATAGATTTGAAGATTTCGTTGGAAAAGGGAATATCTCCATATAAAATCTAGAGGGAAGCATTCTCAGAAACTGCTTTGTGATGTTTCCATTCAAGTCACAGAGTTGAATATTCCCTTTTATAGAGCACGTTTGAAACACTCTTTCTGCACTATCTGGAAGCGGACATTTCGAGCGCTTTGAGGCCTATGGTGAAAAAGGAAATATCTTCCCATAAAAACTAGACAGAAGCATTCTCAGAAACTTGTTTGTGATGTGTGTATTCAACTAACAGAGTTGAACTTTTGTTTTTACAGAGCCGTTTTAAAACACTCTTTTTGTGGAATCAGAAAGTGGATATTCGGATGGCTCTGAGGATTTCGTTGGAAGCGGGATTACGTATAAAATCTAGAGAGAAGCATTCTCAGGAACTACTTTGTGATGTTTGCATTGAAGTCACAGAATTGAACATTCACTTTGATAGAGCAGGTTTGAAACACTCATTCTGTAGTATCTGGAAGTGGACATTTCAAGCGCTTTCAGGCCTATGGGGAGAAAGGAAATATCTTCAAATTAAAACTAGACAGAAGGATTCTCAGAAACTTATTTGTGATGTGTGTCCTAAACGAACACAGTTGAACCTTTGTTTTGATACAGCATTTTGGAAACACTCTTTTTGTAGAATCTGCAGGTGGATATTTGGATAGCTTAGAGGGATTCGTTGGAAAGGGGATATCTTCATATAAAATCTAGACAGAAGCATTCTCAGAAACTTATTTGTGATGTGTGTCCTCAACTAACAGAGTTGAACCTTGGTTTTGATACAGCATTTTGGAAACACTCCTTTTGAAGAATCTGCAGGTGGATATGTGGATAGCTTTGAAGATTTTGTTGGAAACGGGAATTTCTTCATATAAAATCAAACAGAAGCATTCTCAGGAACTTCTCTGTGATGTTTGCATTCAGCTCATGGAGTTGAACACTTCCTTTCATAGAGCAGGTTTGAAACACTCTTTCTGCACTACCTGGAAGTGGACATTTCGAGCGCTTTGAGGCCTATGGTGAAAAAGGAAATATCCTCTCATAAAAACCAGAAAGAAGCGTTCTCAGAAACTTCTTTGTGTTGTGTGTACTCATGTAACAGTGTTGAACCATCCTTTTGACAGAGCAGTTTTGAAACACTCTTTTTGTAGAATCTGCCAGTGGATATTTGGATAGCTTTGAGGATTTCGTTGGAAACGGGTTATCTTCATATTAAATCTAGACAGAAGCATTCTCAGGAACTTCTTTGTGATGTTTGCATTCAAGTCACAGAATTGAACATTCCCTTTCATAGAGCAGGTTTGAAACACTCTTTCTCTAGTATCTGGAAGTGGGCATTTCAAGCGCTTTCAGGCCTATGGAGAGAAAGGAAATACCTTCAAATAAAAACTAGACAGAAGCATTCTCAGAAACTTATTTGTGATGTGTGTCCTCAACTAACAGAGTTGAACCTTTGTTTTGATACAGCATTTTGGAAACACTCCTTTTGTAGAATCTGCAGGTGGATATTTGGATAGCTTTGAAGATTTCGTTGGAAACCGGAATATCTTCATATAAAATCAAGACAGAAGCATTCTCGGAAACATCTCTGTGATGTTTGCATTCAACTCAGTAGAGTTGAACACTTCCTTTCATAGAGCAGGTTTGAAACACTCTTTCTGCACTACCTGGAAGCGGACATTTCGAGCGCTTTGAGGCCTATGGTGAAAAAGGAAATATCTTCTCATAAAAACCAGAAAGAAGCATTCTCAGAAACTTCTTTGTGTTGTGTGTACTCAAGTAACAGTGTTGAACCTTCCTTTTGACAGAGCAGTTTTGAAACACTCTTTTGGTAGAATCTGCAAGTGGATATTTGGAGAGCTTTGAGGATTTCGTTGGAAACGGGTTATCTTCATATAAAATCCAGACAGGAGCATTCTCAGAAACTTCTTTGTGCTGTATGTCCTCAATTCACAGAGTTGAACCTTTGTTTGGATACAGCATTTTGGAAACATTCCTTTAGTAGAATCTGCAAGTTGATATTTAGATAGCTTTGAAGATTTCGTTGGAAACGGGAATATCTTCATAAAAAATCTAGACGGAAGCATTGTCAGAAACTGCTTTGTGATGTTTGCATTCAAGTCACAGAGTTAAATAATCTTTTACAGAGCAGGTTCGAAACACTCTTTCTGCACTCCCTGGAAGTGGAGATTTCGAGCGCTTTGAGGCCTATGGTGAAAAAGGAAATATCTTCCCATAAAAACTAGATGGAAGCATTCTCAGAAACTTGTTTGTGATGTGTGTATTCAACTGAGTTGAACTTTTGTTTCTACAGAGCAGTTTTAAAACACTCTTTTTGTGGAATCAGAAAGTGGATATTCGGATGGCTCTGAGGATTTCGTTGGAAGCGGGATTACATATAAAATCTAGAGAGAAGCATTCTCAGGAACTTCTTTGTGATGTTTGCATTGAAGTCACAGAATTGAACATTCACTTTGATAGAGCAGGTTTGAAACACTCATTCTGTAGGATCTGGAAGTGGACATTTCAAGCGCTTTCAGGCCTATGGTGAGAAAGGAAATATCTTCGAATAAAAACTAGACAGAAGCATTCTCAGAAACTTATTTGTGATGTGTGTCCTCAACTAACAGAGTTGAAACTTTGTTTTGATACAGCATTTTGGAAACACTCTTTTTGTAGAATCTGCAGGTGGATATTTGGATAGCTTAGAGGGATTCGTTGGAAAGGGGATATCTTCATATAAAATCTAGACAGAAGCATTCTCAGAAACTTATTTGTGATGTGTGTCCTCAACTAACAGAGTTGAACCTTGGTTTTGATACAGCATTTTGGAAACACTCCTTTTGTAGAATCTGCAGGTGGATATGTGGATAGCTCTGAAGATTTCGTTGGAAACGGGAATTTCTTCATATGAAATCAAACAGAAGCATTCTCAGAAACTTCTCAGTGATGTTTGCATTCAGTTCATGGAGTTGAACACTTCCTTTCATAGAGCCGGTTTGAAACACTCTTTCTGCACTACCTGGAAGAGGACATTTCGAGCGCTTTGAGTCCTATGGTGAAAAAGGAAATATCTTCTCATAGAAACCAGAAAGAAGCGTTCTCAGTAAACTTCTTTGTGTTGTGTGTACTCATGTAACAGTGTTGAACCATCCTTTTGACAGAGCAGTTTTGAAACACTCTTTTTGTAGAATCTGCAAGTGGATATTTGGATAGCTTTGAGGATTTCGTTGGAAACGGGTTATCTTCATATTAAATCTAGACAGAAGCATTCTCAGAAACTTCTTTGTGCTGTATGTCCTCAATTCACAGAGTTGAACCTTTGTTTGGATACAGCATTTTGGAAACATTCCTTTAGTAGAATCTGCAAGTTGATATTTAGATAGCTTTGAAGATTTCGTTGGAAACGGGAATATCTTCATAAAAAATCTAGACGGAAGCATTGTCAGAAACTGCTTTGTGATGTTTGCATTCAAGTCACAGAGTTAAATATTCTTTTACAGAGCAGGTTTGAAACACTCTTTCTGCACTCCCTGGAAGTGGAGATTTCGAGCGCTTTGAGGCCTATGGTGAAAAAGGAAATATCTTCCCATAAAAACTAGACGGAAGCCTTCTCAGAAACTTGTTTGAGATGTGTGTATTCAAGTAAGAGCGTTGAACATTTCTTTTTACAGAGCAGTTTTAAAACACTCTTTTTGTGGAATATGAAAGTGGATAATTGGATAGCTTTGTGGATTTCGTTGGAAACGGGATGACGTATAAAATCTAGAGAGAAGCATTCTCAGGAACTTCTTTCTGATGTTTGCATTCAAGTCACAGAATTGAACATTACTTTTCATAGTGCAGGTTTGAAACACTCTCTCTGTAGTATCTGGAAGTGGACATTTCACGCGCTTTCAGGCCTATGGGGAGAAAGGAAATATCTTCAAATAAAAACTAGACAGAAGGATTCTCAGAAACTTATTGGTGATGTGTGTCCTAAACGAACACAGTTGAACCTTTGTTTTGATACAGCATTTTGGAAACACTCCCTTTGTAGAATCTGCAGGTGGATATTTGGATAGATTTTAAGATTTCGTTGGAAACGGGAATTTCTTCATATAAACTCAAGACAGATGCATTCTCCGAAACTTCTCTGTTATGTTTGCATTCCACTCATAGAGTTGAAAACTTCCTTTCATAGAGCAGGTTTGAAACACTCTTTTTGTAATATTTGGAAGTGGACATTTGCAGCGCTTTGAGGCCTATGGTGAAAAAGGAAATATCTTCTCATAAAAACCAGTAAAGCAAGCATTCTCAGAAACTGCTTTTTGATGTGTGTACTCAAGTAACAGAGTTGAACCTTCCTTTTGACACAGCAGTTTGAAACAATCTTTTTGTAGAATCTGCAAGTGGATATTTGGATAGCTTTGAGGATTTCATTGGAAACGGGATATCTTCATATAAAATCTAGACAGAAGCATTCTCAGAAACTTCTTTGTGCTGTATGTCCTCAATTAACAGAGTTGAACCATTGCTTGGATACAGCATTTTGGAAACATTCCTTGAGTAGAATCTGCAAGTTGATATTTAGATAGATTTGAAGATTTCGTTGGAAAAGGGAATATCTCCATATAAAATCTAGAGGGAAGCATTCTCAGAAACTGCTTTGTGATGTTTCCATTCAAGTCACAGAGTTGAATATTCCCTTTTATAGAGCACGTTTGAAACACTCTTTCTGCGCTATCTGGAAGTGGACATTTCGAGCGCTTTGAGGCCTATGGTGAAAAAGGAAATATCTTCCCATAAAAACTAGACAGAAGCATTCTCAGAAACTTGTTTGTGATGTGTGTATTCAACTAACAGAGTTGAACTTTTGTTTTTACAGAGCCGTTTTAAAACACTCTTTTTGTGGAATCAGAAAGTGGATATTCGGATGGCTCTGAGGATTTCGTTGGAAGCGGGATTACATATAAAATCTAGAGAGAAGCATTCTCAGGAACTACTTTGTGACGTTTGCATTGAAGTCACAGAATTGAACATTCACTTTGATAGAGCACGTTTGAAACACTCATTCTGTAGTATCTGGAAGCGGACAATTCAAGCGCTTTCAGGCCTATGGGGAGAAAGGAACTATCTTCAAATAAAAACTAGAGAGAAGCATCCTCAGAAACTTATTTGTGATGTGTGTCCTCAACTAACAGAGTTGAAACTTTGTTTTGATACAGCATTTTGGAAACACTCTTTTTGTAGAATCTGCAGGTGGATGTTTGGATAGCTAAGAGGGATTCGTTTGAAAGGGGATATCTTCATATAAAATGTAGACAGAAGCATTCTCAGAAACTTATTTGTGATGTGTGTCCTCAACTAACAGAGTTGAACCTTGGTTTTGATACAGCATTTTGGAAACACTCCTTTTGTAGAATCTGCAGGTGGATATGTGGATAGCTTTGAAGATTTCGTTGGAAACGGGAATTTCTTCATATAAAATCAAACAGAAGCATTCTCAGAAACTTCTCTGTGATGTTTGCATTCAGCTCATGGAGTTGAACACTTCCTTTCATAGAGCAGCTTTGAAACACTCTTTCTGCACTACCAGGAAGTGGACATTTCAAGCGCTTTGAGGCCTATGGTGAAAAAGGAAATATCTTCTCATAAAAACCAGAAAGAAGCGTTCTCAGAAACTTCTTTGTGTTGTGTGTACTCATGTAACAGTGTTGAACCATCCTTTTGACAGAGCAGTTTTGAAACACTCTTTTTGTAGAATCTGCAAGTGGATATTTGGATAGCTTTGAGGATTTCGTTGGAAACGGGTTATCTTCATATTAAATCTAGACAGAAGCATTCTCAGGTAACTTCTTTGTGATGTTTGCATTCAAGTCACAGAATTGAACATTCCCTTTCATAGAGCAGGTTTGAAACACTCTTTCTCTAGTATCTGGAAGTGGGCATTTCAAGCGCTTTCAGGCCTATGGAGAGAAAGGAAATACCTTCAAATAAAAACTAGACAGAAGCATTCTCAGAAACTTATTTGTGATGTGTGTCCTCAACTAACAGAGTTGAACCTTTGTTTTGATACAGCATTTTGGAAACACTCCTTTTGTAGAATCTGCAGGTGGATATTTGGATAGCTTTGAAGATTTCGTTGGAAACCGGAATATCTTCATATAAAATCAAGACAGAAGCATTCTCGGAAACATCTCTGTGATGTTTGCATTCAACTCAGTAGAGTTGAACACTTCCTTTCATAGAGCAGGTTTGAAACACTCTTTCTGCACTACCTGGAAGCGGACATTTCGAGCGCTTTGAGGCCTATGGTGAAAAAGGAAATATCTTCTCATAAAAACCAGAAAGAAGCGTTCTCAGAAACTTCTTTGTGTTGTGTGTACTCATGTAACAGTGTTGAACCATCCTTTTGACAGAGCAGTTTTGAAACACTCTTTTTGTAGAATCTGCAAGTGGATATTTGGATAGCTTTGAGGATTTCGTTGGAAACGGGTTATCTTCATATTAAATCTAGACAGAAGCATTCTCAGAAACTTCTTTGTGCTGTATGTCCTCAATTCACAGAGCTGAACCTTTGTTTGGATACAGCATTTTGGAGACATTCCTTTAGTAGAATCTGCAAGTTGATATTTAGATAGCTTTGAAGATTTCGTTGGAAACGGGAATATCTTCATAGAAAATCTAGACGGAAGCATTCTCAGAAACTGCTTTGTGATGTTTGCATTCAAGTCACAGAGTTGAATATTCCCTTTTATAGAGTAGGTTTGAAACACTCTTTCGGCACTACCTGGAAGTGGATATTTCGAGCTCTTTGAGGCCTATGGTTAAAAGGAAATATCTTCCCATAAAAACTAGACAGAAGCCTTCTCAGAAACTTGTTTGAGATGTGTGTATTCAACTAAGAGCGTTGAACATTTCTTTTTACAGAGCAGTTTTAAAACACTCTTTTTGTGGAATCTGAAAGTGGATAATTGGATAGCTTTGTGGATTTCGTTGGAAACGGGATGACGTATAAAATCTAGAGAGAAGCATTCTCAGGAACTTCTTTCTGATGTTTGCATTCAAGTCACAGAATTGAACATTCGTTTTCATAGTGCAGGTTTGAAACACTCTGTAGTATCTGGAAGTCGACATTTCAAGCGCTTTCAGGCCTATGGGGAGAAAGGAAATATCTTGAAATAAAAACTAGACAGAAGGATTCTCAGAAACTTATTTGTGATGTGTGTTCTCAACGAACACAGTTGAACCTTTGTTTTGATATAGCATTTTGGAAGCACTCCTTTTGTAGAATCTGCAGGTGGATATTTGGATAGATTTTAAGATTTCATTGGAAACGGGAATTTCTTCATATAAACTCAAGACAGATGCATTCTCAGAAACTTCTCTGTGATGTTTGCATTCCACTCATAGAGTTGAAAACTTCCTTTCATAGAGCAGGTTTGAAACACTCTTTCTGTAATATTTGGAAGTGGACATTTGCAGCGCTTTGAGGCCTATGGTGAAAAAGGAAATATCTTCTCATAAAAACCAGAAACAAGCATTCTCAGAAAGTTCTTTTTGATGTGTGTACTCAAGTAACAGAGTTGAACCTTCCTATTGACACAGCAGTTTTGAAACAATCTTTTTGTAGAATCTGCAAGTGGATATTTGGATAGCTTTGAGGATTTCATTGGAAACGGGATATCTTCATATAAAATCTAGACAGAAGCATTCTCAGAAACTTCTTTGTGCTGTATGACCTCAATTAACAGAGTTGAACCATTGCCTGCATACAGCATTTTGGAAACATTCCTTGAGTAGAATCTGCAAGTTGATATTTAGATAGATTTGAAGATTTCGTTGGAAAAGGGAATATCTCCATATAAAATCTAGAGGGAGGCATTCTCAGAAACTGCTTTGTGATGTTTCCATTCAAGTCACAGAGTTGAATATTCTCTTTTATAGAGCACGTTTGAAACACTCTTTCTGCACTATCTGGAAGTGGACATTTCGAGCGCTTTGAGGCCTATGGTGAAAAAGGAAATATCTTCCCATAAAAACTAGACAGAAGCATTCTCAGAAACTTGTTTGTGATGTGTGTATTCAACTAACAGAGTTGAACTTTTGTTTTTACAGAGCCGTTTTAAAACACTCTTTTTGTGGAATCAGAAAGTGGATATTCGGATGGCTCTGAGGATTTCGTTGGAAGCGGGATTACGTATAAAATCTAGAGAGAAGCATTCTCAGGAACTTCTTTGTGATGTTTGCATTGAAGTCACAGAATTGAACATTCACTTTGATAGAGCAGGTTTGAAACACTCATTCTGTAGTATCTGGAAGTGGACATTTCAAGCGCTTTCAGGCCTATGGTGAGAAAGGAAATATCTTCGAATAAAAACTAGACAGAAGCATCCTCAGAAACTTATTTGTGATGTGTGTCCTCAACTAACAGAGTTGAAACTTTGTTTTGATACAACATTTTGGAAACACTCTTTTTGTAGAATCTGCAGGTGGATATTTGGATAGCTTAGAGGGATTCGTTGGAAAGGGGATATCTTCATATAAAATCTAGACAGAAGCATTCTCAGAAACTTATTTGTGATGTGTGTCCTCAACTAACAGAGTTGAACCTTGGTTTTGATACAGCATTTTGGAAACACTTCTTTTGTAGAATCTGCAGGTGGATATGTGGATAGCTTTGAAGATTTCGTTGGAAACGGGAATTTCTTCATATAAAATCAAACAGAAGCATTCTCAGGAACTTCTCTGTGATGTTTGCATTCAGCTCATGGAGTTGAACACTTCCTTTCATAGAGCAGGTTTGAAACACTCTTTCTGCACTACCTGGAAGTGGACATTTCGAGCGCTTTGAGGCCTATGGTGAAAAAGGAAATATCCTCTCATAAAAACCAGAAAGAAGCATTCTCAGAAACTTCTTTGTGTTGTGTGTACTCATGTAACAGTGTTGAACCATCCTTTTGACAGAGGAGTTTTGAAACACTCTTTTTGTAGAATCTGCAAGTGGATATTTGGATAGCTTTGAGGATTTCGTTGGAAACGGGATGACATATAATATCTAGAGAGAAGCATTCTCAGGAACTTCTTTGTGATGTTTGCATTCAAGTCACAGAATTGAACATTCCCTTTCATAGAGCAGGTTTGAAACACTCTTTCTCTAGTATCTGGAAGTGGGCATTTCAAGCGCTTTCAGGCCTATGGAGAGAAAGGAAATACCTTCAAATAAAAACTAGACAGAAGCATTCTCAGAAACTTATTTGTGATGTGTGTCCTCAACTAACAGAGTTGAACCTTTGTTTTGATACAGCATTTTGGAAACACTCCTTTTGTAGAATCTGCAGGTGGATATTTGGATAGCTTTGAAGATTTCGTTGGAAACCGGAATATCTTCATATAAAATCAAGACAGAAGCATTCTCAGAAACTTCTCTGTGATGTTTGCATTCAGCTCATGGAGTTGAACACTTCCTTTCATAGAGCAGGTTTGAAACACTCTTTCTGCACTACCTGGAAGTTTACATTTCGAGCGCTTTGAGGCCTATGGTGAAAAAGGAAATATCTTCTCATAAAAACCAGAAAGAAGCTTTCTCAGAAACTTCTTTGTGTTGTGTGTACTCATGTAACAGTGTTGAACCATCCTTTTGACAGAGCAGTTTTGAAACAGTCTTTTTGTAGAATCTGCAAGTGGATATTTGGATAGCTTTGAGGATTTCGTTGGAAACGGGTTATCTTCATATTAAATCTAGACAGAAGCATTCTCAGAAACTTCTTTGTGCTGTATGTCCTCAATTCACAGAGTGGAACCTTTGTTTGGATACAGCATTTTGGAAACATTCCTTTAGTAGAATCTGCAAGTTGATATTTAGATAGCTTTGAAGATTTCGTTGGAAACGGGAATATCTTCATAAAAAATCTAGACGGAAGCATTGTCAGAAACTGCTTTGTGATGTTTGCATTCAAGTCACAGAGTTAAATATTCTTTTACAGAGCAGGTTTGAAACACTCTTTCTGCACTCCCTGGAAGTGGAGATTTCGAGCGCTTTGAGGCCTATGGTGAAAAAGGAAATATCTTCCCATAAAAACTAGACGGAAGCCTTCTCAGAAACTTGTTTGAGATGTGTGTATTCAACTAAGAGCGTTGAACATTTCTTTTTACAGAGCAGTTTTAAAACACTCTTTTGTGGAATCTGAAAGTGGATAATTGGATAGCTTTGTGGATTTCGTTGGAAACGGGATGACGTATAAAATCTAGAGAGAAGCATTTTCAGGAACTTCTTTCTGATGTTTGCATTCAAGTCACAGAATTGAACATTCCTTTTCATAGTGCAGGTTTGAAACACTCTTTCTGTACTATCTGGAAGTGGACATTTCAAGCGCTTTCAGGCCTATGGGGAGAAAGGAAATATCTTCAAATAAAAACTAGACAGAAGGATTCTCAGAAACTTATTGGTGATGTGTGTCCTAAACGAACACAGTTGAACCTTTGTTTTGATACAGCATTTTGGAAACACTCCCTTTGTAGAATCTGCAGGTGGATATTTGGATAGATTTTAAGATTTCGTTGGAAACGGGAATTTCTTCATATAAACTCAAGACAGATGCATTCTCAGAAACTTCTCTGTGATGTTTGCATTCCACTCATAGAGTTGAAAACTTCCTTTCATAGAGCAGGTTTGAAACACTCTTTTTGTAATATTTGGAAGTGGACATTTGCAGCGCTTTGAGGCCTATGGTGAAAAAGGAAATATCTTCTCATAAAAACCAGAAACAAGCATTCTCAGAAACTTCTTTTTGATGTGTGTACTCAAGTAACAGAGTTGAACCTTCCTTTTGACACAGCAGTTTTGAAACAATCTTTTTGTAGAATCTGCAAGTGGATATTTGGATAGCTTTGAGGATTTCGTTGGAAACGGGATATCTTCATATAAAATCTAGACAGAAGCATTCTCAGAAACTTCTTTGTGCTGTATGACCTCAATTAACAGAGTTGAACCATTGCTTGCATACAGCATTTTGGAAACATTCCTTGAGTAGAATCTGCAAGTTGATATTTAGATAGATTTGAAGATTTCGTTCGAAAACGGAATATCTCCATATAAAATCTAGAGGGAAGCATTCTCAGAAACTGCTTTGTGATGTTTCCTTTCAAGTCACAGAGTTGAATATTCCCTTTTATAGAGCACGTTTGAAACACTCTTTCTGCGCTATCTGGAAGTGGACATTTCGAGCGCTTTGAGGCCTATGGTGAAAAAGGAAATATCTTCCCATAAAAACTAGACAGAAAGCATTCTCAGAAACTTGTTTGTGATGTGTGTATTCAACTAACAGACTTGAACTTTTGTTTTTACAGAGCAGTTTTAAAACAATCTTTTTGTGGAATCAGAAAGTGGATATTCGGATGGCTTTGAGGATTTCGTTGGAAGCGGGATTACATATAAAATCTAGAGAGAAGCATTCTCAGGAACTACTTTGTGATGTTTGCATTGAAGTCACAGAATTGAACATTCACTATGATAGAGCAGGTTTGAAACACTCATGCTGTAGTATCTGGAAGTGGACATTTCAAGCGCTTTCAGGCCTATGGTGAGAAAGGAAATATCTTCAAATTAAAACTAGACAGAAGCATCCTCAGAAACTTATTTGTGATGTGTGTCCTCAACTAACAGAGTTGAAACTTTGTTTTGATACAGCATTTTGGAAACACTCTTTTTGTAGAATCTGCAGGTGGATATTTGGATAGCTTAGAGGGATTCGTTGGAAAGGGGATATCTTCATATAAAATCTAGACAGAAGCATTCTCAGAAACTTATTTGTGATGTGTGTCCTCAACTAACAGAGTTGAACCTTGGTTTTGATACAGCATTTTGGAAACACTCCTTTTGTAGAATCTGCATGTGGATATGTGGATAGCTCTGAAGATTTCGTTGGAAACGGGAATTTCTTCATATAAAATCAAACAGAAGCATTCTCAGAAACTTCTCTGTGATGTTTGCATTCAGCTCATGCAGTTGAACACTTCCTTTCAGAGAGCAGCTTTGAAACACTCTTTCTGCACTACCAGGAAGTGGACATTTCAAGCGCTTTGAGGCCTATGGTGAAAAAGGAAATATCTTCTCATAAAAACCAGAAAGAAGCGTTCTCAGAAACTTCTTTGTGTTGTGTGTACTCATGTAACAGTGTTGAACCATCCTTTTGACAGAGCAGTTTTGAAACACTCTTTTTGTAGAATCTGCAAGTGGATATTTGGATAGCTTTGAGGATTTCGTTGGAAACGGGTTATCTTCATATTAAATCTAGACAGAAGCATTCTCAGAAACTTCTTTGTGCTGTATGTCCTCAATTCACAGAGTTGAACCTTTGTTTGGATACAGCATTTTGGAAACATTCCTTTAGTAGAATCTGCAAGTTGATATTTAGATAGCTTTGAAGATTTCGTTGGAAACGGGAATATCTTCATAAAAAATCTAGACGGAAGCATTGTCAGAAACTGCTTTGTGATGTTTGCATTCAAGTCACAGAGTTAAATATTCTTTTACAGAGCAGGTTTGAAACACTCTTTCTGCACTCCCTGGAAGTGGAGATTTCGAGCGCTTTGAGGCCTATGGTGAAAAAGGAAATATCTTCCCATAAAAACTAGACGGAAGCCTTCTCAGAAACTTGTTTGAGATGTGTGTATTCAACTAAGAGCGTTGAACATTTCTTTTTACAGAGCAGTTTTAAAACACTCTTTTGGTGGAATCTGAAAGTGGATAATTGGATAGCTTTGTGGATTTCGTTGGAAACGGGATGACGTATAAAATCTAGAGAGAAGCATTCTCAGGAACTTCTTTCTGATGTTTGCATTCAAGTCACAGAATTGAACATTCCTTTTCATAGTGCAGGTTTGAAACACTCTTTCTGTAGTATCTGGAAGGGAACATTTCAAGCGCTTTCAGGCCTCTGGGGAGGAAGGAAATATCTTCAAATAAAAACTAGACAGAAGGATTCTCAGAAACTTATTTGTGATGTGTGTCCTAAACGAACACAGTTGAACCTTTGTTTTGATACAGCATTTTGGAAAAACTCCTTTTGTAGAATCTGCAGGTGGATATTTGGATAGATTTTAAGATTTCGTTGGAAACGGGAATTTCTTCATAGAAACTCAAGACAGATGCATTCTCAGAAACTTCTCTGTGATGTTTGCATTCCACTCATAGAGTTGAAAACTTCCTTTCATAGAGCAGGTTTGAAACACTCTTTTTGTAATATTTGGAAGTGGACATTTGCAGCGCTTTGAGGCCTATGGTGAAAAAGGAAATATCTTCTCATAAAAACCAGAAACAAGCATTCTCAGAAACTTCTTTTTGATGTGTGTACTCAAGTAACAGAGTTGAACCTTCCTTTTGACACAGCAGTTTTGAAACAATCTTTTTATAGAATCTGCAAGTGGATATTTGGATAGCTTTGAGGATTTCGTTGCAAACGGGATATCTTCATATGAAATCTAGACAGAAGCATTCTCAGAAACTTCTTTGTGCTGTATGTCCTCAATTAACAGAGTTGAACCATTGCTTGGATACAGCATTTTGGAAACATTCCTTTAGTAGAATCTGCAAGTTGATATTTAGATAGATATGAAGATTTCGTTGGAAACGGGAATATCTTCATATAAAATCTAGACGGAGGCATTCTCAGAAACTGCTTTGTGATGTTTCCATTCAAGTCACAGAGTTGAATATTCTCTTTTATAGAGCACGTTTGAAACACTCTTTCTGCACTATCTGGAAGTGGACATTTCAAGCGCTGTGAGGCCTATGGTGAAAAAGGAAATATCTTCCCATAAAAACTAGACAGAAGCATTCTCAGAAACTTGTTTGTGATGTGTGTATTCAACTAACAGACTTGAACTTTTGTTTTTACAGAGCAGTTTTAACACAATCTTTTTGTGGAATCACAAAGTGGATATTCGGATGGCTTTGAGGATTTCGTTGGAAGCGGGATTACATATAAAATCTAGAGAGAAGCATTCTCAGGAACTACTTTGTGATGTTTGCATTGAAGTCACAGAATTGAACATTCACTTTGATAGAGCAGGTTTGAAACACTCATTCTGTAGTATCTGGAAGCCGACAATTCAAGCGCTTTCAGGCCTATGGGGAGAAAGGAAATATCTTCAAATAGAAACTAGACAGAAGCATCCTCAAACTTATTTGTGATGTGTGTCCTCAACTAACAGAGTTGAAACTTTGTTTTGATACAGCATTTTGGAAACACTCTTTTTGTAGAATCTGCAGGTGGATATTTGGATAGCTTAGAGGGATTCGTTGGAAAGGGGATATCTTCATATAAAATCTAGACAGAAGCATTCTCAGAAACTTATTTGTGATGTGTGTCCTCAACTAACAGAGTTGAACCTTGGTTTTGATACAGCATTTTGGAAACACTCCTTTTGTAGAATCTGCAGGTGGATATGTGGATAGCTCTGAAGATTTCGTTGGAAACGGGAATTTCTTCATATAAAATCAAACAGAAGCATTCTCAGAAACTTCTCAGTGATGTTTGCATTCAGTTCATGGAGTTGAACACTTCCTTTCATAGAGCCGGTTTGAAACACTCTTTCTGCACTACCTGGAAGAGGACATTTCGAGCGCTTTGAGTCCTATGGTGAAAAAGGAAATATCTTCTCATAGAAACCAGAAAGAAGCATTCTCAGAAACTTCTTTGTGTTGTGTGTACTCATGTAACAGTGTTGAACCATCCTTTTGACAGAGGAGTTTTGAAACACTCTTTTTGTAGAATCTGCAAGTGGATATTTGGATAGCTTTGAGGATTTCGTTGGAAACGGGATGACATATAATATCTAGAGAGAAGCATTCTCAGGAACTTCTTTGTGATGTTTGCATTCAAGTCACAGAATTGAACATTCCCTTTCATAGAGCAGGTTTGAAACACTCTTTCTCTAGTATCTGGAAGTGGGCATTTCAAGCGCTTTGAGGCCTATGGAGAGAAAGGAAATACCTTCAAATAAAAACTAGACAGAAGCATTCTCAGAAACTTATTTGTGATGTGTGTCCTCAACTAACAGAGTTGAACCTTTGTTTTGATACAGCATTTTGGAAACACTCCTTTTGTAGAATCTGCAGGTGGATATTTGGATAGCTTTGAAGATTTCGTTGGAAACCGGAATATCTTCATATAAAATCAAGACAGAAGCATTCTCGGAAACATCTCTGTGATGTTTGCATTCAACTCAGTAGAGTTGAACACTTCCTTTCATAGAGCAGGTTTGAAACACTCTTTCTGCACTACCTGGAAGCGGACATTTCGAGCGCTTTGAGGCCTATGGTGAAAAAGGAAATATCTTCTCATAAAAACCAGAAAGAAGCATTCTCAGAAACTTCTTTGTGTTGTGTGTACTCAAGTAACAGTGTTGAACCTTCCTTTTGACAGAGCAGTTTTGAAACACTCTTTTGGTAGAATCTGCAAGTGGATATTTGGATAGCTTTGAGGATTTCGTTGGAAACGGGTTATCTTCCTATAAAATCCAGACAGGAGCATTCTCAGAAACTTCTTTGTGCTGTATGTCCTCAATTCACAGAGCTGAACCTTTGTTTGGATACAGCATTTTGGAGACATTCCTTTAGTAGAATCTGCAAGTTGATATTTAGATAGCTTTGAAGATTTCGTTGGAAACGGGAATATCTTCATAGAAAATCTAGACGGAAGCATTCTCAGAAACTGCTTTGTGATGTTTGCATTCAAGTCACAGAGTTGAATATTCCCTTTTATAGAGTAGGTTTGAAACACTCTTTCGGCACTACCTGGAAGTGGATATTTCGAGCTCTTTGAGGCCTATGGTTAAAAGGAAATATCTTCCCATAAAAACTAGACAGAAGCCTTCTCAGAAACTTGTTTGAGATGTGTGTATTCAACTAAGAGCGTTGAACATTTCTTTTTACAGAGCAGTTTTAAAACACTCTTTTTGTGGAATCTGAAAGTGGATAACTGGATAGCTTTGTGGATTTCGTTGGAAACGGGATTACGAATAAAATCTAGAGAGAAGCATTCTCAGGAACTTCTTTCTGATGTTTGCATTCAAGTCACAGAATTGAACATTCCTTTTCATAGTGCAGGTTTGAAACACTCTTTCTGTAGTATCTGGAAGGGGACATTTCAAGCGCTTTCAGGCCTCTGGGGAGGAAGGAAATATCTTCAAATAAAAACTAGACAGAAGGATTCTCAGAAACTTATTTGTGATGTGTGTCCTAAACGAACACAGTTGAACCTTTGTTTTGATACAGCATTTTGGAAACACTCCTTTTGTAGGATCTGCAGGTGGATATTTGGATAGATTTTAAGATTTCGTTGGAAACGGGAATTTCTGCATATAAACTCAAGACAGATGCATTCTCAGAAACTTCTCTGTGATGTTTGCATTCCACTCATAGAGTTGAAAACTTCCTTTCATAGAGCAGGTTTGAAACACTCTTTTTGTAATATTTGGAAGTGGACATTTGCAGCGCTTTGAGGCCTATGGTGAAAAAGGAAATATCTTCTCATAAAAACCAGAAACAAGCATTCTCAGAAACTTCTTTTTGATGTGTGTACTCAAGTAACAGAGTTGAACCTTCCTTTTGACACAGCAGTTTTGAAACAATCTTTTTGTAGAATCTGCAAGTGGATATTTGGATAGCTTTGAGGATTTCGTTGGAAACGGGATATCTTCATATAAAATCTAGACAGAAGCATTCTCAGAAACTTCTTTGTGCTGTATGACCTCAATTAACAGAGTTGAACCATTGCTTGCATACAGCATTTTGGAAACATTCCTTGAGTAGAATCTGCAAGTTGATATTTAGATAGATTTGAAGATTTCGTTCGAAAACGGAATATCTCCATATAAAATCTATAGGGAGGCATTCTCAGAAACTGCTTTGTGATGTTTCCATTCAAGTCAGAGAGTTGAATATTCTCTTTTATAGAGCACGTTTGAAACACTCTTTCTGCACTATCTGGAAGTGGACATTTCGAGCGCTTTGAGGCCTATGTTGAAAAAGGAAATATCTTCCCATAAAAACTAGACAGAAGCATTCTCAGAAACTAGTTTGTGATGTGTGTATTCAACTAACAGACTTGAACTTTTGTTTTTACACGGCAGTTTTAAGACAATCCTTTTGTGGAATCAGAAAGTGGATATTCGGATGGCTTTGAGGATTTCGTTGGAAGCGGGATTACATATACAATCTAGAGAGAAGCATTCTCAGGAACTACTTTGTGATGTTTGCATTGAAGTCACAGAATTGAACATTCACTTTGATAGAGCAGGTTTGAAACACTCATTCTGTAGTATCTGGAAGTGGACAATTCAAGCGCTTTCAGGCCTATGGGGAGAAAGGAAATATCTTCAAATAAAAACTAGACAGAAGCATTCTCAGAAACTTATTTGTGATGTGTGTCCTCAACTAACAGAGTTGAAACTTTGTTTTGATACAGCATTTTGGAAACACTCTTTTTGTAGAATCTGCAGGTGGATATTTGGATAGCTTAGAGGGATTCGTTGGAAAGGGGATATCTTCATATAAAATCTAGACAGAAGCATTCTCAGAAACTTATTTGTGATGTGTGTCCTCAACTAACAGAGTTGAACCTTGGTTTTGATACAGCATTTTGGAAACACTCCTTTTGTAGAATCTGCAGGTGGATATGTGGATAGCTCTGAAGATTTCGTTGGAAACAGGAATTTCTTCATATAAAATCAAACAGAAGCATTCTCAGAAACTTCTCAGTGATGTTTGCATTCAGTTCATGGAGTTGAACACTTCCCTTCATAGAGCCGGTTTGAAACACTCTTTCTGCACTACCTGGAAGAGGACATTTCGAGCGCTTTGAGTCCTATGGTGAAAAAGGAAATATCTTCTCATATAAACCAGAAAGAAGCATTCTCAGAAACTTCTTTGTGTTGTGTGTACTCATGTAACAGTGTTGAACCATCCTTTTGACAGAGCAGTTTTGAAACACTCTTTTTGTAGAATCTGCAAGTGGATATTTGGATAGCTTTGAGGATTTCGTTGGAAACGGGATGACATATAATATCTAGAGAGAAGCATTCTCAGGAACTTCTTTGTGATGTTTGCATTCAAGTCACAGAATTGAACATTCCCTTTCATAGAGCAGGTTTGAAACACTCTTTCTCTAGTATCTGGAAGTGGGCATTTCAAGCGCTTTCAGGCCTATGGAGAGAAAGGAAATACCTTCAAATAAAAACTAGACAGAAGCATTCTCAGAAACTTATTTGTGATGTGTGTCCTCAACTAACAGAGTTGAACCTTTGTTTTGATACAGCATTTTGGAAACACTCCTTTTGTAGAATCTGCAGGTGGATATTTGGATAGCTTTGAAGATTTCGTTGGAAACCGGAATATCTTCATATAAAATCAAGACAGAAGCATTCTCGGAAACATCTCTGTGATGTTTGCATTCAACTCAGTAGAGTTGAACACTTCCTTTCATAGAGCAGGTTTGAAACACTCTTTCTGCACTACCTGGAAGCGGACATTTCGAGCGCTTTGAGGCCTATGGTGAAAAAGGAAATATCTTCTCATAAAAACCAGAAAGAAGCATTCTCAGAAACTTCTTTGTGTTGTGTGTACTCAAGTAACAGTGTTGAACCTTCCTTTTGACAGAGCAGTTTTGAAACACTCTTTTGGTAGAATCTGCAAGTGGATATTTGGAGAGCTTTGAGGATTTCGTTGGAAACGGGTTATCTTCCTATAAAATCCAGACAGGAGCATTCTCAGAAACTTCTTTGTGCTGTATGTCCTCAATTCACAGAGTTGAACCTTTGTTTGGATACAGCATTTTGGAAACATTCCTTTAGTAGAATCTGCAAGTTGATATTTAGATAGCTTTGAAGATTTCGTTGGAAACGGGAATATCTTCATAAAAAATCTAGACGGAAGCATTGTCAGAAACTGCTCTGTGATGTTTGCATTCAAGTCACAGAGTTAAGTATTCTTTTATAGAGCAGGTTTGAAACACTCTTTCTGCACTCCCTGGAAGTGGAGATTTCGAGCGCTTTGAGGCCTATGGTGAAAAAGGAAATATCTTCCCATAAAAACTAGACGGAAGCCTTCTCAGAAACTTGTTTGAGATGTGTGTATTCAACTAAGAGCGTTGAACATTTCTTTTTACAGAGCAGTTTTAAAACACTCTTTTTGTGGAATCTGAAAGTGGATAATTGGATAGCTTTGTGGATTTCGTTGGAAACGGGATGACGTATAAAATCTAGAGAGAAGTATTCTCAGGAACTTCTTTCTGATGTTTGCATTCAAGTCACAGAATTGAACATTCCTTTTCAGAGTGCAGGTTTGAAACACTCTTTCTGTAGTATCTGGAAGTGGACATTTCAAGCGCTTTCAGGCCTACGGGGAGAAAGGAAATATCTTCAAATAAAAACTAGACAGAAGGATTCTCAGTAAACTTATTTGTGATGTGTGTCCTAAACGAACACAGTTGAACCTTTGTTTTGATACAGCATTTTGGAAACACTCCTTTTGTAGGATCTGCAGGTGGATATTTGGATAGATTTTAAGATTTCGTTGGAAACGGGAATTTCTTCATAGAAGCTCAAGACAGATGCATTCTCAGAAACTTCTCTGTGATGTTTGCATTCAACTCACAGAGTTGAAAACTTCCTTTCATAGAGCAGGTTTGAAACACTCTTTTTGTAATATTTGGAAGTGGACATTTGCAGCGCTTTGAGGCCTATGGTGAAAAAGGAAATATCTTCTCATAAAAAACAGAAACAAGCATTCTCAGAAACTTCTTTTTGATGTGTGTACTCAAGTAACAGAGTTGAACCTTCCTCTTGACACAGCAGTTTTGAAACAATCTTTTTGTAGAATCTGCAAGTGGATATTTGGATAGCTTTGAGGATTTCGTTGGAAACGGGATATCTTCATATAAAATCTAGACAGAAGCATTCTCAGAAACTTCTTTGTGCTGTATGTCCTCAATTAACAGAGTTGAACCATTGCCTGGATACAGCATTTTGGAAACATTCCTTGAGTAGAATCTGCAAGTTGATATTTAGATAGATTTGAAGATTTCGTTGGAAAAGGGAATATCTCCATATAAAATCTAGAGGGAAGCATTCTCAGAAACTGCTTTGTGATGTTTCCATTCAAGTCACAGAGTTGAATATTCCCTTTTATAGAGCACGTTTGAAACACTCTTTCTGCACTATCTGGAAGCGGACATTTCGAGCGCTTTGAGGCCTATGGTGAAAAAGGAAATATCTTCCCATAAAAACTAGACAGAAGCATTCTCAGAAACTTGTTTGTGATGTGTGTATTCAACTAACAGAGTTGAACTTTTGTTTTTACAGAGCCGTTTTAAAACACTCTTTTTGTGGAATCAGAAAGTGGATATTCGGATGGCTCTGAGGATTTCGTTGGAAGCGGGATTACGTATAAAATCTAGAGAGAAGCATTCTCAGGAACTACTTTGTGATGTTTGCATTGAAGTCACAGAATTGAACATTCACTTTGATAGAGCAGGTTTGAAACACTCATGCTGTAGTATCTGGAAGTGGACATTTCAAGCGCTTTCAGGCCTATGGGGAGAAAGGAAATATCTTCAAATTAAAACTAGACAGAAGCATTCTCAGAAACTTATTTGTGATGTGTGTCCTCAACTAACAGAGTTGAAACTTTGTTTTGATACAGCATTTTGGAAACACTCTTTTTGTAGAATCTGCAGGTGGATATTTGGATAGCTTAGAGGGATTCGTTGGAAAGGGGATATCTTCATATAAAATCTAGACAGAAGCATTCTCAGAAACTTATTTGTGATGTGTGTCCTCAACTAACAGAGTTGAACCTTGGTTTTGATACAGCATTTTGGAAACACTCCTTTTGTAGAATCTGCAGGTGGATATGTGGATAGCTCTGAAGATTTCGTTGGAAACGGGAATTTCTTCATATAAAATCAAACAGAAGCATTCTCAGAAACTTCTCTGTGATGTATCCATTCAGCTCATGGAGTTGAACACTTCCTTTCAGAGAGCAGCTTTGAAACACTCTTTCTGCACTACCAGGAAGTGGACATTTCGAGCGCTTTGAGGCCTATGGTGAAAAAGGAAATATCTTCTCATAAAAACCAGAAAGAAGCGTTCTCAGAAACTTCTTTGTGTTGTGTGTACTCATGTAACAGTGTTGAACCATCCTTTTGACAGAGCAGTTTTGAAACACTCTTTTTGTAGAATCTGCAAGTGGATATTTGGATAGCTTTGAGGATTTCGTTGGAAACGGGTTATCTTCATATTAAATCTAGACAGAAGCATTCTCAGGAACTTCTTTGTGATGTTTGCATTCAAGTCACAGAATTGAACATTCCCTTTCATAGAGCAGGTTTGAAACACTTTCTCTAGTATCTGGAAGTGGGCATTTCAAGCGCTTTCAGGCCTATGGAGAGAAAGGAAGTACCTTCAAATAAAAACTAGACAGAAGCATTCTCAGAAACTTATTTGTGATGTGTGTCCTCAACTAACAGAGTTGAACCTTTGTTTTGATACAGCATTTTGGAAACACTCCTTTTGTAGAATCTGCAGGTGGATATTTGGATAGCTTTGAAGATTTCGTTGGAAACCGGAATATCTTCCTATAAAATCAAGACAGAAGCATTCTCGGAAACATCTCTGTGATGTTTGCATTCAACTCAGTAGAGTTGAACACTTCCTTTCATAGAGCAGGTTTGAAACACTCTTTCTGCCCTACCTGGAAGCGGACATTTCGAGCTCTTTGAGGCCTATGGTGAAAAAGGAAATATCTTCTCATAAAAACCAGAAAGAAGCATTCTCAGAAACTTCTTTGTGTTGTGTGTACTCAAGTAACAGTGTTGAACCTTCCTTTTGACAGAGCAGTTTTGAAACACTCTTTTGGTAGAATCTGCAAGTGGATATTTGGATAGCTTTGAGGATTTCGTTGGAAACGGGTTATCTTCATATAAAATACCAGACAGGAAGCATTCTCAGAAACTTCTTTGTGCTGTATGTCCTCAATTCACAGAGTTGAACCTTTGTTTGGATACAGCATTTTGGAAACATTCCTTTAGTAGAATCTGCAAGTTGATATTTAGACAGCTTTGAAGATTTCGTTGGAAACGGGAATATCTTCATAAAAAATCTAGACGGAAGCATTGCCAGAAACTGCTTTGTGATGTTTAAATTCAAGTCACAGAGTTAAATATTCTTTTACAGAGCAGGTTTGAAACACTCTTTCTCCACTCCCTGGAAGTGGAGATTTCGAGCGCTTTGAGGCCTATGGTGAAAAAGGAAATATCTTCCCATAAAAACTAGACGGAAGCCTTCTCAGAAACTTGTTTGAGATGTGTGTATTCAACTAAGAGCGTTGAACATTTCTTTTTACAGAGCAGTTTTAAAACACTCTTTTTGTGGAATCTGAAAGTGGATAATTGGATAGCTTTGTGGATTTCGTTGGAAACGGGATGACGTATAAAATCTAGAGAGAAGCATTCTCAGGAACTTCTTTCTGATGTTTGCATTCAAGTCACAGAATTGAACATTCCTTTTCATAGTGCAGGTTTGAAACACTCTTTCTGTAGTATCTGGAAGGGGACATTTCAAGTGTTTTCAGGCCTCTGGGGAGGAAGGAAATATCTTCAAATAAAAACTAGACAGAAGGATTCTCAGAAACTTATTTGTGATGTGTGTCCTAAGCGAACACAGTTGAACCTTTGTTTTGATACAGCATTTTGGAAACACTCCTTTTGTAGAATCTGCAGGTGGATATTTGGATAGATTTTAAGATTTCATTGGAAACGGGAATTTCTGCATAGAAACTCAAGACAGATGCATTCTCAGAAACTTCTCTGTGATGTTTGCATTCCACTCATAGAGTTGAAAACTTCCTTTCATAGAGCAGGTTTGAAACACTCTTTTTGTAATATTTGGAAGTGGACATTTGCAGCGCTTTGAGGCCTATGGTGAAAAAGGAAATATCTTCTCATAAAAACCAGAAACAAGCATTCTCAGAAACTTCTTTTTGATGTGTGTACTCAAGTAACAGAGTTGAACCTTCCTTTTGACACAGCAGTTTTGAAACAATCTTTTTGTAGAATCTGCAAGTGGATATTTGGATAGCTTTGAGGATTTCGTTGGAAACGGGATATCTTCATATAAAATCTAGACAGAAGCATTCTCAGAAACTTCTTTGTGCTGTATGTCCTCAATTAACAGAGTTGAACCATTGCTTGGATACAGCATTTTGGAAACATTCCTTGAGTAGAATCTGCAAGTTGATATTTAGATAGATTTGAAGATTTCGTTGGAAAAGGGAATATCTCCATATAAAATCTAGAGGGAGGCATTCTCAGAAACGGCTTTGTGATGTTTCCATTCAAGTCACAGAGTTGAATATTCTCTTTTATAGAGCACGTTTGAAACACTCTTTCTGCACTATCTGGAAGTGGACATTTCGAGCGCTTTGAGGCCTATGGTGAAAAAGGAAATATCTTCCCATATAAACTAGACAGAAGCATTCTCAGAAACTTGTTTGTGATGTGTGTATTCAACTAACAGAGTTGAACTTTTGTTTTTACAGAGCCGTTTTAAAACACTCTTTTTGTGGAATCAGAAAGTGGATATTCGGATGGCTCTGAGGATTTCGTTGGAAGCGGGATTACATATAAAATCTAGAGAGAAGCATTCTCAGGAACTTCTTTCTGATATTTGCATTGAAGTCACAGAATTGAACATTCACTTTTATAGAGCAGGTTTGAAACACTCATTCTGTAGTATCTGGAAGTGGACATTTCAAGCGCTTTCAGGCCTATGGTGAGAAAGGAAATATCTTCGAATAAAAACTAGACAGAAGCATCCTCAAACTTATTTGTGATGTGTGTCCTCAACTAACAGAGTTGAAACTTTGTTTTGATACAGCATTTTGGAAACACTCTTTTTGTAGAATCTGCAGGTGGATATTTGGATAGCTTAGAGGGATTCGTTGGAAAGGGGATATCTTCATATAAAATCTAGACAGAAGCATTCTCAGAAACTTATTTGTGATGTGTGTCCTCAACTAACAGAGTTGAACCTTGGTTTTGATACAGCATTTTGGAAACACTCCTTTTGTAGAATCTGCAGGTGGATATGTGGATAGCTCTGAAGATTTCGTTGGAAACGGGAATTTCTTCATATAAAATCAAACAGAAGCATTCTTAGAAACTTCTCAGTGATGTTTGCATTCAGCTCATGGAGTTGAACACTTCCTTTCATAGAGCAGGTTTGAAACACTCTTTCTGCACTACCTGGAAGAGGACATTTCGAGCGCTTTGAGTCCTATGGTGAAAAAGGAAATATCTTCTCATAGAAACCAGAAAGAAGCATTCTCAGAAACTTCTTTGTGTTGTGTGTACTCATGTAACAGTGTTGAACCATCCTTTTGACAGATCAGTTTTGAAACACTCTTTTTGTAGAATCTGCAAGTGGATATTTGGATAGCTTTGAGGATTTCGTTGGAAACGGGATGACATATAATATCTAGAGAGAAGCATTCTCAGGAACTTCTTTGTGATGTTTGCATTCAAGTCACAGAATTGAACATTCCCTTTCATAGAGCAGGTTTGAAACACTCTTTCTCTAGTATCTGGAAGTGGGCATTTCAAGCGCTTTCAGGCCTATGGAGAGAAAGGAAATACCTTCAAATAAAAACTAGACAGAAGCATTCTCAGAAACTTATTTGTGATGTGTGTCCTCAACTAACAGAGTTGAACCTTTGTTTTGATACAGCATTTTGGAAACACTCCTTTTGTAGAATCTGCAGGTGGATATTTGGATAGCTTTGAAGATTTCGTTGGAAACCGGAATATCTTCATATAAAATCAAGACAGAAGCATTCTCGGAAACATCTCTGTGATGTTTGCATTCAACTCAGTAGAGTTGAACACTTCCTTTCATAGAGCAGGTTTGAAACACTCTGTCTGCACTACCTGGAAGCGGACATTTCGAGCGCTTTGAGGCCTATGGTGAAAAAGGAAATATCTTCTCATAAAAACCAGAAAGAAGCATTCTCAGAAACTTCTTTGTGTTGTGTGTACTCAAGTAACAGTGTTGAACCTTCCTTTTGACAGAGCAGTTTTGAAACACTCTTTTGGTAGAATCTGCAAGTGGATATTTGGAGAGCTTTGAGGATTTCGTTGGAAACGGGTTATCTTCCTATAAAATCCAGACAGGAGCATTCTGAGAAACTTCTTTGTGCTGTATGTCCTCAATTCACAGAGTTGAACCTTTGTTTGGATACAGCATTTTGGAAACATTCCTTTAGTAGGATCTGCAAGTGGATATTTAGATAGCTTTGAAGATTTCGTTGGAAACGGGAATATCTTCATAAAAAATCTAGACGGAAGCATTGTCAGAAACTGCTTTGTGATGTTTGCATTCAAGTCACTGAGTTAAATAGTCTTTTATAGAGCAGGTTTGAAACACTCTTTCTACACTACCTGGAAGTGGAGATTTCGAGCGCTTTGAGGCCTATGGTGAAAAAGGAAATATCTTCCCATAAAAACTAGACGGAAGCCTTCTCAGAAACTTGTTTGAGATGTGTGTATTCAACTAAGAGCGTTGAACATTTCTTTGTACAGAGCAGTTTTAAAACACTCTTTTTGTGGAATCTGAAAGTGGATAACTGGATAGCTTTGTGGATTTCGTTGGAAACGGGATTACGAATAAAATCTAGAGAGAAGCATTCTCAGGAACTTCTTTCTGATGTTTGCATTCAAGTCACAGAATTGAACATTCCTTTTCATAGTGCAGGTTTGAAACACTCTTTCTGTAGTATCTGGAAGGGGACATTTGAAGCGCTTTCAGGCCTCTGGGGGAGGAAGGAAATATCTTCAAATAAAAACTAGACAGAAGGATTCTCAGAAACTTATTTGTGATGTGTGTCCTAAACGAACACAGTTGAACCTTTGTTTTGATACAGCATTTTGGAAACACTCCTTTTGTAGGATCTGCAGGTGGATATTTGGATAGATTTTAAGATTTCGTTGGAAACGGGAATTTCTGCATAGAAACTCAAGACAGATGCATTCTCAGAAACTTCTCTGTGATGTTTGCATTCCACTCATAGAGTTGAAAACTTCCTTTCATAGAGCAGGTTTGAAACACTCTTTTTGTAATATTTGGAAGTGGACATTTGCAGCGCTTTGAGGCCTATGGTGAAAAAGGAAATATCTTCTCATAAAAACCGGAAACAAGCATTCTCAGAAACTGCTTTTTGATGTGTGTACTCAAGTAACAGAGTTGAACCTTCCTTTTGACACAGCAGTTTTGAAACAATCTTTTTGTAGAATCTGCAAGTGGATATTTGGATAGCTTTGAGGATTTCGTTGGAAACGGGATATCTTCATATAAAATCTAGACAGAAGCATTCTCAGGAACTTCTTTGTGCTGTATGTCCTCAATTAACAGAGTTGAACCATTGCTTGGATACAGCATTTTGGAAACATTCCTTGAGTAGAATCTGCAAGTTGATATTTAGATAGATTTGAAGATTTCGTTGGAAAAGGGAATATCTCCATATAAAATCAAGAGGGAAGCATTCTCAGAAACTGCTTTGTGATGTTTCCATTCAAGTCACAGAGTTGAATATTCCCTTTTATAGAGCACGTTTGAAACACTCTTTCTGCACTATCTGGAAGTGGACATTTCGAGCGCTTTGAGGCCTATGGTGAAAAAGGAAATATCTTCCCATAAAAACTAGACAGAAGCATTCTCAGAAACTTGTTTGTGATGTGTGTATTCAACTAACAGAGTTGAACTTTTGTTTTTACAGAGCCGTTTTAAAACACTCTTTTTGTGGAATCAGAAAGTGGATATTCGGATGGCTCTGAGGATTTCGTTGGAAGCGGGATTACGTATAAAATCTAGAGAGAAGCATTCTCAGGAACTTCTTTCTGATGTTTGCATTGAAGTCACGGAATTGAACATTCACTTTTATAGAGCAGGTTTGAAACACTCATTCTGTAGTATCTGGAAGTGGACATTTCAAGCGCTTTCAGGCCTATGGTGAGAAAGGAAATATCTTCGAATAAAAACTAGACAGAAGCATCCTCAGAAACTTATTTGTGATGTGTGTCCTCAACTAACAGAGTTGAAACTTTGTTTTGATACAGCATTTTGGAAACACTCTTTGTAGAATCTGCAGGTGGATATTTGGATAGCTTAGAGGGATTCGTTGGAAAGGGGATATCTTCATATAAAATCTAGACAGAAGCATTCTCAGAAACTTATTTGTGATGTGTGTCCTCAACTAACAGAGTTGAACCTTGGTTTTGATACAGCATTTTGGAAACACTCCTTTTGTAGAATCTGCAGGTGGATATGTGGATAGCTCTGAAGATTTCGTTGGAAACGGGAATTTCTTCATATAAAATCAAACAGAAGCATTCTCAGGAACTTCTCTGTGATGTTTGCATTCAGCTCATGGAGTTGAACACTTCCTTTCATAGAGCAGGTTTGAAACACTCTTTCTGCACTACCTGGAAGTGGACATTTCGAGCCGCTTTGAGGCCTACGGTGAAAAAGGAAATATCCTCTCATAAAAACCAGAAAGAAGCGTTCTCAGAAACTTCTTTGTGTTGTGTGTACTCATGTAACAGTGTTGAACCATCCTTTTGACAGAGCAGTTTTGAAACACTCTTTTTGTAGAATCTGCAAGTGGATATTTGGATAGCTTTGAGGATTTCGTTGGAAACGGGTTATCTTCATATTAAATCCAGACAGAAGCATTCTCAGAAACTTCTTTGTGCTGTATGTCCTCAATTCACAGAGTTGAACCTTTGTTTGGATACAGCATTTTGGAAACATTCCTTTAGTAGAATCTGCAAGTTGATATTTAGATAGCTTTGAAGATTTCGTTGGAAACGGGAATATCTTCATAAAAAATCTAGACGGAAGCATTGTCAGAAACTGCTTTGTGATGTTTGCATTCAAGTCACAGAGTTAAATATTCTTTTACAGAGCAGGTTTGAAACACTCTTTCTGCACTCCCTGGAAGTGGAGATTTCGAGCGCTTTGAGGCCTGTGGTGAAAAAGGAAATATCTTCCCATAAAAACTAGACGGAAGCATTCTCAGAAACTTGTTTGTGATGTGTGTATTCAACTAACAGAGTTGAACTTTTGTTTTTACAGAGCCGTTTTAAAACACTCTTTTTGTGGAATCAGAAAGTGGATATTCGGATGGCTCTGAGGATTTCGTTGGAAGCGGGATTACATATAAAATCTAGAGAGAAGCATTCTCAGGAACTTCTTTGTGATGTTTGCATTGAAGTCACAGAATTGAACATTCACTTTGATAGAGCAGGTTTGAAACACTCATTCTGTAGTATCTGGAAGTGGACATTTCAAGCGCTTTCAGGCCTATGGTGAGAAAGGAAATATCTTCGAATAAAAACTAGACAGTAGCATCCTCAAACTTATTTGTGATGTGTGTCCTCAACTAACAGAGTTGAAACTTTGTTTTGATACAGCATTTTGGAAACACTCTTTTTGTAGAATCTGCAGGTGGATATTTGGATAGCTTAGAGGGATTCGTTGGAAAGGGGATATCTTCATATAGAATCTAGACAGAAGCATTCTCAGAAACTTATTTGTGATGTGTGTCCTCAACTAACAGAGTTGAACCTTGGTTTTGATACAGCATTTTGGAAACACTCCTTTTGAAGAATCTGCAGGTGGATATGTGGATAGCTTTGAAGATTTCGTTGGAAACGGGAATTTCTTCATATAAAATCAAACAGAAGCATTCTCAGAAACTTCTCAGTGATGTTTGCCTTCAGTTCATGGAGTTGAACATTCCTTTCATAGAGCCGGTTTGAAACACTCTTTCTGCACTACCTGGAAGAGGACATTTCGAGCGCTTTGAGTCCTATGGTGAAAAAGGAAATATCTTCTCATAGAAACCAGAAAGAAGCATTCTCAGAAACTTCTTTGTGTTGTGTGTACTCATGTAACAGTGTTGAACCATCCTTTTGACAGAGGAGTTTTGAAACACTCTTTTTGTAGAATCTGCAAGTGGATATTTGGATAGCTTTGAGGATTTCGTTGGAAACGGGATGACATATAATATCTAGAGAGAAGCATTCTCAGGAACTTCTTTGTGATGTTTGCATTCAAGTCACAGAATTGAACATTCCCTTTCATAGAGCAGGTTTGAAACACTCTTTCTCTAGTATCTGGAAGTGGGCATTTCAAGCGCTTTCAGGCCTATGGAGAGAAAGGAAATACCTTCAAATAAAAACTAGACAGAAGCATTCTCAGAAACTTATTTGTGATGTGTGTCCTCAACTAACAGAGTTGAACCTTTGTTTTGATACAGCATTTTGGAAACACTCCTTTTGTAGAATCTGCAGGTGGATATTTGGATAGCTTTGAAGATTTCGTTGGAAACCGGAATATCTTCATATAAAATCAAGACAGAAGCATTCTCGGAAACATCTCTGTGATGTTTGCATTCAACTCAGTAGAGTTGAACACTTCCTTTCATAGAGCAGGTTTGAAACACTCTTTCTGCACTACCTGGAAGCGGACATTTCGAGCTCTTTGAGGCCTATGGTGAAAAAGGAAATATCTTCTCATAAAAACCAGAAACAAGCATTCTCAGAAACTTCTTTGTGTTGTGTGTACTCAAGTAACAGTGTTGAACCTTCCTTTTGACAGAGCAGTTTTGAAACACTCTTTTGGTAGAATCTGCAAGTGGATATTTGGAGAGCTTTGAGGAATTCGTTGGAAACGGGTTATCTTCATATAAAATCCAGACAGGAGCATTCTCAGAAACTTCTTTGTGCTGTATGTCCTCAATTCACAGAGTTGAACCTTTGTTTGGATACAGCATTTTGGAAACATTCCTTTAGTAGAATCTGCAAGTTGATATTTAGATAGCTTTGAAGATTTCGTTGGAAACGGGAATATCTTCATAAAAAATCTAGACGGAAGCATTGTCAGAAACTGCTTTGTGATGTTTGCATTCAAGTCACAGAGTTAAATAATCTTTTACAGAGCAGGTTCGAAACACTCTTTCTGCACTCCCTGGAAGTGGAGATTTCGAGCGCTTTGAGGCCTATGGTGAAAAAGGAAATATCTTCCCATAAAAACTAGATGGAAGCATTCTCAGGAAACTTGTTTGTGATGTGTGTATTCAACTAACAGAGTTGAACTTTTGTTTTTACAGAGCCGTTTTAAAACACTCTTTTTGTGGAATCAGAAAGTGGATATTCGGATGGCTCTGAGGATTTCGTTGGAAGCGGGATTACATATAAAATCTAGAGAGAAGCATTCTCAGGAACTTCTTTGTGATGTTTGCATTGAAGTCACAGAATTGAACATTCACTTTGATAGAGCAGGTTTGAAACACTCATTCGGTAGTATCTGGAAGTGGACATTTCAAGCGCTTTCAGGCCTATGGTGAGAAAGGAAATATCTTCGAATAAAAACTAGACAGAAGCATCCTCAAACTTATTTGTGATGTGTGTCCTCAACTAACAGAGTTGAAACTTTGTTTTGATACAGCATTTTGGAAACACTCTTTTTGTAGAATCTGCAGGTGGATATTTGGATAGCTTAGAGGGATTCGTTGGAAAGGGGATATCTTCATATAGAATCTAGACAGAAGCATTCTCAGAAACTTATTTGTGATGTGTGTCCTCAACTAACAGAGTTGAACTTTGGTTTTGATACAGCATTTTGGAAACACTCCTTTTGTAGAATCTGCAGGTGGATATGTGGATAGCTCTGAAGATTTCGTTGGAAACGGGAATTTCTTCATATAAAATCAAACAGAAGCATTCTCAGAAACTTCTCCAGTGATGTTTGCATTCAGTTCATGGAGTTGAACACTTCCTTTCATAGAGCCGGTTTGAAACACTCTTTCTGCACTACCTGGAAGAGGACATTTCGAGCGCTTTGAGTCCTATGGTGAAAAAGGAAATATCTTCTCATAGAAACCAGAAAGAAGCATTCTCAGAAACTTCTTTGTGTTGTGTGTACTCATGTAACAGTGTTGAACCATCCTTTTGACAGAGCAGTTTTGAAACACTCTTTTTGTAGAATCTGCAAGTGGATATTTGGATAGCTTTGAGGATTTCGTTGGAAACAGGATGACATATAATATCTAGAGAGAAGCATTCTCAGGAACTTCTTTGTGATGTTTGCATTCAAGTCACAGAATTGAACATTCCCTTTCATAGAGCAGGTTTGAAACACTCTTTCTCTAGTATCTGGAAGTGGGCATTTCAAGCGCTTTCAGGCCTATGGAGAGAAAGGAAATACCTTCAAATAAAAACTAGACAGAAGCATTCTCAGAAACTTATTTGTGATGTGTGTCCTCAACTAACAGAGTTGAACCTTTGTTTTGATACAGCATTTTGGAAACACTCCTTTTGTAGAATCTGCAGGTGGATATTCGGATAGCTTTGAAGATTTCGTTGGAAACCGGAATATCTTCATATAAAATCAAGACAGAAGCATTCTCGGAAACATCTCTGTGATGTTTGCATTCAACTCAGTAGAGTTGAACACTTCCTTTCATAGAGCAGGTTTGAAACACTCTTTCTGCACTACCTGGAAGCGGACATTTCGAGCGCTTTGAGGCCTATGGTGAAAAAGGAAATATCTTCTCATAAAAACCAGAAAGAAGCATTCTCAGAAACTTCTTTGTGTTGTGTGTACTCAAGTAACAGTGTTGAACCTTCCTTTTGACAGAGCAGTTTTGAAACACTCTTTTGGTAGAATCTGCAAGTGGATATTTGGAGAGCTTTGAGGATTTCGTTGGAAACGGGTTATCTTCATATAAAATCCAGACAGGAGCATTCTCAGAAACTTCTTTGTGCTGTATGTCCTCAATTCACAGAGCTGAACCTTTGTTTGGATACAGCATTTTGGAGACATTCCTTTAGTAGAATCTGCAAGTTGATATTTAGATAGCTTTGAAGATTTCGTTGGAAACGGGAATATCTTCATAGAAAATCTAGACGGAAGCATTCTCAGAAACTGCTTTGTGATGTTTGCATTCAAGTCACAGAGTTGAATATTCCCTTTTATAGAGTAGGTTTGAAACACTCTTTCGGCACTACCTGGAAGTGGATATTTCGAGCTCTTTGAGGCCTATGGTTAAAAGGAAATATCTTCCCATAAAAACTAGACAGAAGCCGTCTCAGAAACTTGTTTGTGATGTGTGTATTCAACTACCAGAGTTGAACATTTCTGTTACAGAGCAATTTTAAAACACTCTTTCTGTGGAATCTGAAAGTGGATAATTGGATAGCTTTGTGGATTTCGTTGGAAACGGGATGACGTATAAAATCTAGAGAGAAGCATTCTCAGGAACTTCTTTCTGATGTTTGCATTCAAGTCACAGAATTGAACATTCCTTTTCAGAGTGCAGGTTTGAAACACACTCTTTCTGTAGTATCTGGAAGTGGACATTTCAAGCGCTTTCAGGCCTACGGGGAGAAAGGAAATATCTTCAAATAAAAACTAGACAGAAGGATTCTCAGAAACTTATTTGTGATGTGTGTCCTAAACGAACACAGTTGAACCTTTGTTTTGATACAGCATTTTGGAAACACTCCTTTTGTAGGATCTGCAGGTGGATATTTGGATAGATTTTAAGATTTCGTTGGAAACGGGAATTTCTGCATATAAACTCAAGACAGATGCATTCTCAGAAACTTCTCTGTGATGTTTGCATTCCACTCATAGAGTTGAAAACTTCCTTTCATAGAGCAGGTTTGAAACACTCTTTTTGTAATATTTGGAAGTGGACATTTGCAGCGCTTTGAGGCCTATGGTGAAAAAGGAAATATCTTCTCATAAAAACCAGAAACAAGCATTCTCAGAAACTTCTTTTTGATGTGTGTACTCAAGTAACAGAGTTGAACCTTCCTTTTGACACAGCAGTTTTGAAACAATCTTTTTGTAGAATCTGCAAGTGGATATTTGGATAGCTTTGAGGATTTCGTTGGAAACGGGATATCTTCATATAAAATCTAGACAGAAGCATTCTCAGAAACTTCTTTGTGCTGTATGTCCTCAATTAACAGAGTTGAACCATTGCCTGGATACAGCATTTTGGAAACATTCCTTGAGTAGAATCTGCAAGTTGATATTTAGATAGATTTGAAGATTTCGTTGGAAAAGGGAATATCTCCATATAAAATCTAGAGGGAAGCATTGTCAGAAACTGCTCTGTGATGTTTGCATTCAAGTCACAGAGTTAAATATTCTTTTATAGAGCAGGTTTGAAACACTCTTTCTAAACTCCCTGGAAGTGGAGATTTCGAGCGCTTTGAGGCCTATGGTGAAAAAGGAAATATCTTCCCATAAAAACTAGACGGAAGCATTCTCAGAAACTTGTTTGTGATGTGTGTATTCAACTAACAGACTTGAACTTTTGTTTTTACAGAGCAGTTTTAAAACAATCTTTTTGTGGAATCAGAAAGTGGATATTCGGATGGCTTTGAGGATTTCGTTGGAAGCGGGATTACATATAAAATGTAGAGAGAAGCATTCTCAGGAACTACTTTGTGATGTTTGCATTGAAGTCACAGAATTGAACATTCACTTTGATAGAGCAGGTTTGAAACACTCATTCTGTAGTATCTGGAAGTGGACATTTCAAGCGCTTTCAGGCCTATGGGGAGAAAGGAAATATCTTCAAATTAAAACTAGACAGAAGCATCCTCAGAAACTTATTTGTGATGTGTGTCCTCAACTAACAGAGTTGAAACTTTGTTTTGATACAGCATTTTGGAAACACTCTTTTTGTAGAATCTGCAGGTGGATATTTGGATAGCTTAGAGGGATTCGTTGGAAAGGGGATATCTTCATATAAAATCTAGACAGAAGCATTCTCAGAAACTTATTTGTGATGTGTGTCCTCAACTAACAGAGTTGAACCTTGGTTTTGATACAGCATTTTGGAAACACTCCTTTTGTAGAATCTGCAGGTGGATATGTGGATAGCTCTGAAGATTTCGTTGGAAACGGGAATTTCTTCATATAAAATCAAACAGAAGCATTCTCAGAAACTTCTCAGTGATGTTTGCATTCAGCTCATGGAGTTGTACACTTCCTTTCATAGAGCAGGTTTGAAACACTCTTTCTGCACTACCTGGAAGAGGACATTTCGAGCGCTTTGAGTCCTATGGTGAAAAAGGAAATATCTTCTCATAGAAACCAGAAAGAAGCATTCTCAGAAACTTCTTTGTGTTGTGTGTACTCATGTAACAGTGTTGAACCATCCTTTTGACAGAGCAGTTTTGAAACACTCTTTTTGTAGAATCTGCAAGTGGATATTTGGATAGCTTTGAGGATTTCGTTGGAAACGGGATGACATATAATATCTAGAGAGAAGCATTCTCAGGAACTTCTTTGTGATGTTTGCATTCAAGTCACAGAATTGAACATTCCCTTTCATAGAGCAGGTTTGAAACACTCTTTCTCTAGTATCTGGAAGTGGGCATTTCAAGCGCTTTCAGGCCTATGGAGAGAAAGGAAATACCTTCAAATAAAAACTAGACAGAAGCATTCTCAGAAACTTATTTGTGATGTGTGTCCTCAACTAACAGAGTTGAACCTTTGTTTTGATACAGCATTTTGGAAACACTCCTTTTGTAGAATCTGCAGGTGGATATTTGGATAGCTTTGAAGATTTTGTTGGAAACCGGAATATCTTCCTATAAAATCAAGACAGAAGCATTCTCGGAAACATCTCTGTGATGTTTGCATTCAACTCAGTAGAGTTGAACACTTCCTTTCATAGAGCAGGTTTGAAACACTCTTTCTGCCCTACCTGGAAGCGGACATTTCGAGCTCTTTGAGGCCTATGGTGAAAAAGGAAATATCTTCTCATAAAAACCAGAAAGAAGCATTCTCAGAAACTTCTTTGTGTTGTGTGTACTCAAGTAACAGTGTTGAACCTTCCTTTTGACAGAGTAGTTTTGAAACACTCTTTTGGTAGAATCTGCAAGTGGATATTTGGATAGCTTTGAGGATTTCGTTGGAAACGGGTTATCTTCCTATAAAATCCAGACAGGAGCATTCTCAGAAACTTCTTTGTGCTGTATGTCCTCAATTCACAGAGCTGAACCTTTGTTTGGATACAGCATTTTGGAGACATTCCTTTAGTAGAATCTGCAAGTTGATATTTAGATAGCTTTGAAGATTTCGTTGGAAACGGGAATATCTTCATAGAAAATCTAGACGGAAGCATTCTCAGAAACTGCTTTGTGATGTTTGCATTCAAGTCACAGTGTTGAATATTCGCTTTTATAGAGCAGGTTTGAAACACTCTTTCCGGACTTCCTGGAAGTGGACGTTTCGAGCGCTTTGAGGCCTATGGTGAAAAAGGAAATATCTTCCTATAAAAACTAGACGGAAGCCTTCTCAGAAAGTTGTTTGAGATGTGTGTATTCAACTAGGAGAGTTGAACATTTCTTTTTACAGAGCAGTTTTAAAACACTCTTTTTGTGGAATCTGAAAGTGGAAGTTTGGATAGCTTTGAGGATTTCGTTGGAAGCGGGATGACATATAAAATCTGGAGAGAAGCATTCTCAGGAACTTCTTTCTGATGTTTGCATTCAAGTCACAGAATTGAACATTCCTTTTCATAGTGCAGGTTTGAAACACTCTTTCTGTAGTATCTGGAAGTGGACATTTCAAGCGCTTTCAGGCCTGTGGGGAGAAAGGAAATATCTTCAAATAAAAACTAGACAGAAGGATTCTCAGAAACTTATTTGTGATGTGTGTCCTAAACGAACACAGTTGAACCTTTGTTTTGATACAGCATTTTGGAAACACTCCTTTTGTAGGATCTGCAGGTGGATATTTGGATAGATTTTAAGATTTCGTTGGAAACGGGAATTTCTGCATAGAAACTCAAGACAGATGCATTCTCAGAAACTTCTCTGTGATGTTTGCATTCCACTCATAGAGTTGAAAACTTCCTTTCATAGAGCAGGTTTGAAACACTCTTTTTGTAATATTTGGAAGTGGACATTTGCAGCGCTTTGAGGCCTATGGTGAAAAAGGAAATATCTTCTCATAAAAACCAGAAACAAGCATTCTCAGAAACTTCTTTTTGATGTGTGTACTCAAGTAACAGAGTTGAACCTTCCTTTTGACACAGCAGTTTTGAAACAATCTTTTTGTAGAATCTGCAAGTGGATATTTGGATAGCTTTGAGGATTTCGTTGGAAACGGGATATCTTCATATAAAATCTAGACAGAAGCATTCTCAGAAACTTCTTTGTGCTGTATGTCCTCAATTAACAGAGTTGAACCATTGCCTGGATACAGCATTTTGGAAACATTCCTTGAGTAGAATCTGCAAGTTGATATTTAGATAGATTTGAAGATTTCGTTGGAAAAGGGAATATCTCCATATAAAATCTAGAGGGAAGCATTGTCAGAAACTGCTCTGTGATGTTTGCATTCAAGTCACAGAGTTAAATATTCTTTTATAGAGCAGGTTTGAAACACTCTTTCTGCACTCCCTGGAAGTGGAGATTTCGAGCGCTTTGAGGCCTATGGTGAAAAAGGAAATATCTTCCCGTAAAAACTAGACGGAAGCATTCTCAGAAACTTGTTTGTGATGTGTGTATTCAACTAACAGAGTTGAACTTTTGTTTTTACAGAGCCGTTTTAAAACACTCTTTTTGTGGAATCAGAAAGTGGATATTCGGATGGCTCTGAGGATTTCGTTGGAAGCGGGATTACATATAAAATCTAGAGAGAAGCATTCTCAGGAACTTCTTTGTGATGTTTGCATTGAAGTCACAGAATTGAACATTCACTTTGATAGAGCAGGTTTGAAACACTCATTCTGTAGTATCTGGAAGTGGACATTTCAAGCGCTTTCAGGCCTATGGTGAGAAAGGAAATATCTTCGAATAAAAACTAGACAGAAGCATCCTCAGAAACTAATTGGTGATGTGTGTCCTCAACTAACAGAGTTGAAACTTTGTTTTGATACAGCATTTTGGAAACACTCTTTTTGTAGAATCTGCAGGTGGATATTTGGATAGCTTAGAGGGATTCGTTGGAAAGGGGATATCTTCATATAAAATCTAGACAGAAGCATTCTCAGAAACTTATTTGTGATGTGTGTCCTCAACTAACAGAGTTGAACCTTGGTTTTGATACAGCATTTTGGAAACACTCCTTTTGTAGAATCTGCAGGTGGATATGTGGATAGCTCTGAAGATTTCATTGGAAACGGGAATTTCTTCATATAAAATCAAACAGAAGCATTCTCAGAAACTTCTCAGTGATGTTTGCATTCAGCTCATGGAGTTGTACACTTCCTTTCATAGAGCAGGTTTGAAACACTCTTTCTGCACTACCTGGAAGAGGACATTTCGAGCGCTTTGAGTCCTATGGTGAAAAAGGAAATATCTTCTCATAGAAACCAGAAAGAAGCATTCTCAGAAACTTCTTTGTGTTGTGTGTACTCATGTAACAGTGTTGAACCATCCTTTTGACAGAGGAGTTTTGAAACACTCTTTTTGTAGAATCTGCAAGTGGATATTTGGATAGCTTTGAGGATTTCGTTGGAAACGGGATGACATATAATATCTAGAGAGAAGCATTCTCAGGAACTTCTTTGTGATGTTTGCATTCAAGTCACAGAATTGAACATTCCCTTTCATAGAGCAGGTTTGAAACACTCTTTCTCTAGTATCTGGAAGTGGGCATTTCAAGCGCTTTCAGGCCTATGGAGAGAAAGGAAATACCTTCAAATAAAAACTAGACAGAAGCATTCTCAGAAACTTATTTGTGATGTGTGTCCTCAACTAACAGAGTTGAACCTTTGTTTTGATACAGCATTTTGGAAACACTCCTTTTGTAGAATCTGCAGGTGGATATGTGGATAGCTTTGAAGATTTCGTTGGAAACCGGAATATCTTCATATAAAATCAAGACAGAAGCATTCTCGGAAACATCTCTGTGATGTTTGCATTCAACTCAGTAGAGTTGAACACTTCCTTTCATAGAGCAGGTTTGAAACACTCTTTCTGCACTACCTGGAAGCGGACATTTCGAGCGCTTTGAGGCCTATGGTGAAAAAGGAAATATCTTCTCATAAAAACCAGAAAGAAGCATTCTCAGAAACTTCTTTGTGTTGTGTGTACTCAAGTAACAGTGTTGAACCTTCCTTTTGACAGAGCAGTTTTGAAACACTCTTTTGGTAGAATCTGCAAGTGGATATTTGGATAGCTTTGAGGATTTCGTTGGAAACGGGTTATCTTCCTATAAAATCCAGACAGGAGCATTCTCAGAAACTTCTTTGTGCTGTATGTCCTCAATTCACAGAGCTGAACCTTTGTTTGGATACAGCATTTTGGAGACATTCCTTTAGTAGAATCTGCAAGTTGATATTTAGATAGCTTTGAAGATTTCGTTGGAAACGGGAATATCTTCATAGAAAATCTAGACGGAAGCATTCTCAGAAACTGCTTTGTGATGTTTGCATTCAAGTCACAGAGTTGAATATTCCCTTTTATAGAGTAGGTTTGAAACACTCTTTCGGCACTACCTGGAAGTGGATATTTCGAGCTCTTTGAGGCCTATGGTTAAAAGGAAATATCTTCCCATAAAAACTAGACAGAAGCCGTCTCAGAAACTTGTTTGTGATGTGTGTATTCAACTACCAGAGTTGAACATTTCTGTTACAGAGCAATTTTAAAACACTCTTTCTGTGGAATCTGAAAGTGGATAATTGGATAGCTTTGTGGATTTCGTTGGAAACGGGATGACGTATAAAATCTAGAGAGAAGCATTCTCAGGAACTTCTTTCTGAGGTTTGCATTCAAGTCACAGAATTGAACATTCCTTTTCATAGTGCAGGTTTGAAACACTCTTGCTGTAGTATCTGGAAGTGGACATTTCAAGTGCTTTCAGGCCTATGGGGAGAAAGGAAATATCTTCAAATAAAAATTAGACAGAAGGATTCTCAGAAACTTATAGGTGATGTGTGTCCTAAACGAACACAGTTGAACCTTTGTTTTGATACAGCATTTTGGAAACACTCCCTTTGTAGAATCTGCAGGTGGATATTTGGATAGATTTTAAGATTTCGTTGGAAACGGGAATTTCTTCATATAAACTCAAGACAGATGCATTCTCCGAAACTTCTCTGTGATGTTTGCATTCCACTCATAGAGCTGAAAACTTCCTTTCATAGAGCAGGTTTGAAACACTCTTTTTGTAATATTTGGAAGTGGACATTTGCAGCGCTTTGAGACCTATGGTGAAAAAGGAAATATCTTCTCATAAAAACCAGAAAAAAGCATTCTCAGAAACTTCTTTTTGATGTGTGTACTCAAGTAACAGAGTTGAACCTTCCTTTTGACACAGCAGTTTTGAAACAATCTTTTTGTAGAATCTGCAAGTGGATATTTGGATAGCTTTGAGGATTTCGTTGGAAACGGGATATCTTCATATAAAATCTAGACAGAAGCATTCTCAGAAACTTCTTTGTGCTGTATGTCCTCAATTAACAGAGTTGAACCATTGCCTGGATACAGCATTTTGGAAACATTCCTTGAGTAGAATCTGCAAGTTGATATTTAGATAGATTTGAAGATTTCGTTGGAAAAGGGAATATCTCCATATAAAATCTAGAGGGAGGCATTCTCAGAAACTGCTTTGTGATGTTTCCATTCAAGTCACAGAGTTGAATATTCTCTTTTATAGAGCACGTTTGAAACACTCTTTCTGCACTATCTGGAAGTGGACATTTCGAGCGCTTTGAGGCCTATGGTGAAAAAGGAAATATCTTCCCATAAAAACTAGACAGAAGCATTCTCAGAAACTTGTTTGTGATGTGTGTATTCAACTAACAGACTTGAAATTTTGTTTTTACAGAGCAGTTTTAAAACAATCTTTTTGTGGAATCAGAAAGTGGATATTCGGATGGCTTTGAGGATTTCGTTGGAAGCGGGATTGCATATAAAATCTAGAGAGAAGCATTCTCAGGAACTTCTTTGTGATGTTTGCATTGAAGTCACAGAATTGAACATTCACTTTGATAGAGCAGGTTTGAAACACTCATTCTGTAGTATCTGGAAGTGGACATTTCAAGCGCTTTCAGGCCTATGGTGAGAAAGGAAATATCTTCGAATAAAAACTAGACAGAAGCATCCTCAAACTTATTTGTGATGTGTGTCCTCAACTAACAGAGTTGAAACTTTGTTTTGATACAGCATTTTGGAAACACTCTTTTTGTAGAATCTGCAGGTGGATATTTGGATAGCTTAGAGGGATTCGTTGGAAAGGGGATATCTTCATATAAAATCTAGACAGAAGCATTCTCAGAAACTTATTTGTGATGTGTGTCCTCAACTAACAGAGTTGAACTTTGGTTTTGATACAGCATTTTGGAAACACTCCTTTTGTAGAATCTGCAGGTGGATATGTGGATAGCTCTGAAGATTTCGTTGGAAACGGGAATTTCTTCATATAAAATCAAACAGAAGCATTCTCAGAAACTTCTCAGTGATGTTTGCATTCAGCTCATGGAGTTGTACACTTCCTTTCATAGAGCAAGTTTGAAACACTCTTTCTGCACTACCTGGAAGAGGACATTTCGAGCGCTTTGAGTCCTATGGTGAAAAAGGAAATATCTTCTCATAGAAACCAGAAAGAAGCATTCTCAGAAACTTCTTTGTGTTGTGTGTACTCATGTAACAGTGTTGAACCATCCTTTTGACAGAGCAGTTTTGAAACACTCTTTTTGTAGAATCTGCAAGTGGATATTTGGATAGCTTTGAGGATTTCGTTGGAAACGGGATGACATATAATATCTAGAGAGAAGCATTCTCAGGAACTTCTTTGTGATGTTTGCATTCAAGTCACAGAATTGAACATTCCCTTTCATAGAGCAGGTTTGAAACACTCTTTCTCTAGTATCTGGAAGTGGGCATTTCAAGCGCTTTCAGGCCTATGGAGAGAAAGGAAATACCTTCAAATAAAAACTAGACAGAAGCATTCTCAGAAACTTATTTGTGATGTGTGTCCTCAACTAACAGAGTTGAACCTTTGTTTTGATACAGCATTTTGGAAACACTCCTTTTGTAGAATCTGCAGGTGGATATTTGGATAGCTTTGAAGATTTCGTTGGAAACCGGAATATCTTCATATAAAATCAAGACAGAAGCATTCTCGGTAAACATCTCTGTGATGTTTGCATTCAACTCAGTAGAGTTGAACACTTCCTTTCATAGAGCAGGTTTGAAACACTCTTTCTGCCCTACCTGGAAGCGGACATTTCGAGCTCTTTGAGGCCTATGGTGAAAAAGGAAATATCTTCTCATAAAAACCAGAAAGAAGCATTCTCAGAAACTTCTTTGTGTTGTGTGTACTCAAGTAACAGTGTTGAACCTTCCTTTTGACAGAGCAGTTTTGAAACACTCTTTTGGTAGAATCTGCAAGTGGATATTTGGAGAGCTTTGAGGATTTCGTTGGAAACGGGTTATCTTCCTATAAAATCCAGACAGGAGCATTCTCAGAAACTTCTTTGTGCTGTATGTCCTCAATTCACAGAGCTGAACCTTTGTTTGGATACAGCATTTTGGAGACATTCCTTTAGTAGAATCTGCAAGTTGATATTTAGATAGCTTTGAAGATTTCGTTGGAAACGGGAATATCTTCATAGAAAATCTAGACGGAAGCATTCTCAGAAACTGCTTTGTGATGTTTGCATTCAAGTCACAGAGTTGAATATTCCCTTTTATAGAGTAGGTTTGAAACACTCTTTCGGCACTACCTGGAAGTGGATATTTCGAGCTCTTTGAGGCCTATGGTTAAAAGGAAATATCTTCCCATAAAAACTAGACAGAAGCCTTCTCAGAAACTTGTTTGAGATGTGTGTATTCAACTAAGAGCGTTGAACATTTCTTTTTACAGAGCAGTTTTAAAACAGTCTTTTGGTGGAATCTGAAAGTGGATAATTGGATAGCTTTGTGGATTTCGTTGGAAACGGGATTACGTTTAAAATCTAGAGAGAAGCATTCTCAGGAACTTCTTTCTGATGTTTGCATTCAAGTCACAGAATTGACATTCCTTTTCAGAGTGCAGGTTTGAAACACTCTTTCTGTAGTATCTGGAAGTGGACATTTCAAGCTCTTTCAGGCCTATGGAGAGAAAGGAAATATCTTCAAATAAAAACTAGACAGAAGGATTCTCAGAAACTTATTTGTGATGTGTGTCCTAAGCGAACACAGTTGAACCTTTGTTTTGATACAGCATTTTGGAAACACTCCTTTTGTAGAATCTGCAGGTGGATATTTGGATAGATTTTAAGATTTCATTGGAAACGGGAATTTGCTGCATAGAAACTCAAGACAGATGCATTCTCAGAAACTTCTCTGTGATGTTTGCATTCCACTCATAGAGTTGAAAACTTCCTTTCATAGAGCAGGTTTGAAACACTCTTTTTGTAATATTTGGAAGTGGACCTTTGCAGCGCTTTGAGGCCTATGGTGAAAAAGGAAATATCTTCTCATAAAAACCAGAAACAAGCATTCTCAGAAACTTCTTTTTGATGTGTGTACTCAAGTAACAGAGTTGAACCTTCCTTTTGACACAGCAGTTTTGAAACAATCTTTTTGTAGAATCTGCAAGTGGATATTTGGATAGCTTTGAGGATTTCGTTGGAAACGGGATATCTTCATATAAAATCTAGACAGAAGCATTCTCAGAAACTTCTTTGTGCTGTATGTCCTCAATTAACAGAGTTGAACCATTGCTTGGATACAGCATTTTGGAAACATTCCTTTAGTAGAATCTGCAAGTTGATATTTAGATAGATTTGAAGATTTCGTTGGAAACGGGAATATCTTCATATAAAATCTAGATGGAGGCATTCTCAGAAACTGCTTTGTGATGTTTCCATTCAAGTCACAGAGTTGAATATTCCCTTTTATAGAGCACGTTTGAAACACTCTTTCGGCACTATCTGGAAGTGGACATTTCGAGCGCTTTGAGGCCTATGGTGAAAAAGGAAATATCTTCCCATAAAAACTAGACAGAAGCATTCTCAGAAACTTGTTTGTGATGTGTGTATTCAACTAACAGACTTGAACTTTTGTTTTTACAGAGCAGTTTTAAAACAATCTTTTCGTGGAATCAGAAAGTGGATATTCGGATGGCTTTGAGGATTTCGTTGGAAGCGGGATTACATATAAAATGTAGAGAGAAGCATTCTCAGGAACTACTTTGTGATGTTTGCATTGAAGTCACAGAATTGAACATTCACTTTGATAGAGCAGGTTTGAAACACTCATTCTGTAGTATCTGGAAGTGGACATTTCAAGCGCTTTCAGGCCTATGGGGAGAAAGGAAATATCTTCAAATTAAAACTAGACAGAAGCATCCTCAGAAACTTATTTGTGATGTGTGTCCTCAACTAACAGAGTTGAAACTTTGTTTTGATACAGCATTTTGGAAACACTCTTTTTGTAGAATCTGCAGGTGGATATTTGGATAGCTTAGAGGGATTCGTTGGAAAGGGGATATCTTCATATAAAATCTAGACAGAAGCATTCTCAGAAACTTATTTGTGATGTGTGTCCTCAACTAACAGAGTTGAACCTTGGTTTTGATACAGCATTTTGGAAACACTCCTTTTGTAGAATCTGCAGGTGGATATGTGGATAGCTCTGAAGATTTCGTTGGAAACGGGAATTTCTTCATATAAAATCAAACAGAAGCATTCTCAGAAACTTCTCAGTGATGTTTGCATTCAGCTCATGGAGTTGAACACTTCCTTTCATAGAGCAGGTTTGAAACACTCTTTCTGCACTACCTGGAAGAGGACATTTCGAGCGCTTTGAGTCCTATGGTGAAAAAGGAAATATCTTCTCATAGAAACCAGAAAGAAGCATTCTCAGAAACTTCTTTGTGTTGTGTGTACTCATGTAACAGTGTTGAACCATCCTTTTGACAGAGCAGTTTTGAAACACTCTTTTTGTAGAATCTGCAAGTGGATATTTGGATAGCTTTGAGGATTTCGTTGGAAACGGGATGACATATAATATCTAGAGAGAAGCATTCTCAGGAACTTCTTTGTGATGTTTGCATTCAAGTCACAGAATTGAACATTCCCTTTCATAGAGCAGGTTTGAAACACTCTTTCTCTAGTATCTGGAAGTGGGCATTTCAAGCGCTTTCAGGCCTATGGAGAGAAAGGAAATACCTTCAAATAAAAACTAGACAGAAGCATTCTCAGAAACTTATTTGTGATGTGTGTCCTCAACTAACAGAGTTGAACCTTTGTTTTGATACAGCATTTTGGAAACACTCCTTTTGTAGAATCTGCAGGTGGATATGTGGATAGCTTTGAAGATTTCGTTGGAAACCGGAATATCTTCCTATAAAATCAAGACAGAAGCATTCTCGGAAACATCTCTGTGATGTTTGCATTCAACTCAGTAGAGTTGAACACTTCCTTTCATAGAGCAGGTTTGAAACACTCTTTCTGCACTACCTGGAAGCGGACATTTCGAGCGCTTTGAGGCCTATGGTGAAAAAGGAAATATCTTCTCATAAAAACCAGAAAGAAGCATTCTCAGAAACTTCTTTGTGTTGTGTGTACTCAAGTAACAGTGTTGAACCTTCCTTTTGACAGAGCAGTTTTGAAACACTCTTTTGGTAGAATCTGCAAGTGGATATTTGGATAGCTTTGAGGATTTCGTTGGAAACGGGTTATCTTCCTATAAAATCCAGACAGGAGCATTCTCAGAAACTTCTTTGTGCTGTATGTCCTCAATTAACAGAGTTGAACCATTGCTTGGATACAGCATTTTGGAAACATTCCTTTAGTAGAATCTGCAAGTTGATATTTAGATAGCATTGAAGATTTCGTTGGAAACGGGAATATCTTCATAAAAAATCTAGACGGAAGCATTCTCAGAAACTGCTTTGTGATGTTTGCATTCAAGTCACAGAGTTGAATATTCCCTTTTATAGAGTAGGTTTGAAACACTCTTTCGGCACTACCTGGAAGTGGATATTTCGAGCTCTTTGAGGCCTATGGTTAAAAGGAAATATCTTCCCATAAAAACTAGACAGAAGCCGTCTCAGAAACTTGTTTGTGATGTGTGTATTCAACTAACAGAGTTGAACATTTCTGTTACAGAGCAATTTTAAAACACTCTTTTTGTGGAATCTGAAAGTGGATAATTGGATAGCTTTGTGGGTTTCGTTGGAAACGGGATGACGTATAAAATCTAGAGAGAAGCATTCTCAGGAACTTCTTTCTGATGTTTGCATTCAAGTCACAGAATTGAACATTCCTTTTCAGAGTGCAGGTTTGAAACACTCTTTCTGTAGTATCTGGAAGTGGACATTTCAAGCGCTTTCAGGCCTACGGGGAGAAAGGAAATATCTTCAAATAAAAACTAGACAGAAGGATTCTCAGAAACTTATTTGTGATGTGTGTCCTAAACGAACACAGTTGAACCTTTGTTTTGATACAGCATTTTGGAAACACTCCTTTTGTAGGATCTGCAGGTGGATATTTGGATAGATTTTAAGATTTCGTTGGAAACGGGAATTTCTGCATATAAACTCAAGACAGATGCATTCTCAGAAACTTCTCTGTGATGTTTGCATTCCACTCATAGAGTTGAAAACTTCCTTTCATAGAGCAGGTTTGAAACACTCTTTCTGTAATATTTGGAAGTGGACATTTGCAGCGCTTTGAGGCCTATGGTGAAAAAGGAAATATCTTCTCATAAAAACCAGAAACAAGCATTCTCAGAAACTTCTTTTTGATGTGTGTACTCAAGTAACAGAGTTGAACCTTCCTTTTGACACAGCAGTTTTGAAACAATCTTTTTGTAGAATCTGCAAGTGGATATTTGGATAGCTTTGAGGATTTCGTTGGAAACGGGATATCTTCATATAAAATCTAGACAGAAGCATTCTCAGAAACTTCTTTGTGCTGTATGTCCTCAATTAACAGAGTTGAACCATTGCTTGGATACAGCATTTTGGAAACATTCCTTTAGTAGAATCTGCAAGTTGATATTTAGATAGATTTGAAGATTTCGTTGGAAACGGGAATATCTTCATATAAAATCTAGACGGAAGCATTCTCAGAAACTGCTTTGTGATGTTTCCATTCAAGTCACAGAGTTGAATATTCCCTTTTATAGAGCACGTTTGAAACACTCTTTCTGCGCTATCTGGAAGTGGACATTTCGAGCGCTTTGAGGCCTATGGTGAAAAAGGAAATATCTTCCCATAAAAACTAGACAGAAGCCTTCTCAGAAACTTGTTTGTGATGTGTGTATTCAACTAACAGACTTGAACTTTTGTTTTTACAGAGCAGTTTTAAAACAATCTTTTTGTGGAATCAGAAAGTGGATATTCGGATGGCTTTGAGGATTTCGTTGGAAGCGGGATTACATATAAAATCTAGAGAGAAGCATTCTCAGGAACTACTTTGTGATGTTTGCATTGAAGTCACAGAATTGAACATTCACTTTGATAGAGCAGGTTTGAAACACTCATTCTGTAGTATCTGGAAGTGGACATTTCAAGCGCTTTCAGGCCTATGGGGAGAAAGGAAATATCTTCAAATTAAAACTAGACAGAAGCATCCTCAGAAACTTATTTGTGATGTGTGTCCTCAACTAACAGAGTTGAAACTTTGTTTTGATACAGCATTTTGGAAACACTCTTTTTGTAGAATCTGCAGGTGGATATTTGGATAGCTTAGAGGGATTCGTTGGAAAGGGGATATCTTCATATAAAATCTAGACAGAAGCATTCTCAGAAACTTATTTGTGATGTGTGTCCTCAACTAACAGAGTTGAACCTTGGTTTTGATACAGCATTTTGGAAACACTCCTTTTGTAGAATCTGCAGGTGGATATGTGGATAGCTCTGAAGATTTCGTTGGAAACGGGAATTTCTTCATATAAAATCAAACAGAAGCATTCTCAGGAACTTCTCTGTGATGTTTGCATTCAGCTCATGGAGTTGAACACTTCCTTTCATAGAGCAGGTTTGAAACACTCTTTCTGCACTACCTGGAAGTGGACATTTCGAGCGCTTTAAGGCCTATGGTGAAAAAGGAAATATCCTCTCATAAAAACCAGAAAGAAGCATTCTCAGAAACTTCTTTGTGTTGTGTGTACTCATGTAACAGTGTTGAACCATCCTTTTGACAGAGCAGTTTTGAAACACTCTTTTTGTAGAATCTGCAAGTGGATATTTGGATAGCTTTGAGGATTTCGTTGGAAACGGGATGACATATAATATCTAGAGAGAAGCATTCTCAGGAACTTCTTTGTGATGTTTGCATTCAAGTCACAGAATTGAACATTCCCTTTCATAGAGCAGGTTTGAAACACTCTTTCTCTAGTATCTGGAAGTGGGCATTTCAAGCGCTTTCAGGCCTATGGAGAGAAAGGAAATACCTTCAAATAAAAACTAGACAGAAGCATTCTCAGAAACTTATTTGTGATGTGTGTCCTCAACTAACAGAGTTGAACCTTTGTTTTGATACAGCATTTTGGAAACACTCCTTTTGTAGAATCTGCAGGTGGATATTTGGATAGCTTTGAAGATTTCGTTGGAAACCGGAATATCTTCATATAAAATCAAGACAGAAGCATTCTCGGAAACATCTCTGTGATGTTTGCATTCAACTCAGTAGAGTTGAACACTTCCTTTCATAGAGCAGGTTTGAAACACTCTTTCTGCACTACCTGGAAGCGGACATTTCGAGCGCTTTGAGGCCTATGGTGAAAAAGGAAATATCTTCTCATAAAAACCAGAAAGAAGCATTCTCAGAAACTTCTTTGTGTTGTGTGTACTCAAGTAACAGTGTTGAACCTTCCTTTTGACAGAGCAGTTTTGAAACACTCTTTTGGTAGAATCTGCAAGTGGATATTTGGATAGCTTTGAGGATTTCGTTGGAAACGGGTTATCTTCATATAAAATCCAGACAGGAGCATTCTCAGAAACTTCTTTGTGCTGTATGTCCTCAATTCACAGAGTTGAACCTTTGTTTGGATACAGCATTTTGGAAACATTCCTTTAGTAGAATCTGCAAGTTGATATTTAGATAGCTTTGAAGATTTCGTTGGAAACGGGAATATCTTCATAAAAAATCTAGACGGAAGCATTGTCAGAAACTGCTCTGTGATGTTTGCATTCAAGTCACAGAGTTAAATATTCGTTTATAGAGCAGGTTTGAAACACTCTTTCTGCACTCCCTGGAAGTGGAGATTTCGAGCGCTTTGAGGCCTATGGTGAAAAAGGAAATATCTTCCCATAAAAACTAGACGGAAGCATTCTCAGAAACTTGTTTGTGATGTGTGTATTCAACTAACAGAGTTGAACTTTTGTTTTTACAGAGCCGTTTTAAAACACTCTTTTTGTGGAATCAGAAAGTGGATATTCGGATGGCTACTGAGGATTTCGTTGGAAGCGGGATTACGTATAAAATCTAGAGAGAAGCATTCTCAGGAACTTCTTTGTGATGTTTGCATTGAAGTCACAGAATTGAACATTCACTTTTATAGACCAGGTTTGAAACACTCATTCTGTAGTATCTGGAAGTGGACATTTCAAGCGCTTTCAGGCCTATGGTGAGAAAGGAAATACCTTCAAATAAAAACTAGACAGAAGCATCCTCAGAAACTTATTTCTGATGTGTGTCCTCAACTAACAGAGTTGAAACTTTGTTTTGATACAGCATTTTGGAAACACTCTTTTTGTAGAATCTGCAGGTGGATACTTGGATAGCTTAGAGGGATTCGTTGGAAAGGGGATATCTTCATATAAAATCTAGACAGAAGGCATTCTCAGAAACTTATTTGTGATGTGTGTCCTCAACTAACAGAGTTGAACCTTGGTTTTGATACAGCATTTTGGAAACACTCCTTTTGAAGGATCTGCAGGTGGATATGTGGATAGCTTTGAAGATTTCGTTGGAAACGGGAATTTCTTCATATAAAATCAAACAGAAGCATTCTCAGGAACTTCTCTGTGATGTTTGCATTCAGCTCATGGAGTTGAACACTTCCTTTCATAGAGCAGGTTTGAAACACTCTTTCTGCACTACCTGGAAGTGGACATTTCGAGCGCTTTGAGGCCTATGGTGAAAAAGGAAATATCTTCTCATAAAAACCAGAATGAAGCGTTCTCAGAAACTCCTTTGTGTTGTGTGTACTCATGTAACAGTGTTGAACCATCCTTTTGACAGAGCAGTTTTGAAACACTCTTTTTGTAGAATCTGCCAGTGGACATTTGGATAGATTTGAAGATTTCGTTGGAAACGGGTTATCTTCATATTAAATCTAGACAGAAGCATTCTCAGGAACTTCTTTGTGATGTTTGCATTCAAGTCACAGAATTGAACATTCCCTTTCATAGAGCAGGTTTGAAACACTCTTTCTCTAGTATCTGGAAGTGGGCATTTCAAGCGCTTTCAGGCCTATGGAGAGAAAGGAAATACCTTCAAATAAAAACTAGACAGAAGCATTCTCAGAAACTTATTTGTGATGTGTGTCCTCAACTAACAGAGTTGAACCTTTGTTTTGATACAGCATTTTGGAAACACTCCTTTTGTAGAATCTGCAGGTGGATATTTGGATAGCTTTGAAGATTTCGTTGGAAACCGGAATATCTTCATATAAAATCAAGACAGAAGCATTCTCGGAAATATCTCTGTGATGTTTGCATTCAACTCAGTAGAGTTGAACACTTCCTTTCATAGAGCAGGTTTGAAACACTCTTTCTGCACTACCTGGAAGCGGACATTTCGAGCGCTTTGAGGCCTATGGTGAAAAAGGAAATATCTTCTCCTAAAAACCAGAAAGAAGCATTCTCAGAAACTTCTTTGTGTTGTGTGTACTCAAGTAACAGTGTTGAACCTTCCTTTTGACAGAGCAGTTTTGAAACACTCTTTTGGTAGAATCTGCAAGTGGATATTTGGATAGCTTTGAGGATTTCGTTGGAAACGGGTTATCTTCATATAAAATCCAGACAGGAGCATTCTCAGAAACTTCTTTGTGCTGTATGTCCTCAATTCACAGAGCTGAACCTTTGTTTGGATACAGCATTTTGGAGACATTCCTTTAGTAGAATCTGCAAGTTGATATTTAGATAGCTTTGAAGATTTCGTTGGAAACGGGAATATCTTCATAGAAAATCTAGACGGAAGCATTCTCAGAAACTGCTTTGTGATGTTTGCATTCAAGTCACAGAGTTGAATATTCCCTTTTATAGAGTAGGTTTGAAACACTCTTTCGGCACTACCTGGAAGTGGATATTTCGAGCTCTTTGAGGCCTATGGTTAAAAGGAAATATCTTCCCATAAAAACTAGACAGAAGCCGTCTCAGAAACTTGTTTGTGATGTGTGTATTCAACTAACAGAGTTGAACATTTCTGTTACAGAGCAATTTTAAAACACTCTTTGTGGAATCTGAAAGTGGATAATTGGATAGCTTTGTGGATTTCGTTGGAAACGGGATGACGTATAAAATCTAGAGAGAAGCATTCTCAGGAACTTCTTTCTGATGTTTGCATTCAAGTAACAGAATTGAACATTCCTTTTCATAGTGCAGGTTTGAAACATTCTTTCTGTAGTATCTGGAAGTGGACATTTCAAGCGCTTTCAGGCCTATGGGGAGAAAGGAAATATCTTCAAATAAAAACTAGACAGATAAGGATTCTCAGAAACTTATTTGTGATGTGTGTCCTAAACGAACACAGTTGAACCTTTGTTTTGATACAGCATTTTGGAAACACTCCTTTTGTAGGATCTGCAGGTGGATATTTGGATAGATTTTAAGATTTCGTTGGAAACGGGAATTTCTGCATATAAACTCAAGACAGATGCATTCTCAGAAACTTCTCTGTGATGTTTGCATTCCACTCATAGAGTTGAAAACTTCCTTTCATAGAGCAGGTTTGAAACACTCTTTTTGTAATATTTGGAAGTGGACATTTGCAGCGCTTTGAGGCCTATGGTGAAAAAGGAAATATCTTCTCATAAAAACCAGAAACAAAGCATTCTCAGAAACTGCTTTTTGATGTGTGTACTCAAGTAACAGAGTTGAACCTTCCTTTTGACACAGCAGTTTTGAAACAATCTTTTTGTAGAATCTGCAAGTGGATATTTGGAGAGCTTTGAGGATTTCGTTGGAAACGGGATATCTTCATATAAAATCTAGACAGAAGCATTCTCAGAAACTTCTTTGTGCTGTATGTCCTCAATTAACAGAGTTGAACCATTGCTTGGATACAGCATTTTGGAAACATTCCTTTAGTAGAATCTGCAAGTTGATATTTAGATAGATTTGAAGATTTCGTTGGAAACGGGAATATCTTCATATAAAATCTAGACGGAAGCATTCTCAGAAACTGCTTTGTGATGTTTCCATTCAAGTCACAGAGTTGAATATTCCCTTTTATAGAGCACGTTTGAAACACTCTTTCTGCACTATCTGGAAGCGGACATTTCGAGCGCTTTGAGGCCTATGGTGAAAAAGGAAATATCTTCCCATAAAAACTAGACAGAAGCATTCTCAGAAACTTGTTTGTGATGTGTGTATTCAACTAACAGAGTTGAACTTTTGTTTTTACAGAGCCGTTTTAAAACACTCTTTTTGTGGAATCAGAAAGTGGATATTCGGATGGCTCTGAGGATTTCGTTGGAAGCGGGATTACATATAAAATCTAGAGAGAAGCATTCTCAGGAACTTCTTTGTGATGTTGGCATTGAAGTCACAGAATTGAACATTCACTTTGATAGAGCAGGTTTGAAACACTCATTCTGTAGTATCTGGAAGTGGACATTTCAAGCGCTTTCAGGCCTATGGTGAGAAAGGAAATATCTTCGAATAAAAACTAGACAGAAGCATCCTCAGAAACTTATTTGTGATGTGTGTCCTCAACTAACAGAGTTAAAACTTTGTTTTGATACAGCATTTTGGAAACACTCTTTTTGTAGAATCTGCAGGTGGATATTTGGATAGCTTAGAGGGATTCGTTGGAAAGGGGATATCTTCATATAAAATCTAGACAGAAGCATTCTCAGAAACTTATTTGTGATGTGTGTCCTCAACTAACAGAGTTGAACCTTTGTTTTGATACAGCATTTTGGAAACACTCCTTTTGTAGAATCTGCAGGTGGATATTTGGATAGCTTTGAAGATTTCGTTGGAAACCGGAATATCTTCATATAAAATCAAGACAGAAGCATTCTCGGAAACATCTCTGTGATGTTTGCATTCAACTCAGTAGAGTTGAACACTTCCTTTCATAGAGCAGGTTTGAAACACTCTTTCTGCACTACCTGGAAGCGGACATTTCGAGCGCTTTGAGGCCTATGGTGAAAAAGGAAATATCTTCTCATAAAAACCAGAAAGAAGCATTCTCAGAAACTTCTTTGTGTTGTGTGTACTCAAGTAACAGTGTTGAACCTTCCTTTTGACAGAGCAGTTTTGAAACACTCTTTTGGTAGAATCTGCAAGTGGATATTTGGATAGCTTTGAGGAATTCGTTGGAAACGGGTTATCTTCATATAAAATCCAGACAGGAGCATTCTCAGAAACTTCTTTGTGCTGTATGTCCTCAATTCACAGAGCTGAACCTTTGTTTGGATACAGCATTTTGGAGACATTCCTTTAGTAGAATCTGCAAGTTGATATTTAGATAGCTTTGAAGATTTCGTTGGAAACGGGAATATCTTCATAGAAAATCTAGACGGAAGCATTCTCAGAAACTGCTTTGTGATGTTTGCATTCAAGTCACAGAGTTGAATATTCCCTTTTATAGAGTAGGTTTGAAACACTCTTTCGGCACTACCTGGAAGTGGATATTTCGAGCTCTTTGAGGCCTATTGTTAAAAGGAAATATCTTCCCATAAAAACTAGACAGAAGCCGTCTCAGAAACTTGTTTGTGATGTGTGTATTCAACTAACAGAGTTGAACATTTCTGTTACAGAGCAATTTTAAAACACTCTTTGTGGAATCTGAAAGTGGATAATTGGATAGCTTTGTGGATTTCGTTGGAAACGGGATGACGTATAAAATCTAGAGAGAAGCATTCTCAGGAACTTCTTTCTGATGTTTGCATTCAAGTCACAGAATTGAACATTCCTTTTCAGAGTGCAGGTTTGAAACACTCTTTCTGTAGTATCTGGAAGTGGACATTTCAAGCGCTTTCAGGCCTACGGGGAGAAAGGAAATATCTTCAAATAAAAACTAGACAGAAGGATTCTCAGAAACTTATTTGTGATGTGTGTCCTAAACGAACACAGTTGAACCTTTGTTTTGATACAGCATTTTGGAAACACTCCTTTTGTAGGATCTGCAGGTGGATATTTGGATAGATTTTAAGATTTCGTTGGAAACGGGAATTTCTGCATATAAACTCAAGACAGATGCATTCTCAGAAACTTCTCTGTGATGTTTGCATTCCACTCATAGAGTTGAAAACTTCCTTTCATAGAGCAGGTTTGAAACACTCTTTTTGTAATATTTGGAAGTGGACATTTGCAGCGCTTTGAGGCCTATGGTGAAAAAGGAAATATCTTCTCATAAAAACCAGAAACAAGCATTCTCAGAAACTTCTTTTTGATGTGTGTACTCAAGTAACAGAGTTGAACCTTCCTTTTGACACAGCAGTTTTGAAACAATCTTTTTGTAGAATCTGCAAGTGGATATTTGGATAGCTTTGAGGATTTCGTTGGAAACGGGATATCTTCATATAAAATCTAGACAGAAGCATTCTCAGAAACTTCTTTGTGCTGTATGACCTCAATTAACAGAGTTGAACCATTGCTTGCATACAGCATTTTGGAAACATTCCTTGAGTAGAATCTGCAAGTTGATATTTAGATAGATTTGAAGATTTCGTTCGAAAACGGAATATCTCCATATAAAATCTAGAGGGAAGCATTCTCAGAAACTGCTTTGTGATGTTTCCATTCAAGTCACAGAGTTGAATATTCCCTTTTATAGAGCACGTTTGAAACACTCTTTCTGCACTATCTGGAAGTGGACATTTCGAGCGCTTTGAGGCCTATGGTGAAAAAGGAAATATCTTCCCATAAAAACTAGACGGAAGCATTCTCAGAAACTTGTTTGTGATGTGTGTATTCAACTAACAGAGTTGAACTTTTGTTTTTACAGAGCCGTTTTAAAACACTCTTTTTGTGGAATCAGAAAGTGGATATTCGGATGGCTCTGAGGATTTCGTTGGAAGCGGGATTACATATAAAATCTAGAGAGAAGCATTCTCAGGAACTTCTTTGTGATGTTTGCATTGAAGTCACAGAATTGAACATTCACTTTTATAGAGCAGGGTTGAAACACTCATTCTGTAGTATCTGGAAGTGGACATTTCAAGCGCTTTCAGGCCTATGGTGAGAAAGGAGATATCTTCAAATAAAAACTAGACAGAAGCATCCTCAGAAACTTATTTGTGATGTGTGTCCTCAACTAACAGAGTTGAAACTTTGTTTTGATACAGCCTTTTGGAAACACTCCTTTTGTAGAATCTGCAGGTGGCTATTTGGATAGCTTAGAGGGATTCGTTGGAAAGGGGATATCTTCATATAAAATCTAGACAGAAGCATTCTCAGAAACTTATTTGTGATGTGTGCCCTCAACTAACAGAGTTGAACCTTGGTTTTGATACAGCATTTTGGAAACACTCCTTTTGTAGAATCTGCAGGTGGATATGTGGATAGCTTTGAAGATTTCGTTGGAATCGGGAATTTCTTCATATAAAATCAAACAGAAGCATTCTCAGAAACTTCTCAGTGATGTTTGCATTCAGCTCATGGAGTTGTACACTTCCTTTCATAGAGCAGGTTTGAAACACTCTTTCTGCACTACCTGGAAGAGGACATTTCGAGCGCTTTGAGTCCTATGGTGAAAAAGGAAATATCTTCTCATAGAAACCAGAAAGAAGCATTCTCAGAAACTTCTTTGTGTTGTGTGTACTCATGTAACAGTGTTGAACCATCCTTTTGACAGAGGAGTTTTGAAACACTCTTTTTGTAGAATCTGCAAGTGGATATTTGGATAGCTTTGAGGATTTCGTTGGAAACGGGATGACATATAATATCTAGAGAGAAGCATTCTCAGGAACTTCTTTGTGATGTTTGCATTCAAGTCACAGAATTGAACATTCCCTTTCATAGAGCAGGTTTGAAACACTCTTTCTCTAGTATCTGGAAGTGGGCATTTCAAGCGCTTTCAGGCCTATGGAGAGAAAGGAAATACCTTCAAATAAAAACTAGACAGAAGCATTCTCAGAAACTTATTTGTGATGTGTGTCCTCAACTAACAGAGTTGAACCTTTGTTTTGATACAGCATTTTGGAAACACTCCTTTTGTAGAATCTGCAGGTGGATATTTGGATAGCTTTGAAGATTTCGTTGGAAACCGGAATATCTTCATATAAAATCAAGACAGAAGCATTCTCGGAAACATCTCTGTGATGTTTGCATTCAACTCAGTAGAGTTGAACACTTCCTTTCATAGAGCAGGTTTGAAACACTCTTTCTGCACTACCTGGAAGCGGACATTTCGAGCGCTTTGAGGCCTATGGTGAAAAAGGAAATATCTTCTCATAAAAACCAGAAAGAAGCATTCTCAGAAACTTCTTTGTGTTGTGTGTACTCAAGTAACAGTGTTGAACCTTCCTTTTGACAGAGCAGGTTTGAAACACTCTTTTGGTAGAATCTGCAAGTGGATATTTGGATAGCTTTGAGGATTTCGTTGGAAACGGGTTATCTTCATATAAAATCCAGACAGGAGCATTCTCAGAAACTTCTTTGTGCTGTATGTCCTCAATTCACAGAGCTGAACCTTTGTTTGGATACAGTATTTTGGAAACATTCCTTTAGTAGAATCTGCAAGTTGATATTTAGATAGCTTTGAAGATTTCGTTGGAATCGGGAATATCTTCATAGAAAATCTAGACGGAAGCATTCTCAGAAACTGCTTTGTGACGTTTGCATTCAAGTCACAGAGTTGAATATTCCCTTTTATAGAGTAGGTTTGAAACACTCTTTCGGCACTACCTGGAAGTGGATATTTCGAGCTTCTTTGAGGCCTATGGTTAAAAGGAAATATCTTCCCATAAAAACTAGACAGAAGCCTTCTCAGAAACTTGTTTGAGATGTGTGTATTCAACTAAGAGCGTTGAACATTTCTTTTTACAGAGCAGTTTTAAAACACTCTTTTTGTGGAATCTGAAAGTGGATAATTGGATAGCTTTGTGGATTTCTTTGGAAACGGGATTACGTATAAAATCTAGAGAGAAGCATTCTCAGAAACTTCTTTCTGATGTTTGCATTCAAGTCACAGAATTGAACATTCGTTTTCATAGTGCAGGTTTGAAACACTCTGTAGTATCTGGAAGTGGACATTTCAAGCGCTTTCAGGCCTATGGGGAGAAAGGAAATATCTTGAAATAAAAACTAGACAGAAGGATTCTCAGAAACTTATTTGTGATGTGTGTCCTAAACGAACACAGTTGAACCTTTGTTTTGATACAGCATTTTGGAAACACTCCTTTTGTAGAATCTGCAGGTGGATATTTGGATAGATTTTAAGATTTCATTGGAAACGGGAATTTCTTCATATAAACTCAAGACAGATGCATTCTCAGAAACTTCTCTGTGATGTTTGCATTCCACTCATAGAGTTGAAAACTTCCTTTCATAGAGCAGGTTTGAAACACTCTTTCTGTAATATTTGGAAGTGGACATTTGCAGCGCTTTGAGGCCTATGGTGAAAAAGGAAATATCTTCTCATAAAAACCAGAAACAAGCATTCTCAGAAACTGCTTTTTGATGTGTGTACTCAAGTAACAGAGTTGAACCTTCCTTTTGACACAGCAGTTTTGAAACAATCTTTTTGTAGAATCTGCAAGTGGATATTTGGATAGCTTTGAGGATTTCGTTGGAAACGGGATATCTTCATATAAAATCTAGACAGAAGCATTCTCAGAAACTTCTTTGTGCTGTATGTCCTCAATTAACAGAGTTGAACCATTGCCTGGATACAGCATTTTGGAAACATTCCTTGAGTAGAATCTGCAAGTTGATATTTAGATAGATTTGAAGATTTCGTTGGAAAAGGGAATATCTCCATATAAAATCTAGAGGGAAGCATTGTCAGAAACTGCTTTGTGATGTTTGCATTCAAGTCACTGAGTTAAATAGTCTTTTACAGAGCAGGTTTGAAACACTCTTTCTGCACTACCTGGAAGTGGAGATTTCGAGCGCTTTGAGGCCTATGGTGAAAAAGGAAATATCTTCCCAGAAAAACTAGTCGGAAGCCTTCTCAGAAACTTGTTTGAGATGTGTGTATTCAACTAAGAGCGTTGAACATTTCTTTTTACAGAGCAGTTTTAAAACACTCTTTTTGTGGAATCTGAAAGTGGATAACTGGATAGCTTTGTGGATTTCGTTGGAAACGGGATTACGAATAAAATCTAGAGAGAAGCATTCTCAGGAACTTCTTTCTGATGTTTGCATTCAAGTCACAGAATTGAACATTCCTTTTCATAGTGCAGGTTTGAAACACTCTTTCTGTAGTATCTGGAAGTGGACATTTCAAGCGCTTTCAGGCCTATAGGGAGAAAGGAAATACCTTCAAATTAAAAACTAGACAGAAGGATTCTCAGAAACTTATTTGTGATGTGTGTCGTAAACGAACACAGTTGAACCTTTGTTTTGATACAGGATTTTGGAAACACTCCTTTTGTAGAATCTGCAGGTGGATATTTGGATAGATTTTAAGATTTCGTTGGAAATGGGAATTTCTTCATAGAAACTCAAGACAGATGCATTCTCAGAAACTTCTCTGTGATGTTTGCATTCCACTCATAGAGTTGAAAACTTCCTTTCATAGAGCACGTTTGAAACACTCTTTTTGTAATATTTGGAAGTGGACATTTGCAGCGCTTTGAGGCCTATGGTGAAAAAGGAAATATCTTCTCATAAAAACCAGAAACAAGCATTCTCAGAAACTTCTTTTTGATGTGTGTACTCAAGTAACAGAGTTGAACCTTCCTTTTGACACAGCAGTTTTGAAACAATCTTTTTGTAGAATCTGCAAGTGGATATTTGGATAGCTTTGAGGATTTCGTTGCAAACGGGATATCTTCATATAAAATCTAGACAGAAGCATTGTCAGAAACTTCTTTGTGCTATATGTCCTCAATTAACAAAGTTGAACCATTGCTTGGATACAGCATTTTGGAAACATTCCTTTAGTAGAATCTGCAAGTTGATATTTAGATAGATTTGAAGATTTCGTTGGAAACGGGAATATCTTCATATAAAATCTAGACGGAAGCATTGTCAGAAACTGCTTTGTGATGTTTGCATTCAAGTCACAGAGTTAAATATTCTTTTACAGAGCAGGTTTGAAACACTCTTTCTGCACTCCCTGGAAGTGGAGATTTCGAGCGCTTTGAGGCCTATGGTGAAAAAGGAAATATCTTCCCATAAAAACTAGACGGAAGCCTTCTCAGAAACTTGTTTGAGATGTGTGTATTCAACTAAGAGCGTTGAACATTTCTTTTTACAGAGCAGTTTTAAAACACTCTTTTTGTGGAATCTGAAAGTGGATAATTGGATAGCTTTGTGGATTTCGTTGGAAACGGGATGACGTATAAAATCTAGAGAGAAGCATTCTCAGGAACTTCTTTCTGATGTTTGCATTCAAGTCACAGAATTGAACATTCCTTTTCATAGTGCAGGTTTGAAACACTCTTTCTGTAGTATCTGGAAGTGGACATTTCAAGCGCTTTCAGGCCTGTGGGGAGAAAGGAAATATCTTCAAATAAAAACTAGACAGAAGGATTCTCAGAAACTTATTTGTGATGTGTGTCCTAAACGAACACAGTTGAACCTTTGTTTTGATACAGCATTTTGGAAACACTCCTTTTGTAGGATCTGCAGGTGGATATTTGGATAGATTTTAAGATTTCGTTGGAAACGGGAATTTCTTCATAGACGCTCAAGACAGATGCATTCTCAGAAACTTCTCTGTGATGTTTGCATTCCACTCATAGAGTTGAAAACTTCCTTTCATAGAGCAGGTTTGAAACACTCTTTTTGTAATATTTGGAAGTGGACATTTGCAGCGCTTTGAGGCCTATGGTGAAAAAGGAAATATCTTCTCATAAAAACCAGAAACAAGCATTCTCAGAAACTTCTTTTTGATGTGTGTACTCAAGTAACAGAGTTGAACCTTCCTCTTGACACAGCAGTTTTGAAACAATCTTTTTGTAGAATCTGCAAGTGGATATTTGGATAGCTTTGAGGATTTCGTTGGAAACGGGATATCTTCATATAAAATCTAGACAGAAGCATTCTCAGAAACTTCTTTGTGCTGTATGTCCTCAATTAACAGAGTTGAACCATTGCCTGGATACAGCATTTTGGAAACATTCCTTTAGTAGAATCTGCAAGTTGATATTTAGATAGATTTGAAGATTTCGTTGGAAAAGGGAATATCTCCATATAAAATCTAGAGGGAGGCATTCTCAGAAACTGCTTTGTGATGTTTCCATTCAAGTCACAGAGTTGAATATTCTCTTTTATAGAGCACGTTTGAAACACTCTTTCTGCACTATCTGGAAGTGGACATTTCGAGCGCTTTGAGGCCTATGGTGAAAAAGGAAATATCTTCCCATAAAAACTAGACAGAAGCATTCTCAGAAACTTGTTTGTGATGTGTGTATTCAACTAACAGTAGTTGAACTTTTGTTTTTACAGAGCCGTTTTAAAACACTCTTTTTGTGGAATCAGAAAGTGGATATTCGGATGGCTCTGAGGATTTCGTTGGAAGCGGGATTACATATAAAATCTAGAGAGAAGCATTCTCAGGAACTTCTTTGTGATGTTTGCATTGAAGTCACAGAATTGAACATTCACTTTGATAGAGCAGGTTTGAAACACTCATTCTGTAGGATCTGGAAGTGGACATTTCAAGCGCTTTCAGGCCTATGGTGAGAAAGGAAATATCTTCGAATAAAAACTAGACAGAAGCATCCTCAAACTAATTGGTGATGTGTGTCCTCAACTAACAGAGTTGAAACTTTGTTTTGATACAGCATTTTGGAAACACTCTTTTTGTAGAATCTGCAGGTGGATATTTGGATAGCTTAGAGGGATTCGTTGGAAAGGGGATATCTTCATATAAAATCTAGACAGAAGCATTCTCAGAAACTTATTTGTGATGTGTGTCCTCAACTAACAGAGTGGAACCTTGGTTTTGATACAGCATTTTGGAAACACTCCTTTTGTAGAATCTGCAGGTGGATATGTGGATAGCTTTGAAGATTTCGTTGGAAACGGGAATTTCTTCATATAAAATCAAACAGAAGCATTCTCAGAAACTTCTCAGTGATGTTTGCATTCAGTTCATGGAGTTGAACACTTCCTTTCATAGAGCCGGTTTGAAACACTCTTTCTGCACTACCTGGAAGAGGACATTTCGAGCGCTTTGAGTCCTATGGTGAAAAAGGAAATATCTTCTCATAGAAACCAGAAAGAAGCGTTCTCAGAAACTTCTTTGTGTTGTGTGTACTCATGTAACAGTGTTGAACCATCCTTTTGACAGAGCAGTTTTGAAACAATCTTTTTGTAGAATCTGCAAGTGGATATTTGGATAGCTTTGAGGATTTCGTTGGAAATGGGATATCTTCATATAAAATCTAGACAGAAGCATTCTCAGGAACTTCTTTGTGATGTTTGCATTCAAGTCACAGAATTGAACATTCCCTTTCATAGAGCAGGTTTGAAACACTCTTTCTCTAGTATCTGGAAGTGGGCATTTCAAGCGCTTTCAGGCCTATGGAGAGAAAGGAAATACCTTCAAATAAAAACTAGACAGAAGCATTCTCAGAAACTTATTTGTGATGTGTGTCCTCAACTAACAGAGTTGAACCTTTGTTTTGATACAGCATTTTGGAAACACTCCTTTTGTAGAATCTGCAGGTGGATATTTGGATAGCTTTGAAGATTTCGTTGGAAACCGGAATATCTTCATATAAAATCAAGACAGAAGCATTCTCGGAAACATCTCTGTGATGTTTGCATTCAACTCAGTAGAGTTGAACACTTCCTTTCATAGAGCAGGTTTGAAACACTCTTTCTGCACTACCTGGAAGCGGACATTTCGAGCGCTTTGAGGCCTATGGTGAAAAAGGAAATATCTTCTCATAAAAACCAGAAAGAAGCATTCTCAGAAACTTCTTTGTGTTGTGTGTACTCAAGTAACAGTGTTGAACCTTCCTTTTGACAGAGCAGTTTTGAAACACTCTTTTGGTAGAATCTGCAAGTGGATATTTGGAGAGCTTTGAGGATTTCGTTGGAAACGGGTTATCTTCATATAAAATCCAGACAGGAGCATTCTCAGAAACTTCTTTGTGCTGTATTTCCTCAATTCACAGAGCTGAACCTTTGTTTGGATATAGCATTTTGGAGACATTCCTTTAGTAGAATCTGCAAGTTGATATTTAGATAGCTTTGAAGATTTCGTTGGAAACGGGAATATCTTCATAGAAAATCTAGACGGAAGCATTCTCAGAAACTGCTTTGTGATGTTTGCATTCAAGTCACAGAGTTGAATATTCCCTTTTATAGAGTAGGTTTGAAACACTCTTTCGGCACTACCTGGAAGTGGATATTTCGAGCTCTTTGAGGCCTATGGTTAAAAGGAAATATCTTCCCATAAAAACTAGACAGAAGCCTTCTCAGAAACTTGTTTGAGATGTGTGTATTCAACTAAGAGCGTTGAACATTTCTTTTTACAGAGCAGTTTTAAAACACTCTTTTTGTGGAATCTGAAAGTGGATAACTGGATAGCTTTGTGGATTTCGTTGGAAACGGGATTACGAATAAAATCTAGAGAGAAGCATTCTCAGGAACTTCTTTCTGATGTTTGCATTCAAGTCACAGAATTGAACATTCCTCTTCATAGTGCAGGTTTGAAACACTCTTTCTGTAGTATCTGGAAGGGGACATTTCAAGCGCTTTCAGGCCTCTGAGGAGGAAGGAAATATCTTCAAATAAAAACTAGACAGAAGGATTCTCAGAAACTTATTTGTGATGTGTGTCCTAAACGAACACAGTTGAACCTTTGTTTTGATACAGCATTTTGGAAACACTCCTTTTGTAGAATCTGCAGGTGGATATTTGGATAGATTTTAAGATTTCATTGGAAACGGGAATTTCTTCATATAAACTCAAGACAGATGCATTCTCAGAAACTTCTCTGTGATGTTTGCATTCCACTCATAGAGTTGAAAACTTCCTTTCATAGAGCACGTGTGAAACACTCTTTTTGTAATATTTGGAAGTGGAACTTTGCAGCGCTTTGAGGCCTATGGTGAAAAAGGAAATATCTTCTCATAAAAACCAGAAACAAGCATTCTCAGAAACTTCTTTTTCATGTGTGTACTCAAATATCAGAGTTGAACCTTCCTTTTGACACAGCAGTTTTGAAACAATCTTTTTGTAGAATCTGCAAGTGGACATTTGGATAGCTTTGATGATTTCGTTGGAAACGGGATATCTTCATATAAAATCTAGACAGAAGCATTCTCAGAAACTTCTTTGTGCTGTATGTCCTCAATTAACAGAGTTGAACCATTGCTTGCATACAGCATTTTGGAAACATTCCTTTAGTAGAATCTGCAAGTTGATATTTAGATAGATTTGAAGATTTCGTTGGAAACAGGAATATCTTCATATAAAATCTAGACGGAAGCATTCTCAGAAACTGCTTTGTGATGTTTCCATTCAAGTCACAGAGTTGAATATTCCCTTTTATAGAGCACGTTTGAAACACTCTTTCTGCACTATCTGGAAGCGGACATTTCGAGCGCTTTGAGGCCTATGGTGAAAAAGGAAATATCTTCCCATAAAAACTAGACAGAAGCATTGTCAGAAACTTGTTTGTGATGTGTGTATTCAACTAACAGACTTGAACTTTTGTTTTTACAGAGCAGTTTTAAAACAATCTTTTTGTGGAATCAGAAAGTGGATATTCGGATGGCTTTGAGGATTTCGTTGGAAGCGGGATTACATATAAAATGTAGAGAGAAGCATTCTCAGGAACTACTTTGTGATGTTTGCATTGAAGTCACAGAATTGAACATTCACTTTGATAGAGCAGGTTTGAAACACTCATTCTGTAGTATCTGGAAGTGGACATTTCAAGCGCTTTCAGGCCTATGGGGAGAAAGGAAATATCTTCAAATTAAAACTAGACAGAAGCATCCTCAGAAACTTATTTGTGATGTGTGTCCTCAACTAACAGAGTTGAAACTTTGTTTTGATACAGCATTTTGGAAACACTCTTTTTGTAGAATCTGCAGGTGGATATTTGGATAGCTTAGAGGGATTCGTTGGAAAGGGGATATCTTCATATAAAATCTAGACAGAAGCATTCTCAGAAACTTATTTGTGATGTGTGTCCTCAACTAACAGAGTTGAACCTTGGTTTTGATACAGCATTTTGGAAACACTCCTTTTGTAGAATCTGCAGGTGGATATGTGGATAGCTCTGAAGATTTCGTTGGAAACGGGAATTTCTTCATATAAAATCAAACAGAAGCATTCTCAGAAACTTCTCAGTGATGTTTGCATTCAGTTCATGGAGTTGAACACTTCCTTTCATAGAGCCGGTTTGAAACACTCTTTCTGCACTACCTGGAAGAGGACATTTCGAGCGCTTTGAGTCCTATGGTGAAAAAGGAAATATCTTCTCATAGAAACCAGAAAGAAGCATTCTCAGAAACTTCTTTGTGTTGTGTGTACTCATGTAACAGTGTTGAACCATCCTTTTGACAGAGGAGTTTTGAAACACTCTTTTTGTAGAATCTGCAAGTGGATATTTGGATAGCTTTGAGGATTTCGTTGGAAACGGGATGACATATAATATCTAGAGAGAAGCATTCTCAGGAACTTCTTTGTGATGTTTGCATTCAAGTCACAGAATTGAACATTCCCTTTCATAGAGCAGGTTTGAAACACTCTTTCTCTAGTATCTGGAAGTGGGCATTTCAAGCGCTTTCAGGCCTATGGAGAGAAAGGAAATACCTTCAAATAAAAACTAGACAGAAGCATTCTCAGAAACTTATTTGTGATGTGTGTCCTCAACTAACAGAGTTGAACCTTTGTTTTGATACAGCATTTTGGAAACACTCCTTTTGTAGAATCTGCAGGTGGATATTTGGATAGCTTTGAAGATTTCGTTGGAAACCGGAATATCTTCATATAAAATCAAGACAGAAGCATTCTCGGAAACATCTCTGTGATGTTTGCATTCAACTCAGTAGAGTTGAACACTTCCTTTCATAGAGCAGGTTTGAAACACTCTTTCTGCACTACCTGGAAGCGGACATTTCGAGCGCTTTGAGGCCTATGGTGAAAAAGGAAATATCTTCTCATAAAAACCAGAAAGAAGCATTCTCAGAAACTTCTTTGTGTTGTGTGTACTCAAGTAACAGTGTTGAACCTTCCTTTTGACAGAGCAGTTTTGAAACACTCTTTTGGTAGAATCTGCAAGTGGATATTTGGATAGCTTTGAGGATTTCGTTGGAAACGGGTTATCTTCCTATAAAATCCAGACAGGAGCATTCTCAGAAACTTCTTTGTGCTGTATGTCCTCAATTCACAGAGCTGAACCTTTGTTTGGATACAGCATTTTGGAGACATTCCTTTAGTAGAATCTGCAAGTTGATATTTAGATAGCTTTGAAGATTTCGTTGGAAACGGGAATATCTTCATAGAAAATCTAGACGGAAGCATTCTCAGAAACTGCTTTGTGATGTTTGCATTCAAGTCACAGAGTTGAATATTCCCTTTTATAGAGTAGGTTTGAAACACTCTTTCGGCACTACCTGGAAGTGGATATTTCGAGCTCTTTGAGGCCTATGGTTAAAAGGAAATATCTTCCCATAAAAACTAGACAGAAGCCTTCTCAGAAACTTGTTTGAGATGTGTGTATTCAACTAAGGAGCGTTGAACATTTCTTTTTAGAGAGCAGTTTTAAAACACTCTTTTTGTGGAATCTGAAAGTGGATAATTGGATAGCTTTGTGGATTTCGTTGGAAACGGGATGACGTATAAAATCTAGAGAGAAGCATTCTCAGGAACTTCTTTCTGATGTTTGCATTCAAGTCACAGAATTGAACATTCCTTTTCATAGTGCAGGTTTGAAACACTCTTTCTGTAGTATCTGGAAGTGGACATTTCAAGCGCTTTCAGGCCTATGGGGAGAAAGGAAATATCTTCAAATAAAAACTAGACAGAAGGATTCTCAGAAACTTATTTGTGATGTGTGTCCTAAACGACCACAGTTGAACCATTGTTTTGATACAGCATTTTGGAAACACTCCTTTTGTAGAATCTGCAGGTGGATATTTGGATAGATTTTAAGATTTCGTTGGAAACGGGAATTTCTTCATATAAACTCAAGACAGATGCATTCTCAGAAACTTCTCTGTGATGTTTGCATTCCACTCATAGAGTTGAATACTTCCTTTCATAGAGCACGTTTGAAACACTCTTTTTGTAATATTTGGAAGTGGACCTTTGCAGCGCTTTGAGGCCTATGGTGAAAAAGGAAATATCTTCTCATAAAAACCAGAAACAAGCATTCTCAGAAACTTCTTTTTGATGTGTGTACTCAAGTAACAGAGTTCAACCTTCCTTTTGACACAGCAGTTTTGAAACAATCTTTTTGTAGAATCTGCAAGTGGATATTTGGATAGCTTTGAGGATTTCGTTGCAAACGGGATATCTTCGTATAAAATCTAGACAGAAGCATTCTCAGAAACTTCTTTGTGCTGTATGTCCTCAATTAACAGAGTTGAACCATTGCTTGGATACAGCATTTTGGAAACATTCCTTTAGTAGAATCTGCAAGTTGATATTTAGATAGATTTGAAGATTTCGTTGGAAACGGGAATATCTTCATATAAAATCTAGACGGAAGCATTCTCAGAAACTGCTTTGTGATGTTTCCATTCAAGTCACAGAGTTGAATATTCCCTTTTATAGAGCACGTTTGAAACACTCTTTCTGCACTATCTGGAAGTGGACATTTCGAGCGCTTTGAGGCCTATGGTGAAAAAGGAAATATCTTCCCATAAAAACTAGACAGAAGCATTCTCAGAAACTTGTTTGTGATGTGTGTATTCAACTAACAGAGTTGAACTTTTGTTTTTACAGAGCCGTTTTAAAACACTCTTTTTGTGGAATCAGAAAGTGGATATTCGGATGGCTCTGAGGATTTCGTTGGAAGCGGGATTACGTATAAAATCTAGAGAGAAGCATTATCAGGAACTACTTTGTGATGTTTGCATTGAAGTCACAGAATTGAACATTCACTTTGATAGAGCAGGTTTGAAACACTCATTCTGTAGTATCTGGAAGCGGACAATTCAAGCGCTTTCAGGCCTATGGGGAGAAAGGAAATATCTTCAAATGAAAACTAGACAGAAGCATCCTCAGAAACTTATTTGTGATGTGTGTCCTCAACTAACAGAGTTGAAACTTTGTTTTGATACAGCATTTTGGAAACACTCTTTTTGTAGAATCTGCAGGTGGATATTTGGATAGCTTAGAGGGATTCGTTGGAAAGGGGATATCTTCATAGAAAATCTAGACAGAAGCATTCTCAGAAACTTATTTGTGATGTGTGTCCTCAACTAACAGAGTTGAACCTTGGTTTTGATACAGCGTTTTGGAAACAATCCTTTTGTAGAATCTGCAGGTGGATATTTGGATAGCTTTGAAGATTTCGTTGGAAACGGGAATTTCTTCATATAAAATCAAACAGAAGCATTCTCAGAAACTTCTCTGTGATGTTTGCATTCAGCTCATGGAGTTGAACACTTCCTTTCATAGAGCAGCTTTGAAACACTCTTTCTGCACTACCAGGAAGTGGACATTTCGAGCGCTTTGAGGCCTATGGTGAAAAAGGAAATATCTTCTCATAAAAACCAGAAAGAAGCGTTCTCAGAAACTTCTTTGTGTTGTGTGTACTCATGTAACAGTGTTGAACCATCCTTTTGACAGAGCAGTTTTGAAACACTCTTTTTGTAGAATCTGCATGTGGATATTTGGATAGCTTTGAGGATTTCGTTGGAAACGGGTTATCTTCATATTAAATCTAGACAGAAGCATTCTCAGAAACTTCTTTGTGCTGTATGTCCTCAATTCACAGAGTTGAACCTTTGTTTGGATACAGCATTTTGGAAACATTCCTTTAGTAGAATCTGCAAGTTGATATTTAGATAGCTTTGAAGATTTCGTTGGAAACGGGAATATCTTCATAAAAAATCTAGACGGAAGCATTGTCAGAAACTGCTCTGTGATGTTTGCATTCAAGTCACAGAGTTAAATATTCTTTTATAGAGCAGGTTTGAAACACTCTTTCTGCACTCCCTGGAAGTGGAGATTTCGAGCGCTTTGAGGCCTATGGTGAAAAAGGAAATATCTTCCTGTAAAAACTAGACGGAAGCCTTCTCAGAAACTTGTTTGAGATGTGTGTATTCAACTAAGAGCGTTGAACATTTCTTTTTACAGAGCAGTTTTAAAACACTCTTTTGGTGCAATCTGAAAGTGGATAATTGGATAGCTTTGTGGATTTCGTTGGAAACGGGATTACGTTTAAAATCCTAGAGAGAAGCATTCTCAGGAACTTCTTTCTGATGTTTGCATTCAAGTCACAGAATTGAACATTCCTTTTCATAGTGCAGGTTTGAAACACTCTGTAGTATCTGGAAGTGGACATTTCAAGCGCTTTCAGGCCTATGGGGAGAAAGGAAATATCTTGAAATAAAAACTAGACAGAAGGATTCTCAGAAACTTATTTGTGATGTGTGTCCTAAACGAACACAGTTGAACCTTTGTTTTGATACAGCATTTTGGAAACACTCCTTTTGTAGAATCTGCAGGTGGATATTTGGATAGATTTTAAGATTTCATTGGAAACGGGAATTTCTTCATATAAACTCAAGACAGATGCATTCTCAGAAACTTCTCTGTGATGTTTGCATTCCAATCACAGCAGTTGAAAACTTCCTTTCATAGAGCAGGTTTGAAACACTCTTTTTGTAATACTTGGAAGTGGACATTTGCAGCGCTTTGAGGCCTATGGTGAAAAAGGAAATATCTTCTCATAAAAACCAGAAACAAGCATTCTCAGAAACTTCTTTTTGATGTGTGTACTCAAGTAACAGAGTTGAACCTTCCTCTTGACACAGCAGTTTTGAAACAATCTTTTTGTAGAATCTGCAAGTGGATATTTGGATAGCTTTGAGGATTTCGTTGGAAACGGGATATCTTCATATAAAATCTAGACAGAAGCATTCTCAGAAACTTCTTTGTGCTGTATGTCCTCAATTAACAGAGTTGAACCATTGCCTGGATACAGCATTTTGGAAACATTCCTTGAGTAGAATCTGCAAGTTGATATTTAGATAGATTTGAAGATTTCGTTGGAAAAGGGAATATCTCCATATAAAATCTAGAGGGAGGCATTCTCAGAAACTGCTTTGTGATGTTTCCATTCAAGTCACAGAGTTGAATATTCTCTTTTATAGAGCAGGTTTGAAACACTCTTTCTGCACTATCTGGAAGTGGACATTTCGAGCGCTTTGAGGCCTATGGTGAAAAAGGAAATATCTTCCCATAAAAACTAGACAGAAGCATTCTCAGAATCTTGTTTGTGATGTGTGTATTCAACTAACAGACTTGAACTTTTGTTTTTACAGAGCAGTTTTAAGACAATCTTTTTGTGGAATCAGAAAGTGGATATTCGGATGGCTTTGAGGACCTCGTTGGAAGCGGGATTACATATAAAATCTAGAGAGAAGCATTCGCAGGAACTTCTTTCTGATGTTTGCATTGAAGTCACAGAATTGAACATTCACTTTTATAGAGCAGGTTTGAAACACTCATTCTGTAGTATCTGGAAGTGGACATTTCAAGCGCTTTCAGGCCTATGGTGAGAAAGGAAATATCTTCGAATCAAAACTAGACAGAAGCATCCTCAGAAACTTATTTGTGATGTGTGTCCTCAACTAACAGAGTTGAAACTTTGTTTTGATACAGCATTTTGGAAACACTCTTTTTGTAGAATCTGCAGGTGGATATTTGGATAGCTTAGAGGGATTCGTTGGAAAGGGGATATCTTCATATAAAATCTAGACAGAAGCATTCTCAGAAACTTATTTGTGATGTGTGTCCTCAACTAACAGAGTTGAACTTTGGTTTTGATACAGCATTTTGGAAACACTCCTTTTGTAGAATCTGCAGGTGGATATGTGGATAGCTCTGAAGATTTCGTTGGAAACGGGAATTTCTTCATATAAAATCAAACAGAAGCATTCTCAGAAACTTCTCAGTGATGTTTGCATTCAGTTCATGGAGTTGAACACTTCCCTTCATAGAGCCGGTTTGAAACACTCTTTCTGCACTACCTGGAAGAGGACATTTCGAGCGCTTTGAGTCCTATGGTGAAAAAGGAAATATGCTTCTCATATAAACCAGAAAGAAGCATTCTCAGAAACTTCTTTGTGTTGTGTGTACTCATGTAACAGTGTTGAACCATCCTTTTGACAGAGCAGTTTTGAAACACTCTTTTTGTAGAATCTGCAAGTGGATATTTGGATAGCTTTGAGGATTTCGTTGGAAACGGGATGACATATAATATCTAGAGAGAAGCATTCTCAGGAACTTCTTTGTGATGTTTGCATTCAAGTCACAGAATTGAACATTCCCTTTCATAGAGCAGGTTTGAAACACTCTTTCTCTAGTATCTGGAAGTGGGCATTTCAAGCGCTTTCAGGCCTATGGAGAGAAAGGAAATACCTTCAAATAAAAACTAGACAGAAGCATTCTCAGAAACTTATTTGTGATGTGTGTCCTCAACTAACAGAGTTGAACCTTTGTTTTGATACAGCATTTTGGAAACACTCCTTTTGTAGAATCTGCAGGTGGATATTTGGATAGCTTTGAAGATTTCGTTGGAAACCGGAATATCTTCATATAAAATCAAGACAGAAGCATTCTCGGAAACATCTCTGTGATGTTTGCATTCAACTCAGTAGAGTTGAACACTTCCTTTCATAGAGCAGGTTTGAAACACTCTTTCTGCACTACCTGGAAGCGGACATTTCGAGCGCTTTGAGGCCTATGGTGAAAAAGGAAATATCTTCTCATAAAAACCAGAAAGAAGCATTCTCAGAAACTTCTTTGTGTTGTGTGTACTCAAGTAACAGTGTTGAACCTTCCTTTTGACAGAGCAGTTTTGAAACACTCTTTTGGTAGAATCTGCAAGTGGATATTTGGATAGCTTTGAGGATTTCGTTGGAAACGGGTTATCTTCCTATAAAATCCAGACAGGAGCATTCTCAGAAACTTCTTTGTGCTGTATGTCCTCAATTCACAGAGCTGAACCTTTGTTTGGATACAGCATTTTGGAGACATTCCTTTAGTAGAATCTGCAAGTTGATATTTAGATAGCTTTGAAGATTTCGTTGGAAACGGGAATATCTTCATAGAAAATCTAGACGGAAGCATTCTCAGAAACTGCTTTGTGATGTTTGCATTCAAGTCACAGAGTTGAATATTCCCTTTTATAGAGTAGGTTTGAAACACTCTTTCGGCACTACCTGGAAGTGGATATTTCGAGCTCTTTGAGGCCTATGGTTAAAAGGAAATATCTTCCCATAAAAACTAGACAGAAAGCCGTCTCAGAAACTTGTTTGTGATGTGTGTATTCAACTACCAGAGTGGAACATTTGTGTTACAGAGCAATTTTAAAACACTCTTTTTGTGGAATCTGAAAGTGGATAATTGGATAGCTTTGTGGATTTCGTTGGAAACGGGATGACGTATAAAATCTAGAGAGAAGCATTCTCAGGAACTTCTTTCTGATGTTTGCATTCAAGTCACAGAATTGAACATTCCTTTTCAGAGTGCAGGTTTGAAACACTCTTTCTGTAGTATCTGGAAGTGGACATTTCAAGCGCTTTCAGGCCTACGGGGAGAAAGGAAATATCTTCAAATAAAAACTAGACAGAAGGATTCTCAGAAACTTATTTGTGATGTGTGTCCTAAACGAACACAGTTGAACCTTTGTTTTGATACAGCATTTTGGAAACACTCCTTTTGTAGGATCTGCAGGTGGATATTTGGATAGATTTTAAGATTTCGTTGGAAACGGGAATTTCTTCATAGAAGCTCAAGACAGATGCATTCTCAGAAACTTCTCTGTGATGTTTGCATTCCACTCATAGAGTTGAAAACTTCCTTTCATAGAGCAGGTTTGAAACACTCTTTTTGTAATATTTGGAAGTGGACATTTGCAGCGCTTTGAGGCCTATGGTGAAAAAGGAAATATCTTCTGATAAAAACCAGAAACAAGCATTCTCAGAAACTTCTTTTTGATGTGTGTACTCAAGTAACAGAGTTGAACCTTCCTTTTGACACAGCAGTTTTGAAACAATCTTTTTGTAGAATCTGCAAGTGGATATTTGGATAGCTTTGAGGATTTCGTTGGAAACGGGATATCTTCATATAAAATCTAGACAGAAGCATTCTCAGAAACTTCTTTGTGCTGTATGTCCTCAATTAACAGAGTTGAACCATTGCTTGGATACAGCATTTTGGAAACATTCCTTTAGTAGAATCTGCAAGTTGATATTTAGATAGATTTGAAGATTTCGTTGGAAACGGGAATATCTTCATATAAAATCTAGACGGAAGCATTCTCAGAAACTGCTTTGTGATGTTTCCATTCAAGTCACAGAGTTGAATATTCCCTTTTATAGAGCACGTTTGAAACACTCTTTCTGCGCTATCTGGAAGTGGACATTTCGAGCGCTTTGAGGCCTATGGTGAAAAAGGAAATATCTTCCCATAAAAACTAGACAGAAGCATTCTCAGAAAACTTGTTTGTGATGTGTGTATTCAACTAACAGAGTTGAACTTTTGTTTTTACAGAGCCGTTTTAAAACACTCTTTTTGTGGAATCAGAAAGTGGATATTCGGATGGCTCTGAGGATTTCGTTGGAAGCGGGATTACGTATAAAATCTAGAGAGAAGCATTCTCAGCAACTTCTTTGTGATGTTTGCATTGAAGTCACAGAATTGAACATTCACTTTGATAGAGCAGGTTTGAAACACTCATTCTGTAGTATCTGGAAGCGGACAATTCTAGCGCTTTCAGGCCTATGGGGAGAAAGGAAATATCTTCAAATAAAAACTAGAGAGAAGCATCCTCAGAAACTTATTTGTGATGTGTGTCCTCAACTAACAGAGTTGAAACTTTGTTTTGATACAGCATTTTGGAAACACTCTTTTTGTAGAATCTGCAGGTGGATACTTGGATAGCTTAGAGGGATTCGTTGGAAAGGGGATAAATTCATATAAAATACTAGACAGAAGCATTCTCAGAAACTTATTTGTGATGTGTGTCCTCAACTAACAGAGTTGAACCTTGGTTTTGATACAGCATTTTGGAAACACTCCTTTTGTAGAATCTGCAGTTGGATATGTGGATAGCTCTGAAGATTTCGTTGGAAACGGGAATTTCTTCATATAAAATCAAACAGAAGCATTCTCAGAAACTTCTCAGTGATGTTTGCATTCAGCTCATGGAGTTGTACACTTCCTTTCATAGAGCAGGTTTGAAACACTCTTTCTGCACTACCTGGAAGAGGACATTTCGAGCGCTTTGAGTCCTATGGTGAAAAAGGAAATATCTTCTCATAGAAACCAGAAAGAAGCATTCTCAGAAACTTCTTTGTGTTGTGTGTACTCATGTAACAGTGTTGAACCATCCTTTTGACAGAGCAGTTTTGAAACACTCTTTTTGTAGAATCTGCAAGTGGATATTTGGATAGCTTTGAGGATTTCGTTGGAAACGGGATGACATATAATATCTAGAGAGAAGCATTCTCAGGAACTTCTTTGTGATGTTTGCATTCAAGTCACAGAATTGAACATTCCCTTTCATAGAGCAGGTTTGAAACACTCTTTCTCTAGTATCTGGAAGTGGGCATTTCAAGCGCTTTCAGGCCTATGGAGAGAAAGGAAATACCTTCAAATAAAAACTAGACAGAAGCATTCTCAGAAACTTATTTGTGATGTGTGTCCTCAACTAACAGAGTTGAACCTTTGTTTTGATACAGCATTTTGGAAACACTCCTTTTGTAGAATCTGCAGGTGGATATTTGGATAGCTTTGAAGATTTCGTTGGAAACCGGAATATCTTCATATAAAATCAAGACAGAAGCATTCTCGGAAACATCTCTGTGATGTTTGCATTCAACTCAGTAGAGTTGAACACTTCCTTTCATAGAGCAGGTTTGAAACACTCTTTCTGCACTACCTGGAAGCGGACATTTCGAGCGCTTTGAGGCCTATGGTGAAAAAGGAAATATCTTCTCATAAAAACCAGAAAGAAGCATTCTCAGAAACTTCTTTGTGTTGTGTGTACTCAAGTAACAGTGTTGAACCTTCCTTTTGACAGAGCAGTTTTGAAACACTCTTTTGGTAGAATCTGCAAGTGGATATTTGGATAGCTTTGAGGATTTCGTTGGAAACGGGTTATCTTCCTATAAAATCCAGACAGGAGCATTCTCAGAAACTTCTTTGTGCTGTATGTCCTCAATTCACAGAGCTGAACCTTTGTTTGGATACAGCATTTTGGAGACATTCCTTTAGTAGAATCTGCAAGTTGATATTTAGATAGCTTTGAAGATTTCGTTGGAAACGGGAATATCTTCATAGAAAATCTAGACGGAAGCATTCTCAGAAACTGCTTTGTGATGTTTGCATTCAAGTCACAGAGTTGAATATTCCCTTTTATAGAGTAGGTTTGAAACACTCTTTCGGCACTACCTGGAAGTGGATATTTCGAGCTCTTTGAGGCCTATGGTTAAAAGGAAATATCTTCCCATAAAAACTAGACAGAAGCCGTCTCAGAAACTTGTTTGTGATGTGTGTATTCAACTACCAGAGTTGAACATTTCTGTTACAGAGCAATTTTAAAACACTCTTTTTGTGGAATCTGAAAGTGGATAATTGGATAGCTTTGTGGATTTCGTTGGAAACGGGATGACGTATAAAATCTAGAGAGAAGCATTCTCAGGAACTTCTTTCTGATGTTTGCATTCAAGTCACAGAATTGAACATTCCTTTTCAGAGTGCAGGTTTGAAACACTCTTTCTGTAGTATCTGGAAGTGGACATTTCAAGCGCTTTCAGGCCTACGGGGAGAAAGGAAATATCTTCAAATAAAAACTAGACAGAAGGATTCTCAGAAACTTATTTGTGATGTGTGTCCTAAACGAACACAGTTGAACCTTTGTTTTGATACAGCATTTTGGAAACACTCCTTTTGTAGGATCTGCAGGTGGATATTTGGATAGATTTTAAGATTTCGTTGGAAACGGGAATTTCTGCATAGAAACTCAAGACAGATGCATTCTCAGAAACTTCTCTGTGATGTTTGCATTCCACTCATAGAGTTGAAAACTTCCTTTCATAGAGCACGTTTGAAACACTCTTTTTGTAATATTTGGAAGTGGACCTTTGCAGCGCTTTGAGGCCTATGGTGAAAAAGGAAATATACTTCTCATAAAAACCAGAAACAAGCATTCTCAGAAACTTCTTTTTGATGTGTGTACTCAAGTAACAGAGTTGAACCTTCCTTTTGACACAGCAGTTTTGAAACAATCTTTTTGTAGAATCTGCAAGTGGATATTTGGATAGCTTTGAGGATTTCGTTGGAAACGGGTTATCTTCATATAAAATCTAGACAGAAGCATTCTCAGAAACTTCTTTGTGCTGTATGTCCTCAATTAACAGAGTTGAACCATTGCTTGGATACAGCATTTTGGAAACATTCCTTTAGTAGAATCTGCAAGTTGATATTTAGATAGCTTTAAAGATTTCGTTGGAAACGGGAATATCTTCATATAAAATCTAGACGGAAGCATTCTCAGAAACTGCTTTGTGATGTTTCCATTCAAGTCACAGAGTTGAATATTCTCTTTTATAGAGCACGTTTGAAACACTCTTTCTGCACTATCTGGAAGTGGACATTTCGAGCGCTTTGAGGCCTATGGTGAAAAAGGAAATATCTTCCCATAAAAACTAGACAGAAGCATTCTCAGAAACTTGTTTGTGATGTGTGTATTCAACTAACAGAGTTGAACTTTTGTTTTTACAGAGCCGTTTTAAAACACTCTTTTTGTGGAATCAGAAAGTGGATATTCGGATGGCTCTGAGGATTTCGTTGGAAGCGGGATTACGTATAAAATCTAGAGAGAAGCATTCTCAGGAACTTCTTTGTGATGTTTGCATTGAAGTCACAGAATTGAACATTCACTTTGATAGAGCAGGTTTGAAACACTCATTCTGTAGGATCTGGAAGTGGACATTTCAAGCGCTTTCAGGCCTATGGTGAGAAAGGAAATATCTTCGAATAAAAACTAGACAGAAGCATTCTCAGAAACTTATTTGTGATGTGTGTCCTCAACTAACAGAGTTGAACCTTGGTTTTGATACAGCATTTTGGAAACACTCCTTTTGTAGAATCTGCAGGTGGATATGTGGATAGCTCTGAAGATTTCGTTGGAAACGGGAATTTCTTCATATAAAATCAAACAGAAGCATTCTCAGAAACTTCTCAGTGATGTTTGCATTCAGTTCATGGAGTTGAACACTTCCCTTCATAGAGCCGGTTTGAAACACTCTTTCTGCACTACCTGGAAGAGGACATTTCGAGCGCTTTGAGTCCTATGGTGAAAAAGGAAATATCTTCTCATAGAAACCAGAAAGAAGCATTCTCAGAAACTTCTTTGTGTTGTGTGTACTCATGTAACAGTGTTGAACCATCCTTTTGACAGAGGAGTTTTGAAACACTCTTTTTGTAGAATCTGCAAGTGGATATTTGGATAGCTTTGAGGATTTCGTTGGAAACGGGATGACATATAATATCTAGAGAGAAGCATTCTCAGGAACTTCTTTGTGATGTTTGCATTCAAGTCACAGAATTGAACATTCCCTTTCATAGAGCAGGTTTGAAACACTCTTTCTCTAGTATCTGGAAGTGGGCATTTCAAGCGCTTTCAGGCCTATGGAGAGAAAGGAAATACCTTCAAATAAAAACTAGACAGAAGCATTCTCAGAAACTTATTTGTGATGTGTGTCCTCAACTAACAGAGTTGAACCTTTGTTTTGATACAGCATTTTGGAAACACTCCTTTTGTAGAATCTGCAGGTGGATATTTGGATAGCTTTGAAGATTTCGTTGGAAACCGGAATATCTTCATATAAAATCAAGACAGAAGCATTCTCGGAAACATCTCTGTGATGTTTGCATTCAACTCAGTAGAGTTGAACACTTCCTTTCATAGAGCAGGTTTGAAACACTCTTTCTGCACTACCTGGAAGCGGACATTTCGAGCGCTTTGAGGCCTATGGTGAAAAAGGAAATATCTTCTCATAAAAACCAGAAAGAAGCATTCTCAGAAACTTCTTTGTGTTGTGTGTACTCAAGTAACAGTGTTGAACCTTCCTTTTGACAGAGTAGTTTTGAAACACTCTTTTGGTAGAATCTGCAAGTGGATATTTGGATAGCTTTGAGGATTTCGTTGGAAACGGGTTATCTTCCTATAAAATCCAGACAGGAGCATTCACAGAAACTTCTTTGTGCTGTATGTCCTCAATTCACAGAGCTGAACCTTTGTTTGGATACAGCATTGTGGAAACATTCCTTTAGTAGAATCTGCAAGTTGATATTTAGATAGCTTTGAAGATTTCATTGGAAACGGGAATATCTTCATAGAAAATCTAGACGGAAGCATTCTCAGAAACTGCTTTGTGATGTTTGCATTCAAGTCACAGAGTTGAATATTCCCTTTTATAGAGTAGGTTTGAAACACTCTTTCGGCACTACCTGGAAGTGGATATTTCGAGCTCTTTGAGGCCTATGGTTAAAAGGAAATATCTTCCCATAAAAACTAGACAGAAGCCGTCTCAGAAACTTGTTTGTGATGTGTGTATTCAACTACCAGAGTTGAACATTTCTGTTACAGAGCAATTTTAAAACACTCTTTTTGTGGAATCTGAAAGTGGATAATTGGATAGCTTTGTGGATTTCGTTGGAAACGGGATGACGTATAAAATCTAGAGAGAAGCATTCTCAGGAACTTCTTTCTGATGTTTGCATTCAAGTCACAGAATTGAACATTCCTTTTCAGAGTGCAGGTTTGAAACACTCTTTCTGTAGTATCTGGAAGTGGACATTTCAAGCGCTTTCAGGCCTACGGGGAGAAAGGAAATATCTTCAAATAAAAACTAGAGAGAAGGATTCTCAGAAACTTATTTGTGATGTGTGTCCTAAACGAACACAGTTGAACCTTTGTTTTGATACAGCATTTTGGAAACACTCCTTTTGTAGGATCTGCAGGTGGATATTTGGATAGATTTTAAGATTTCGTTGGAAACGGGAATTTCTGCATAGAAACTCAAGACAGATGCATTCTCCGAAACTTCTCTGTGATGTTTGCATTCCACTCATAGAGTTGAAAACTTCCTTTCATAGAGCAGGTTTGAAACACTCTTTTTGTAATATTTGGAAGTGGACATTTGCAGCGCTTTGAGGCCTATGGTGAAAAAGGAAATATCTTCTCATAAAAACCAGAAACAAGCATTCTCAGTAAACTGCTTTTTGATGTGTGTACTCAAGTAACAGAGTTGAACCTTCCTTTTGACACAGCAGTTTTGAAACAATCTTTCTGTAGAATCTGCAAGTGGATATTTGGATAGCTTTGAGGATTTCGTTGGAAACGGGATATCTTCATATAAAATCTAGAAAGAAGCATTCTCAGAAACTTCTTTGTGCTGTATGTCCTCAATTAACAGAGTTGAACCATTGCTTGGATACAGCATTTTGGAAACATTCCTTTAGTAGAATCTGCAAGTTGATATTTAGATAGATTTGAAGATTTCGTTGGAAACGGGAATATCTTCATATAAAATCTAGATGGAAGCATTGTCAGAAACTGCTCTGTGATGTTTGCATTCAAGTCACAGAGTTAAATATTCTTTTATAGAGCAGGTTTGAAACACTCTTTCTGCACTCCCTGGAAGTGGAGATTTCGAGCGCTTTGAGGCCTATGGTGAAAAAGGAAATATCTTCCTGTAAAAACTAGACGGAAGCCTTCTCAGAAACTTGTTTGAGATGTGTGTATTCAACTAAGAGCGTTGAACATTTCTTTTTACAGAGCAGTTTTAAAACACTCTTTTGGTGCAATCTGAAAGTGGATAATTGGATAGCTTTGTGGATTTCGTTGGAAACGGGATTACGTTTAAAATCTAGAGAGAAGCATTCTCAGGAACTTCTTTCTGATGTTTGCATTCAAGTCACAGAATTGAACATTCCTTTTCATAGTGCAGGTTTGAAACACTCTGTAGTATCTGGAAGTGGACATTTCAAGCGCTTTCAGGCCTATGGGGAGAAAGGAAATATCTTGAAATAAAAACTAGACAGAAGGATTCTCAGAAACTTATTTGTGATGTGTGTCCTAAACGAACACAGTTGAACCTTTGTTTTGATACAGCATTTTGGAAACACTCCTTTTGTAGAATCTGCAGGTGGATATTTGGATAGGTTTTAAGATTTCATTGGAAACGGGAATTTCTTCATATAAACTCAAGACAGATGCATTCTCAGAAACTTCTCTGTGATGTTTGCATTCCACTCACAGAGTTGAAAACTTCCTTTCATAGAGCAGGTTTGAAACACTCTTTTTGTAATATTTGGAAGTGGACATTTGCAGCGCTTTGAGGCCTATGGTGAAAAAGGAAATATCTTCTCATAAAAACCAGAAACAAGCATTCTCAGAAACTGCTTTTTGATGTGTGTACTCAAGTAACAGAGTTGAACCTTCCTTTTGACACAGCAGTTTTGAAACAATCTTTTTGTAGAATCTGCAAGTGGATATTTGGATAGCTTTGAGGATTTCGTTGGAAACGGGATATCTTCATATAAAATCTAGACAGAAGCATTCTCAGAAACTTCTTTATGCTGTATGTCCTCAATTAACAGAGTTGAACCATTGCTTGGATACAGCATTTTGGAAACATTCCTTGAGTAGAATCTGCAAGTTGATATTTAGATAGATTTGAAGATTTCGTTGGAAACGGGAATATCTTCATATAAAATCTAGACGGAGGCATTCTCAGAAACTGCTTTGTGATGTTTCCATTCAAGTCACAGAGTTGAATATTCTCTTTTATAGAGCACGTTTGAAACACTCTTTCTGCACCATCTGGAAGTGGACATTTCGAGCGCTGTGAGGCCTATGGTGAAAAAGGAAATATCTTCCCATAAAAACTAGACAGAAGCATTCTCAGAAACTTGTTTGTGATGTGTGTATTCAACTAACAGACTAGAACTTTTGTTTTTACAGAGCAGTTTTAAGACAATCTTTTTGTGGAATCAGAAAGTGGATATTCGGATGGCTTTGAGGACTTCGTTGGAAGCGGGATTACATATAAAATCTAGAGAGAAGCATTCTCAGCAACTTCTTTGTGATGTTTGCATTGAAGTCACAGAATTGAACATTCACTTTGATAGAGCAGGTTTGAAACACTCATTCTGTAGTATCTGGAAGCGGACAATTCAAGCGCTTTCAGGCCTATGGGGAGAAAGGAAATATCTTCAAATAAAAACTAGAGAGAAGCATTCTCAGAAACTTATTTGTGATGTGTGTCCTCAACTAACAGAGTTGAAACTTTGTTTTGATACAGCATTTTGGAAACACTCTTTTTGTAGAATCTGCAGGTGGATATTTGGATAGCTTAGAGGGATTCGTTGGAAAGGGGATATCTTCATATAAAATCTAGACAGAAGCATTCTCAGAAACTTATTTGTGATGTGTGTCCTCAACTAACAGAGTTGAACCTTGGTTTTGATACAGCATTTTGGAAACACTCCTTTTGTAGAATCTGCAGGTGGATATGTGGATAGCTCTGAAGATTTCGTTGGAAACGGGAATTTCTTCATATGAAATCAAACAGAAGCATTCTCAGGAACTTCTCTGTGATGTTTGCATTCAGCTCATGGAGTTGAACACTTCCTTTCATAGAGCAGGTTTGAAACACTCTTTCTGCACTACCTGGAAGTGGACATTTCGAGCGCTTTGAGGCCTATGGTGAAAAAGGAAATATCTTCTCATAAAAACCAGAAAGAAGCGTTCTCAGAAACTTCTTTGTGTTGTGTGTACTCATGTAACAGTGTTGAACCATCCTTTTGACAGAGCAGTTTTGAAACACTCTTTTTGTAGAATCTGCCAGTGGATATTTGGATAGCTTTGAGGATTTCGTTGGAAACGGGTTATCTTCATATTAAATCTAGACAGAAGCATTCTCAGGAACTTCTTTGTGATGTTTGCATTCAAGTCACAGAATTGAACATTCCCTTTCATAGAGCAGGTTTGAAACACTCTTTCTCTAGTATCTGGAAGTGGGCATTTCAAGCGCTTTCAGGCCTATGGAGAGAAAGGAAATACCTTCAAATAAAAACTAGACAGAAGCATTCTCAGAAACTTATTTGTGATGTGTGTCCTCAACTAACAGAGTTGAACCTTTGTTTTGATACAGCATTTTGGAAACACTCCTTTTGTAGAATCTGCAGGTGGATATTTGGATAGCTTTGAAGATTTCGTTGGAAACCGGAATATCTTCATATAAAATCAAGACAGAAGCATTCTCGGAAACATCTCTGTGATGTTTGCATTCAACTCAGTAGAGTTGAACACTTCCTTTCATAGAGCAGGTTTGAAACACTCTTTCTGCACTACCTGGAAGCGGACATTTCGAGCGCTTTGAGGCCTATGGTGAAAAAGGAAATATCTTCTCATAAAAACCAGAAAGAAGCATTCTCAGAAACTTCTTTGTGTTGTGTGTACTCAAGTAACAGTGTTGAACCTTCCTTTTGACAGAGCAGTTTTGAAACACTCTTTTGGTAGAATCTGCAAGTGGATATTTGGATAGCTTTGAGGATTTCGTTGGAAACGGGTTATCTTCCTATAAAATCCAGACAGGAGCATTCTCAGAAACTTCTTTGTGCTGTATGTCCTCAATTCACAGAGCTGAACCTTTGTTTGGATACAGCATTTTGGAGACATTCCTTTAGTAGAATCTGCAAGTTGATATTTAGATAGCTTTGAAGATTTCGTTGGAAACGGGAATATCTTCATAGAAAATCTAGACGGAAGCATTCTCAGAAACTGCTTTGTGATGTTTGCATTCAAGTCACAGAGTTGAATATTCCCTTTTATAGAGTAGGTTTGAAACACTCTTTCGGCACTACCTGGAAGTGGATATTTCGAGCTCTTTGAGGCCTATGGTTAAAAGGAAATATCTTCCCATAAAAACTAGACAGAAGCCTTCTCAGAAACTTGTTTGAGATGTGTGTATTCAACTAAGAGCGTTGAACATTTCTTTTTACAGAGCTGTTTTAAAACACTCTTTTGGTGGAATCTGAAAGTGGTTAACGGGATAGCTTTGTGGATTTCGTTGGAAACGGGATTACGTTTAAAATCTAGAGAGAAGCATTCTCAGGAACTTCTTTCTGATGTTTGCATTCAAGTCACAGAATTGAACATTCCTTTTCAGAGTGCAGGTTTGAAACACTCTTTCTGTAGTATCTGGAAGTGGACATTTCAAGCGCTTTCAGGCCTACGGGGAGAAAGGAAATATCTTCAAATAAAAACTAGACAGAAGGCTTCTCAGAAACTTATTTGTGATGTGTGTCCTAAACGAACACATTTGAACCTTTGTTTTGATACAGCATTTTGGAAACACTCCTTTTGTAGAATCTGCAGGTGGATATTTGGATAGATTTTAAGATTTCGTTGGAAACGGGAATTTCTTCATAGAAACTCAAGACGGATGCATTCTCAGAAACTTCTCTGTGATGTTTGCATTCCACTCATAGAGTTGAAAACTTCCTTTCATAGAGCAGGTTTGAAACACTCTTTCTGTAATATTTGGAAGTGGACATTTGCAGCGCTTTGAGGCCTATGGTGAAAAAGGAAATATCTTCTCATAAAAACCAGAAACAAGCATTCTCAGAAACTTCTTTTTGATGTGTGTACTCAAGTAACAGAGTTGAACCTTCCTTTTGACACAGCAGTTTTGAAACAATCTTTTTGTAGAATCTGCAAGTGGATATTTGGATAGCTTTGAGGATTTCATTGGAAACGGGATATCTTCATATAAAATCTAGACAGAAGCATTCTCAGAAACTTCTTTGTGCTGTATGTCCTCAATTAACAGAGTTGAACCATGGCTTGGATACAGCATTTTGGAAACATTCCTTGAGTAGAATCTGCAAGTTGATATGTAGATAGCTTTGAAGATTTCGTTGGAAACGGGAATATCTTCATATAAAATCTAGACGGAAGCATTCTCAGAAACTGCTTTGTGACGTTTCCATTCAAGTCACGGAGTTGAATATTCTCTTTTATAGAGCACGTTTGAAACACTCTTTCTGCACTATCTGGAAGTGGACATTTCGAGCGCTTTGAGGCCTATGGTGAAAAAGGAAATATCTTCCCATAAAAACTAGACAGAAGCATTCTCAGAAACTTGTTTGTGATGTGTGTATTCAACTAACAGAGTTGAACTTTTGTTTTTACAGAGCCGTTTTAAAACACTCTTTTTGTGGAATCAGAAAGTGGATATTCGGATGGCTCTGAGGATTTCGTTGGAAGCGGGATTACGTATAAAATCTAGAGAGAAGCATTCTCAGGAACTACTTTGTGATGTTTGCATTGAAGTCACAGAATTGAACATTCACTTTGATAGAGCAGGTTTGAAACACTCATTCTGTAGTATCTGGAAGTGGACATTTCAAGCGCTTTCAGGCCTATGGGGAGAAAGGAAATATCTTCAAATTAAAACTAGACAGAAGCATCCTCAAACTTATTTGTGATGTGTGTCCTCAACTAACAGAGTTGAAACTTTGTTTTGATACAGCATTTTGGAAACACTCTTTTTGTAGAATCTGCAGGTGGATATTTGGATAGCTTAGAGGGATTCGTTGGAAAGGGGATATCTTCATATAAAATCTAGACAGAAGCATTCTCAGAATCTTATTTGTGATGTGTGTCCTCAACTAACAGAGTTGAACTTTGGTTTTGATACAGCATTTTGGAAACACTCCTTTTGTAGAATCTGCAGGTGGATATGTGGATAGCTCTGAAGATTTCGTTGGAAACGGGAATTTCTTCATATAAAATCAAACAGAAGCATTCTCAGAAACTTCTCAGTGATGTTTGCATTCAGTTCATGGAGTTGAACACTTCCTTTCATAGAGCCGGTTTGAAACACTCTTTCTGCACTGCCTGGAAGAGGACATTTCGAGCGCTTTGAGTCTTATGGTGAAAAAGGAAATATCTTCTCATAGAAACCAGAAAGAAGCATTCTCAGAAACTTCTTTGTGTTGTGTGTACTCATGTAACAGTGTTGAACCATCCTTTTGACAGAGGAGTTTTGAAACACTCTTTTTGTAGAATCTGCAAGTGGATATTTGGATAGCTTTGAGGATTTCGTTGGAAACGGGATGACATATAATATCTAGAGAGAAGCATTCTCAGGAACTTCTTTGTGATGTTTGCATTCAAGTCACAGAATTGAACATTCCCTTTCATAGAGCAGGTTTGAAACACTCTTTCTCTAGTATCTGGAAGTGGGCATTTCAAGCGCTTTCAGGCCTATGGAGAGAAAGGAAATACCTTCAAATAAAAACTAGACAGAAGCATTCTCAGAAACTTATTTGTGATGTGTGTCCTCAACTAACAGAGTTGAACCTTTGTTTTGATACAGCATTTTGGAAACACTCCTTTTGTAGAATCTGCAGGTGGATATTTGGATAGCTTTGAAGATTTCGTTGGAAACCGGAATATCTTCATATAAAATCAAGACAGAAGCATTCTCGGAAACATCTCTGTGATGTTTGCATTCAACTCAGTAGAGTTGAACACTTCCTTTCATAGAGCAGGTTTGAAACACTCTTTCTGCACTACCTGGAAGCGGACATTTCGAGCGCTTTGAGGCCTATGGTGAAAAAGGAAATATCTTCTCATAAAAACCAGAAAGAAGCATTCTCAGAAACTTCTTTGTGTTGTGTGTACTCAAGTAACAGTGTTGAACCTTCCTTTTGACAGAGCAGTTTTGAAACACTCTTTTGGTAGAATCTGCAAGTGGATATCTGGATAGCTTTGAGGATTTCATTGGAAACGGGTTATCTTCATATAAAACCCAGACAGGAGCATTCTCAGAAACTTCTTTGTGCTGTATGTCCTCAATTCACAGAGCTGAACCTTTGTTTGGATACAGCATTTTGGAAACATTCCTTTAGTAGAATCTGCAAGTTGATATTTAGATAGCATTGAAGATTTCGTTGGAAACGGGAATATCTTCATAGAAAATCTACACGGAAGCATTCTCAGAAACTGCTTTGTGATGTTTGCATTCAAGTCACAGAGTTGAATATTCCCTTTTATAGAGTAGGTTTGAAACACTCTTTCGGCACTACCTGGAAGTGGATATTTCGAGCTCTTTGAGGCCTATGGTTAAAAGGAAATATCTTCCCATAAAAACTAGACAGAAGCCGTCTCAGAAACTTGTTTGTGATGTGTGTATTCAACTACCAGAGTTGAACATTTCTGTTACAGAGCAATTTTAAAACACTCTTTCTGTGGAATCTGAAAGTGGATAATTGGATAGCTTTGTGGATTTCGTTGGAAACGGGATGACGTATAAAATCTAGAGAGAAGCATTCTCAGGAACTTCTTTCTGATGTTTGCATTCAAGTCACAGAATTGAACATTCCTTTTCATAGTGCAGGTTTGAAACACTCTTTCTGTAGTATCTGGAAGTGGACATTTCAAGCGCTTTCAGGCCTTATGGGGAGAAAGGAAATATCTTCAAATAAAAACTAGACAGAAGGATTCTCAGAAACTTATTTGTGATGTGTGTCCTAAACGAACACAGTTGAACCTTTGTTTTGATACAGCATTTTGGAAACACTCCTTTTGTAGGATCTGCAGGTGGATATTTGGATAGATTTTAAGATTTCGTTGGAAACGGGAATTTCTGCATAGAAACTCAAGACAGATGCATTCTCAGAAACTTCTCTGTGATGTTTGCATTCCACTCATAGAGTTGAAAACTTCCTTTCATAGAGCAGGTTTGAAACACTCTTTTTGTAATATTTGGAAGTGGACATTTGCAGCGCTTTGAGGCCTATGGTGAAAAAGGAAATATCTTCTCATAAAAACCAGAAACAAGCATTCTGAGAAACTGCTTTTTGATGTGTGTACTCAAGTAACAGAGTTGAACCTTCCTTTTGACACAGCAGTTTTGAAACAATCTTTCTGTAGAATCTGCAAGTGGATATTTGGATAGCTTTGAGGATTTCGTTGGAAACGGGATATCTTCATATAAAATCTAGACAGAAGCATTCTCAGAAACTTCTTTGTGCTGTATGTCCTCAATTAACAGAGTTGAACCATTGCTTGGATACAGCATTTTGGAAACATTCCTTTAGTAGAATCTGCAAGTTGATATTTAGATAGATTTGAAGATTTCGTTGGAAACGGGAATATCTTCATATAAAATCTAGACGGAGGCATTCTCAGAAACTGCTTTGTGATGTTTCCATTCAAGTCACAGAGTTGAATATTCTCTTTATAGAGCACGTTTGAAACACTCTTTCTGCACTCTCTGGAAGTGGACATTTCGAGCGCTGTGAGGCCTATGGTGAAAAAGGAAATATCTTCCCATAAAAACTAGACAGAAGCATTCTCAGAAACTTGTTTGTGATGTGTGTATTCAACTAACAGAGTTGAACTTTTGTTTTTACAGAGCCGTTTTAAAACACTCTTTTTGTGGAATCAGAAAGTGGATATTCGGATGGCTCTGAGGATTTCGTTGGAAGCGGGATTACGTATAAAATCTAGAGAGAAGCATTCTCAGGAACTTCTTTGTGATGTTTGCATTGAAGTCACAGAATTGAACATTCACTTTGATAGAGCAGGTTTGAAACACTCATTCTGTAGTATCTGGAAGTGGACATTTCAAGCGCTTCAGGCCTATGGTGAGAAAGGAAATATCTTCGAATAAAAACTAGACAGAAGCATCCTCAGAAACTTATTTGTGATGTGTGTCCTCAACTAACAGAGTTGAACCTTTGTTTTGATACAGCATTTTGGAAACACTCCTTTTGTAGAATCTGCAGGTGGATATTTGGATAGCTTTGAAGATTTCGTTGGAAACCGGAATATCTTCATAAAAAATCAAGACAGAAGCATTCTCGGAAACATCTCGGTGATGTTTGCATTAAACTCAGTAAAGTTGAACACTTCCTTTCATAGAGCAGGTTTGAAACACTCTTTCTGCTCTACCTGGAAGCGGACATTTCGGGCGCTTTGAGGTCTATGGTGAAAAAGGAAATATCTTCTCATAAAAACCAGAAAAAAGCATCCTCAGTAAACTTATTTGTGATGTGTGTCCTCAACTAACAGAGTTGAAACTTTGTTTTGATACAGCATTTTGGAAACACTCTTTTTGTAGAATCTGCAGGTGGATATTTGGATAGCTTAGAGGGATTCGTTGGAAAGGGGATAAATTCATATAAAATCTAGACAGAGGCATTCTCAGAAACTTATTTGTGCTGTATGTCCTCAATTAACAGAGTTGAACCATTGCTTGGATACAGCATTTTGGAAACATTCCTTTAGTAGAATCTGCAAGTTGATATTTAGATAGCTTTGAAGATTTCGTTGGAAACGGGAATATCTTCATAAAAAATCTAGACGGAAGCATTGTCAGAAACTGCTTTGTGATGTTTGCATTCAAGTCACAGAGTTAAATATTCTTTTATAGAGCAGGTTTGAAGCACTCTTTCTGCACTCCCTGGAAGTGGAGATTTCGAGCGCTTTGAGGCCTATGGTGAAAAAGGAAATATCTTCCCATAAAAACTAGACGGAAGCCTTCTCAGAAACTTGTTTGAGATGTGTGTATTCAACTAAGAGCGTTGAACATTTCTTTTTACAGAGCAGTTTTAAAACAGTCTTTTGGTGGAATCTGAAAGTGGATAATTGGATAGCTTTGTGGATTTCGTTGAAAACGGGATTACGTTTAAAATCTAGAGAGAAGCATTCTCAGGAACTTCTTTCTGATGTTTGCATTCAAGTCACAGAATTGAACATTCCTTTTCATAGTGCAGGTTTGAAACACTCTGTAGTATCTGGAAGTGGACATTTCAAGCGCTTTCAGGCCTATGGGGAGAAAGGAAATATCTTGAAATAAAAACTAGACAGAAGGATTCTCAGAAACTTATTTGTGATGTGTGTCCTAAACGAACACAGTTGAACCTTTGTTTTGATACAGCATTTTGGAAACACTCCTTTTGTAGAATCTGCAGGTGGATATTTGGATAGATTTTAAGATTTCATTGGAAACGGGAATTTCTTCATATAAACTCAAGACAGATGCATTCTCAGAAACTTCTCTGTGATGTTTGCATTCCACTCATAGAGTTGAAAACTTCCTTTCATAGAGCAGGTTTGAAACACTCTTTTTGTAATATTTGGAAGTGGACATTTGCAGCGCTTTGAGGCCTATGGTGAAAAAGGAAATATCTTCTCATAAAAACCAGAAACAAGCATTCTCAGAAACTTCTTTTTGATGTGTGTACTCAAGTAACAGAGTTGAACCTTCCTTTTGACACAGCAGTTTTGAAACAATCTTTTTGTAGAATCTGCAAGTGGATATTTGGATAGCTTTGAGGATTTCGTTGCAAACGGGATATCTTCATATAAAATCTAGACAGAAGCATTCTCAGAAACTTCTTTGTGCTGTATGTCCTCAATTAACAGAGTTGAACCATTGCTTGGATACAGCATTTTGGAAACATTCCTTTAGTAGAATCTGCAAGTTGATATTTAGATAGATTTGAAGATTTCGTTGGAAACGGGAATATCTTCATATAAAATCTAGACGGAGGCATTCTCAGAAACTGCTTTGTGATGTTTCCATTCAAGTCACAGAGTTGAATATTCTCTTTTATAGAGCACGTTTGAAACACTCTTTCTGCACTATCTGGAAGTGGACATTTCGAGCGCTTTGAGGCCTATGATGAAAAAGGAAATATCTTCCCATAAAAACTAGACAGAAGCATTCTCAGAAGCTTGTTTGTGATGTGTGTATTCAACTAACAGACTTGAACTTTTGTTTTTACAGAGCAGTTTTAAGACAATCTTTTTGTGGAATCAGAAAGTGGATATTCGGATGGCTTTGAGGATTTCGTTGGAAGCGGGATTACATATAAAATCTAGAGAGAAGCATTCTCAGGAACTACTTTGTGATGTTTGCATTGAAGTCACAGAATTGAACATTCACTTTGATAGAGCAGGTTTGAAACACTCATTCTGTAGTATCTGGAAGTGGACATTTCAAGCGCTTTCAGGCCTATGGGGAGAAAGGAAATATCTTCAAATAAAAACTAGACAGAAGCATCCTCAGAAACTTATTTGTGATGTGTGTCCTCAACTAACAGAGTTGAAACTTTGTTTTGATACAGCATTTTGGAAACACTCTTTTTGTAGAATCTGCAGGTGGATATTTGGATAGCTTAGAGGGATTCGTTGGAAAGGGGATATCGTCAAATAAAAACTAGACAGAACCATCCTCAGAAACTTATTTGTGATGTGTGTCCTCAAGTAACAGAGTTGAAACTTCGTTTTGATACAGCATTTTGGAAACACTCCTTTTGTAGGATCTGCAGGTGGATATTTGGATAGCTTACAGGGATTCGTTGGAAAGGGGATATCTTCACATAAAATCAAACAGAAGCATTCTCAGAAACTTATTTGTGATGTGTGTCCTCAACTAACAGAGTTGAACCTTGGTTTTGATACAGCATTTTGGAAACACTCCTTTTGTAGAATCTGCAGGTGGATATTTGGATAGCTTACAGGGATTCGTTGGAAAGGGGATATCTTCACATAAAATCAAACAGAAGCATTCTCAGAAACTTCTCAGTGATGTTTGCATTCAGCCCATGGAGTTGAACACTTCCTTTCATAGAGCAGGTTTGAAACACTCTTTCTGCACTACCAGGAAGTGGACATTTCGAGCGCTTTGAGTCCTATGGTGAAAAAGGATATATCTTCTCATAAAAACCAGAAAGAAGCATTCTCAGAAACTTCTTTGTGTTGTGTGTACTCATGTAACAGTGTTGAACCATCCTTTTGACAGAGCAGTTTTGAAACACTCTTTTTGTAGAATCTGCAAGTGGATATTTGGATAGCTTTGAGGATTTCGTTGGAAACGGGATGACATATAATATCTAGAGAGAAGCATTCTCAGGAACTTCTTTGTGATGTTTGCATTCAAGTCACAGAATTGAACATTCCCTTTCATAGAGCAGGTTTGAAACACTCTTTCTCTAGTATCTGGAAGTGGGCATTTCAAGCGCTTTCAGGCCTATGGAGAGAAAGGAAATACCTTCAAATAAAAACTAGACAGAAGCATTCTCAGAAACTTATTTGTGATGTGTGTCCTCAACTAACAGAGTTGAACCTTTGTTTTGATACAGCATTTTGGAAACACTCCTTTTGTAGAATCTGCAGGTGGATATTTGGATAGCTTTGAAGATTTCGTTGGAAACCGGAATATCTTCATATAAAATCAAGACAGAAGCATTCTCGGAAACATCTCTGTGATGTTTGCATTCAACTCAGTAGAGTTGAACACTTCCTTTCCTAGAGCAGGTTTGAAACACTCTTTCTGCCCTACCTGGAAGCGGACATTTCGAGCTCTTTGAGGCCTATGGTGAAAAAGGAAATATCTTCTCATAAAAACCAGAAAGAAGCATTCTCAGAAACTTCTTTGTGTTGTGTGTACTCAAGTAACAGTGTTGAACCTTCCTTTTGACAGAGTAGTTTTGAAACACTCTTTTGGTAGAATCTGCAAGTGGATATTTGGATAGCTTTGAGGATTTCGTTGGAAACGGGTTATCTTCCTATAAAATCCAGACAGGAGCATTCTCAGAAACTTCTTTGTGCTGTATGTCCTCAATTCACAGCAGCTGAACCTTTGTTTGGATACAGCATTTTGGAGACATTCCTTTAGTAGAATCTGCAAGTTGATATTTAGATAGCTTTGAAGATTTCGTTGGAAACGGGAATATCTTCATAGAAAATCTAGACGGAAGCATTCTCAGAAACTGCTTTGTGATGTTTGCATTCAAGTCACAGAGTTGAATATTCCCTTTTATAGAGTAGGTTTGAAACACTCTTTCGGCACTACCTGGAAGTGGATATTTCGAGCTCTTTGAGGCCTATGGTTAAAAGGAAATATCTTCCCATAAAAACTAGACAGAAGCCGTCTCAGAAACTTGTTTGTGATGTGTGTATTCAACTAACAGAGTTGAACATTTCTGTTACAGAGCAATTTTAAAACACTCTTTGTGGAATCTGAAAGTGGATAATTGGATAGCTTTGTGGATTTCGTTGGAAACGGGATGACGTATAAAATCTAGAGAGAAGCATTCTCAGGAACTTCTTTCTGATGTTTGCATTCAAGTCACAGAATTGAACATTCCTTTTCAGAGTGCAGGTTTGAAACACTCTTTCTGTAGTATCTGGAAGTGGACATTTCAAGCGCTTTCAGGCCTACGGGGAGAAAGGAAATATCTTCAAATAAAAACTAGACAGAAGGATTCTCAGAAACTTATTTGTGATGTGTGTCCTAAACGAACACAGTTGAACCTTTGTTTTGATACAGCATTTTGGAAACACTCCTTTTGTAGGATCTGCAGGTGGATATTTGGATAGATTTTAAGATTTCGTTGGAAACGGGAATTTCTGCATATAAACTCAAGACAGATGCATTCTCAGAAACTTCTCTGTGATGTTTGCATTCCACTCATAGAGTTGAAAACTTCCTTTCATAGAGCAGGTTTGAAACACTCTTTTTGTAATATTTGGAAGTGGACATTTGCAGCGCTTTGAGGCCTATGGTGAAAAAGGAAATATCTTCTGATAAAAACCAGAAACAAGCATTCTCAGAAACTGCTTTTTGATGTGTGTACTCAAGTAACAGAGTTGAACCTTCCTTTTGACACAGCAGTTTTGAAACAATCTTTTTGTAGAATCTGCAAGTGGATATTTGGATAGCTTTGAGGATTTCGTTGGAAACGGGATATCTTCATATAAAATCTAGACAGAAGCATTCTCAGAAACTTCTTTGTGCTGTATGACCTCAATTAACAGAGTTGAACCATTGCTTGCATACAGCATTTTGGAAACATTCCTTGAGTAGAATCTGCAAGTTGATATTTAGATAGATTTGAAGATTTCGTTCGAAAACGGAATATCTCCATATAAAATCTAGAGGGAAGCATTCTCAGAAACTGCTTTGTGATGTTTCCATTCAAGTCACAGAGTTGAATATTCCCTTTTATAGAGCACGTTTGAAACACTCTTTCTGCACTATCTGGAAGCGGACATTTCGAGCGCTTTGAGGCCTATGGTGAAAAAGGAAATATCTTCCCATAAAAACTAGACAGAAGCATTCTCAGAAACTTGTTTGTGATGTGTGTATTCAACTAACAGAGTTGAACTTTTGTTTTTACAGAGCCGTTTTAAAACACTCTTTTTGTGGAATCAGAAAGTGGATATTCGGATGGCTCTGAGGATTTCGTTGGAAGCGGGATTACATATAAAATCTAGAGAGAAGCATTCTCAGGAACTTCTTTGTGATGTTTGCATTGAAGTCACAGAATTGAACATTCACTTTGATAGAGCAGGTTTGAAACACTCATTCTGTAGTATCTGGAAGTGGACATTTCAAGCGCTTTCAGGCCTATGGTGAGAAAGGAAATATCTTCGAATAAAAACTAGACAGAAGCATCCTCAAACTTATTTGTGATGTGTGTCCTCAACTAACAGAGTTGAAACTTTGTTTTGATACAGCATTTTGGAAACACTCTTTTTGTAGAATCTGCAGGTGGATATTTGGATAGCTTAGAGGGATTCGTTGGAAAGGGGATATCTTCATATAAAATCTAGACAGAAGCATTCTCAGAAACTTATTTGTGATGTGTGTCCTCAACTAACAGAGTTGAACCTTGGTTTTGATACAGCATTTTGGAAACACTCCTTTTGAAGAATCTGCAGGTGGATATGTGGATAGCTTTGAAGATTTCGTTGGAAACGGGAATTTCTTCATATAAAATCAAACAGAAGCATTCTCAGAAACTTCTCAGTGATGTTTGCATTCAGTTCATGGAGTTGAACACTTCCTTTCATAGAGCCGGTTTGAAACACTCTTTCTGCACTACCTGGAAGAGGACATTTCGAGCGCTTTGAGTCCTATGGTGAAAAAGGAAATATCTTCTCATAGAAACCAGAAAGAAGCATTCTCAGAAACTTCGTTGTGTTGTGTGTACTCATGTAACAGTGTTGAACCATCCTTTTGACAGAGGAGTTTTGAAACACTCTTTTTGTAGAATCTGCAAGTGGATATTTGGATAGCTTTGAGGATTTCGTTGGAAACGGGATGACATATAATATCTAGAGAGAAGCATTCTCAGGAACTTCTTTGTGATGTTTGCATTCAAGTCACAGAATTGAACATTCCCTTTCATAGAGCAGGTTTGAAACACTCTTTCTCTAGTATCTGGAAGTGGGCATTTCAAGCGCTTTGAGGCCTATGGAGAGAAAGGAAATACCTTCAAATAAAAACTAGACAGAAGCATTCTCAGAAACTTATTTGTGATGTGTGTCCTCAACTAACAGAGTTGAACCTTTGTTTTGATACAGCATTTTGGAAACACTCCTTTTGTAGAATCTGCAGGTGGATATTTGGATAGCTTTGAAGATTTCGTTGGAAACCGGAATATCTTCATATAAAATCAAGACAGAAGCATTCTCAGAAACTTCTCTGTGATGTTTGCATTCAGCTCATGGAGTTGAACACTTCCTTTCATAGAGCAGGTTTGAAACACTCTTTCTGCACTACCTGGAAGCGGACATTTCGAGCGCTTTGAGGCCTATGGTGAAAAAGGAAATATCTTCTCATAAAAACCAGAAAGAAGCATTCTCAGAAACTTCTTTGTGTTGTGTGTACTCAAGTAACAGTGTTGAACCTTCCTTTTGACAGAGCAGTTTTGAAACACTCTTTTGGTAGAATCTGCAAGTGGATATTTGGATAGCTTTGAGGATTTCGTTGGAAACGGGTTATCTTCCTATAAAATCCAGACAGGAGCATTCTCAGAAACTTCTTTGTGCTGTATGTCCTCAATTCACAGAGCTGAACCTTTGTTTGGATACAGCATTTTGGAGACATTCCTTTAGTAGAATCTGCAAGTTGATATTTAGATAGCTTTGAAGATTTCGTTGGAAACGGGAATATCTTCATAGAAAATCTAGACGGAAGCATTCTCAGAAACTGCTTTGTGATGTTTGCATTCAAGTCACAGAGTTGAATATTCCCTTTTATAGAGTAGGTTTGAAACACTCTTTCGGCACTACCTGGAAGTGGATATTTCGAGCTCTTTGAGGCCTATGGTTAAAAGGAAATATCTTCCCATAAAAACTAGACAGAAGCCGTCTCAGAAACTTGTTTGTGATGTGTGTATTCAACTAACAGAGTTGAACATTTCTGTTACAGAGCAATTTAAAACACTCTTTTTGTGGAATCTGAAAGTGGATAATTGGATAGCTTTGTGGATTTCGTTGGAAACGGGATGACGTATAAAATCTAGAGAGAAGCATTTTCAGGAACTTCTTTCTGATGTTTGCATTCAAGTCACAGAATTGAACATTCCTTTTCAGAGTGCAGGTTTGAAACACTCTTTCTGTAGTATCTGGAAGTGGACATTTCAAGCGCTTTCAGGCCTACGGGGAGAAAGGAAATATCTTCAAATAAAAACTAGACAGAAGGATTCTCAGAAACTTATTTGTGATGTGTGTTCTCAACGAACACAGTTGAACCTTTGTTTTGATATAGCATTTTGGAAGCACTCTTTTGTAGAATCTGCAGGTGGATATTTGGATAGATTTTAAGATTTCATTGGAAACGGGAATTTCTTCATATAAACTCAAGACAGATGCATTCTCAGAAACTTCTCTGTGATGTTTGCATTCCACTCATAGAGTTGAAAACTTCCTTTCATAGAGCAGGTTTGAAACACTCTTTTTGTAATATTTGGAAGTGGACATTTGCAGCGCTTTGAGGCCTATGGTGAAAAAGGAAATATCTTCTCATAAAAACCAGAAACAAGCATTCTCAGAAACTGCTTTTTGATGTGTGTACTCAAGTAACAGAGTTGAACCTTCCTTTTGACACAGCAGTTTTGAAACAATCTTTTTGTAGAATCTGCAAGTGGATATTTGGATAGCTTTGAGGATTTCGTTGGAAACGGGATATCTTCATATAAAATCTAGACAGAAGCATTCTCAGAAACTTCTTTGTGCTGTATGACCTCAATTAACAGAGTTGAACCATTGCTTGCATACAGCATTTTGGAAACATTCCTTGAGTAGAATCTGCAAGTTGATATTTAGATAGATTTGAAGATTTCGTTGGAAAAGGGAATATCTCCATATAAAATCTAGAGGGAAGCATTCTCAGAAACTGCTTTGTGATGTTTCCATTCTAGTCACAGAGTTGAATATTCTCTTTTATAGAGCACGTTTGAAACACTCTTTCTGCACTATCTGGAAGTGGACATTTCGAGCGCTGTGAGGCCTATGGTGAAAAAGGAAATATCTTCCCATAAAAACTAGACAGAAGCATTCTCAGAAACTTGTTTGTGATGTGTGTATTCAACTAACAGAGTTGAACTTTTGTTTTTACAGAGCCGTTTTAAAACACTCTTTTTGTGGAATCAGAAAGTGGATATTCGGATGGCTCTGAGGATTTCGTTGGAAGCGGGATTACGTATAAAATCTAGAGAGAAGCATTCTCAGGAACTACTTTGTGATGTTTGCATTGAAGTCACAGAATTGAACATTCACTTTGATAGAGCAGGTTTGAAACACTCATTCTGTAGTATCTGGAAGCCGACAATTCAAGCGCTTTCAGGCCTATGGGGAGAAAGGAAATATCTTCAAATAGAAACTAGACAGAAGCATCCTCAGAAACTTATTTGTGATGTGTGTCCTCAACTAACAGAGTTGAAACTTTGTTTTGATACAGCATTTTGGAAACACTCTTTTTGTAGAATCTGCAGGTGGATATTTGGATAGCTTAGAGGGATTCGTTGGAAAGGGGATATCTTCATATAAAATCTAGACAGAAGCATTCTCAGAAACTTATTTGTGATGTGTGTCCTCAACTAACAGAGTTGAACCTTGGTTTTGATACAGCATTTTGGAAACACTCCTTTTGTAGAATCTGCATGTGGATATGTGGATAGCTCTGAAGATTTCGTTGGAAACGGGAATTTCTTCATATAAAATCAAACAGAAGCATTCTCAGAAACTTCTCAGTGATGTTTGCATTCAGCTCATGGAGTTGAACACTTCCTTTCATAGAGCAGGTTTGAAACACTCTTTCTGCACTACCTGGAAGAGGACATTTCGAGCGCTTTGAGTCCTATGGTGAAAAAGGAAATATCTTCTCATAGAAACCAGAAAGAAGCGTTCTCAGAAACTTCTTTGTGTTGTGTGTACTCATGTAACAGTGTTGAACCATCCTTTTGACAGAGCAGTTTTGAAACACTCTTTTTGTAGAATCTGCAAGTGGATATTTGGATAGCTTTGAGGATTTCGTTGGAAACGGGTTATCTTCATATTAAATCTAGACAGAAGCATTCTCAGGAACTTCTTTGTGATGTTTGCATTCAAGTCACAGAATTGAACATTCCCTTTCATAGAGCAGGTTTGAAACACTCTTTCTCTAGTATCTGGAAGTGGGCATTTCAAGCGCTTTCAGGCCTATGGAGAGAAAGGAAATACCTTCAAATAAAAACTAGACAGAAGCATTCTCAGAAACTTATTTGTGATGTGTGTCCTCAACTAACAGAGTTGAACCTTTGTTTTGATACAGCATTTTGGAAACACTCCTTTTGTAGAATCTGCAGGTGGATATTTGGATAGCTTTGAAGATTTCGTTGGAAACCGGAATATCTTCATATAAAATCAAGACAGAAGCATTCTCGGAAACATCTCTGTGATGTTTGCATTCAACTCAGTAGAGTTGAACACTTCCTTTCATAGAGCAGGTTTGAAACACTCTTTCTGCACTACCTGGAAGCGGACATTTCGAGCGCTTTGAGGCCTATGGTGAAAAAGGAAATATCTTCTCATAAAAACCAGAAAGAAGCATTCTCAGAAACTTCTTTGTGTTGTGTGTACTCAAGTAACAGTGTTGAACCTTCCTTTTGACAGAGCAGTTTTGAAACACTCTTTTGGTAGAATCTGCAAGTGGATATTTGGAGAGCTTTGAGGATTTCGTTGGAAACGGGTTATCTTCATATAAAATCCAGACAGGAGCATTCTCAGAAACTTCTTTGTGCTGTATGTCCTCAATTCACAGAGCTGAACCTTTGTTTGGATACAGCATTTTGGAGACATTCCTTTAGTAGAATCTGCAAGTTGATATTTAGATAGCTTTGAAGATTTCGTTGGAAACGGGAATATCTTCATAGAAAATCTAGACGGAAGCATTCTCAGAAACTGCTTTGTGATGTTTGCATTCAAGTCACAGAGTTGAATATTCCCTTTTATAGAGTAGGTTTGAAACACTCTTTCGGCACTACCTGGAAGTGGATATTTCGAGCTCTTTGAGGCCTATGGTTAAAAGGAAATATCTTCCCATAAAAACTAGACAGAAGCCTTCTCAGAAACTTGTTTGAGATGTGTGTATTCAACTAAGAGCGTTGAACATTTCTTTCTACAGAGCAGTTTTAAAACACTCTTTTTGTGGAATCTGAAAGTGGATAATTGGATAGCTTTGTGGATTTCGTTGGAAACGGGATTACGTATAAAATCTAGAGAGAAGCATTCTCAGGAACTTCTTTCTGATGTTTGCATTCAAGTCACAGAATTGAACATTCCTTTTCATAGTGCAGGTTTGAAACACTCTGTAGTATCTGGAAGTGGACATTTCAAGCGCTTTCAGGCCTATGGGGAGAAAGGAAATATCTTGAAATAAAAACTAGACAGAAGGATTCTCAGAAACTTATTTGTGATGTGTGTCCTAAACGAACACAGTTGAACCTTTGTTTTGATACAGCATTTTGGAAACACTCCTTTTGTAGGATCTGCAGGTGGATATTTGGATAGATTTTAAGATTTCGTTGGAAACGGGAATTTCTTCATAGAAGCTCAAGACAGATGCATTCTCAGAAACTTCTCTGTGATGTTTGCATTCCACTCATAGAGTTGAAAACTTCCTTTCATAGAGCAGGTTTGAAACACTCTTTTTGTAATATTTGGAAGTGGACATTTGCAGCGCTTTGAGGCCTATGGTGAAAAAGGAAATATCTTCTCATAAAAACCAGAAACAAGCATTCTCAGAAACTTCTTTTTGATGTGTGTACTCAAGTAACAGAGTTGAACCTTCCTTTTGACACAGCAGTTTTGAAACAATCTTTTTGTAGAATCTGCAAGTGGATATTTGGATAGCTTTGAGGATTTCGTTGGAAACGGGATATCTTCATATAAAATCTAGACAGAAGCATTCTCAGAAACTTCTTTGTGCTGTATGTCCTCAATTAACAGAGTTGAACCATGGCTTGGATACAGCATTTTGGAAACATTCCTTGAGTAGAATCTGCAAGTTGATATGTAGATAGCTTTCAAGATTTCGTTGGAAACGGGAATATCTTCATATAAAATCTAGACGGAAGCATTCTCAGAAACTGCTTTGTGACGTTCCCATTCAAGTCACGGAGTTGAATATTCTCTTTTATAGAGCACGTTTGAAACACTCTTTCTGCACTATCTGGAAGTGGACATTTCGAGCGCTTTGAGGCCTATGGTGAAAAAGGAAATATCTTCCCATAAAAACTAGACAGAAGCATTCTCAGAAACTTGTTTGTGATGTGTGTATTCAACTAACAGAGTTGAACTTTTGTTTTTACAGAGCCGTTTTAAAACACTCTTTTTGTGGAATCAGAAAGTGGATATTCAGATGGCTCTGAGGATTTCGTTGGAAGCGGGATTACGTATAAAATCTAGAGAGAAGCATTCTCAGGAACTACTTTGTGATGTTTGTATTGAAGTCACAGAATTGAACATTCACTTTGATAGAGCAGGTTTGAAACACTCATTCTGTAGTATCTGGAAGCGGACAATTCAAGCGCTTTCAGGCCTATGGGGAGAAAGGAAATATCTTCAAATAAAAACTAGAGAGAAGCATCCTCAGAAACTTATTTGTGATGTGTGTCCTCAAGTAACAGAGTTGAAACTTTGTTTTGATACAGCATTTTGGAAACACTCTTTTTGTAGAATCTGCAGGTGGATATTTGGATAGCTTAGAGGGATTCGTTGGAAAGGGGATATCTTCATATAAAATCTAGACAGAAGCATTCTCAGAAACTTATTTGTGATGTGTGTCCTCAACTAACAGAGTGGAACCTTGGTTTTGATACAGCATTTTGGAAACACTCCTTTTGTGGAATCTGCAGGTGGATATGTGGATAGCTTTGAAGATTTCGTTGGAAACGGGAATTTCTTCATACAAAATCAAACAGAAGCATTCTCAGAAACTTCTCTGTGATGTTTGCATTCAGCTCATGGAGTTGAACACTTCCTTTCATAGAGCAGGTTTGAAACACTCTTTCTGCACTACCAGGAAGTGGACATTTCGAGCGCTTTGAGGCCTATGGTGAAAAAGGAAATATCTTCTCATAAAAACCAGAAAGAAGCATTCTCAGAAACTTCTTTGTGTTGTGTGTACTCATGTAACAGTGTTGAACCATCCTTTTGACAGAGGAGTTTTGAAACACTCTTTTTGTAGAATCTGCAAGTGGATATTTGGATAGCTTTGAGGATTTCGTTGGAAACGGGATGACATATAATATCTAGAGAGAAGCATCGTCAGAAACTTATTTGTGATGTGTGTCCTCAACTAACAGGGTTGAAACTTTGTTTTGATACAGCCTTTTGAGAACACTCTTTTTGTAGAATCTGCAGGTGGATATTTGGATAGCTTAGAGGGATTCGTTGGAAAGGGGATATCTTCATATAAAATCTAGACAGAAGCATTCTCTGAAACTTATTTGTGATGTGTGTCCTCAACTAACAGAGTTGAACCTTGGTTTTGATACAGCATTTTGGAAACACTCCTTTTGTAGAATCTGCAGGTGGATATTTGGATAGCTTTGAAGATTTCGTTGGAAACCGGAATATCTTCATATAAAATCAAGAGAGAAGCATTCTCGGAAACATCTCTGTGATGTTTGCATTCAACTCAGTAGAGTTGAACACTTCCTTTCATAGAGCAGGTTTGAAACACTCTTTCTGCACTACCTGGAAGCGGACATTTCGAGCGCTTTGAGGCCTATGGTGAAAAAGGAAATATCTTCTCATAAAAACCAGAAAGAAGCATTCTCAGAAACTTCTTTGTGTTGTGTGTACTCAAGTAACAGTGTTGAACCTTCCTTTTGACAGAGCAGTTTTGAAACACTCTTTTGGTAGAATCTGCAAGTGGATATTTGGATAGCTTTGAGGATTTCGTTGGAAACGGGTTATCTTCATATAAAATCCAGACAGGAGCATTCACAGAAACTTCTTTGTGCTGTATGTCCTCAATTCACAGAGCTGAACCTTTGTTTGGATACAGCATTGTGGAAACATTCCTTTAGTAGAATCTGCAAGTTGATATTTAGATAGCTTTGAAGATTTCATTGGAAACGGGAATATCTTCATAGAAAATCTAGACGGAAGCATTCTCAGAAACTGCTTTGTGATGTTTGCATTCAAGTCACAGAGTTGAATATTCCCTTTTATAGAGTAGGTTTGAAACACTCTTTCGGCACTACCTGGAAGTGGATATTTCGAGCTCTTTGAGGCCTATGGTTAAAAGGAAATATCTTCCCATAAAAACTAGACAGAAGCCGTCTCAGAAACTTGTTTGTGATCTGTGTATTCAACTAACAGAGTTGAACATTTCTGTTACAGAGCAATTTTAAAACACTCTTTGTGGAATCTGAAAGTGGATAATTGGATAGCTTTGTGGATTTCGTTGGAAACAGGATGACGTATAAAATCTAGAGAGAAGCATTCTCAGGAACTTCTTTCTGATGTTTGCATTCAAGTCACAGAATTGAACATTCCTTTTCAGAGTGCAGGTTTGAAACACTCTTTCTGTAGTATCTGGAAGTGGACATTTCAAGCGCTTTCAGGCCTACGGGGAGAAAGGAAATATCTTCAAATAAAAACTAGACAGAAGGATTCTCAGAAACTTATTTGTGATGTGTGTCCTAAACGAACACAGTTGAACCTTTGTTTTGATACAGCATTTTGGAAACACTCCTTTTGTAGGATCTGCAGGTGGATATTTGGATAGATTTTAAGATTTCGTTGGAAACGGGAATTTCTGCATATAAACTCAAGACAGATGCATTCTCAGAAACTTCTCTGTGATGTTTGCATTCCACTCATAGAGTTGAAAACTTCCTTTCATAGAGCAGGTTTGAAACACTCTTTTTGTAATATTTGGAAGTGGACATTTGCAGCGCTTTGAGGCCTATGGTGAAAAAGGAAATATCTTCTCATAAAAACCAGAAACAAGCATTCTCAGAAACTTCTTTTTGATGTGTGTACTCAAGTAACAGAGTTGAACCTTCCTCTTGACACAGCAGTTTTGAAACAATCTTTTTGTAGAATCTGCAAGTGGATATTTGGATAGCTTTGAGGATTTCGTTGGAAACGGGATATCTTCATATAAAATCTAGACAGAAGCATTCTCAGAAACTTCTTTGTGCTGTATGACCTCAATTAACAGAGTTGAACCATTGCTTGCATACAGCATTTTGGAAACATTCCTTGAGTAGAATCTGCAAGTTGATATTTAGATAGATTTGAAGATTTCGTTCGAAAACGGAATATCTCCATATAAAATCTAGAGGGAAGCATTCTCAGAAACTGCTTTGTGATGTTTCCATTCAAGTCACAGAGTTGAATATTCCCTTTCATAGAGCAGGTTTGAAACACTCTTTTTGTAATATTTGGAAGTGGACATTTGCAGCGCTTTGAGGCCTATGGTGAAAAAGGAAATATCTTCCCATAAAAACTAGACAGAAGCATTCTCAGAAACTTGTTTATGATGTGTGTATTCAACTAACAGAGTTGAACTTTTGTTTTTACAGAGCCGTTTTAAAACACTCTTTTTGTGGAATCAGAAAGTGGATATTCGGATGGCTCTGAGGATTTCGTTGGAAGCGGGATTACGTATAAAATCTAGAGAGAAGCATTCTCAGAAACTTCTTTCTGATGTTTGCATTGAAGTCACAGAATTGAACATTCACTTTGATAGAGCAGGTTTGAAACACTCATTCTGTAGTATCTGGAAGTGGACATTTCAAGCGCTTTCAGGCCTATGGTGAGAAAGGAAATATCTTCGAATAAAAACTAGACAGAAGCATCCTCAGAAACTTATTTGTGATGTGTGTCCTCAACTAACAGAGTTGAAACTTTGTTTTGATACAGCATTTTGGAAACACTCTTTTTGTAGAATCTGCAGGTGGATATTTGGATAGCTTAGAGGGATTCGTTGGAAAGGGGATATCTTCATATAAAATCTAGACAGAAGCATTCTCAGAAACTTATTTGTGATGTGTGTCCTCAACTAACAGAGTTGAACTTTGGTTTTGATACAGCATTTTGGAAACACTCCTTTTGTAGAATCTGCAGGTGGATATGTGGATAGCTCTGAAGATTTCGTTGGAAACGGGAATTTCTTCATATAAAATCAAACAGAAGCATTCTCAGAAACTTCTCAGTGATGTTTGCATTCAGCTCATGGAGTTGAACACTTCCTTTCATAGAGCAGGTTTGAAACACTCTTTCTGCACTACCTGGAAGAGGACATTTCGAGCGCTTTGAGTCCTATGGTGAAAAAGGAAATATCTTCTCATAGAAACCAGAAAGAAGCATTCTCAGAAACTTCTTTGTGTTGTGTGTACTCATGTAACAGTGTTGAACCATCCTTTTGACAGAGCAGTTTTGAAACACTCTTTTTGTAGAATCTGCAAGTGGATATTTGGATAGCTTTGAGGATTTCGTTGGAAACGGGATGACATATAATATCTAGAGAGAAGCATTCTCAGGAACTTCTTTGTGATGTTTGCATTCAAGTCACAGAATTGAACATTCCCTTTCATAGAGCAGGTTTGAAACACTCTTTCTCTAGTATCTGGAAGTGGGCATTTCAAGCGCTTTCAGGCCTATGGAGAGAAAGGAAATACCTTCAAATAAAAACTAGACAGAAGCATTCTCAGAAACTTATTTGTGATGTGTGTCCTCAACTAACAGAGTTGAACCTTTGTTTTGATACAGCATTTTGGAAACACTCCTTTTGTAGAATCTGCAGGTGGATATTTGGATAGCTTTGAAGATTTCGTTGGAAACCGGAATATCTTCATATAAAATCAAGACAGAAGCATTCTCGGAAACATCTCTGTGATGTTTGCATTCAACTCAGTAGAGTTGAACACTTCCTTTCATAGAGCAGGTTTGAAACACTCTTTCTGCACTACCTGGAAGCGGACATTTCGAGCGCTTTGAGGCCTATGGTGAAAAAGGAAATATCTTCTCATAAAAACCAGAAAGAAGCATTCTCAGAAACTTCTTTGTGTTGTGTGTACTCAAGTAACAGTGTTGAACCTTCCTTTTGACAGAGCAGTTTTGAAACACTCTTTTGGTAGAATCTGCAAGTGGATATTTGGATAGCTTTGAGGAATTCGTTGGAAACGGGTTATCTTCATATAAAATCCAGACAGGAGCATTCTCAGAAACTTCTTTGTGCTGTATGTCCTCAATTCACAGAGCTGAACCTTTGTTTGGATACAGCATTTTGGAGACATTCCTTTAGTAGAATCTGCAAGTTGATATTTAGATAGCTTTGAAGATTTCGTTGGAAACGGGAATATCTTCATAGAAAATCTAGACGGAAGCATTCTCAGAAACTGCTTTGTGATGTTTGCATTCAAGTCACAGAGTTGAATATTCCCTTTTATAGAGTAGGTTTGAAACACTCTTTCGGCACTACCTGGAAGTGGATATTTCGAGCTCTTTGAGGCCTATGGTTAAAAGGAAATATCTTCCCATAAAAACTAGACAGAAGCCGTCTCAGAAACTTGTTTGTGATGTGTGTATTCAACTAACAGAGTTGAACATTTCTGTTACAGAGCAATTTAAAACACTCTTTTTGTGGAATCTGAAAGTGGATAATTGGATAGCTTTGTGGATTTCGTTGGAAACGGGATGACGTATAAAATCTAGAGAGAAGCATTCTCAGGAACTTCTTTCTGATGTTTGCATTCAAGTCACAGAATTGAACATTCCTTTTCAGAGTGCAGGTTTGAAACACTCTTTCTGTAGTATCTGGAAGTGGACATTTCAAGCGCTTTCAGGCCTACGGGGAGAAAGGAAATATCTTCAAATAAAAACTAGACAGAAGGATTCTCAGAAACTTATTGGTGATGTGTGTCCTAAACGAACACAGTTGAACCTTTGTTTTGATACAGCATTTTGGAAAAACTCCCTTTGTAGAATCTGCAGGTGGATATTTGGATAGATTTTAAGATTTCGTTGGAAACGGGAATTTCTTCATATAAACTCAAGACAGATGCATTCTCAGAAACTTCTCTGTGATGTTTGCATTCCACTCATAGAGTTGAAAACTTCCTTTCATAGAGCAGGTTTGAAACACTCTTTTTGTAATATTTGGAAGTGGACATTTGCAGCGCTTTGAGGCCTATGGTGAAAAAGGAAATATCTTCTCATAAAAACCAGAAACAAGCATTCTCAGAAACTTCTTTTTGATGTGTGTACTCAAGTAACAGAGTTGAACCTTCCTCTTGACACAGCAGTTTTGAAACAATCTTTTTGTAGAATCTGCAAGTGGATATTTGGATAGCTTTGAGGATTTCGTTGGAAACGGGATATCTTCATATAAAATCTAGACAGAAGCATTCTCAGAAACTTCTTTGTGCTGTATGACCTCAATTAACAGAGTTGAACCATTGCTTGCATACAGCATTTTGGAAACATTCCTTGAGTAGAATCTGCAAGTTGATATTTAGATAGATTTGAAGATTTCGTTCGAAAACGGAATATCTCCATATAAAATCTAGAGGGAAGCATTGTCAGAAACTGCTTTGTGATGTTTGCATTCAAGTCACAGAGTTAAATATTCTTTTACAGAGCAGGTTTGAAACACTCTTTCTGCAATCCCTGAAAGTGGAGATTTCGAGCGCTTTGAGGCCTATGGTGAAAAAGGAAATATCTTCCCATAAAAACTAGACGGAAGCATTCTCAGAAACTTGTTTGTGATGTGTGTATTCAACTAACAGAGTTGAACTTTTGTTTTTACAGAGCCGTTTTAAAACACTCTTTTTGTGGAATCAGAAAGTGGATATTCGGATGGCTCTGAGGATTTCGTTGGAAGCGGGATTACGTATAAAATCTAGAGAGAAGCATTCTCAGGAACTTCTTTGTGATGTTTGCATTGAAGTCACAGAATTGAACATTCACTTTGATAGAGCAGGTTTGAAACACTCATTCTGTAGGATCTGGAAGTGGACATTTCAAGCGCTTTCAGGCCTATGGTGAGAAAGGAAATATCTTCGAATAAAAACTAGACAGAAGCATCCTCAAACTTATTTGTGATGTGTGTCCTCAACTAACAGAGTTGAAACTTTGTTTTGATACAGCATTTTGGAAACACTCTTTTTGTAGAATCTGCAGGTGGATATTTGGATAGCTTAGAGGGATTCGTTGGAAAGGGGATATCTTCATATAAAATCTAGACAGAAGCATTCTCAGAAACTTATTTGTGATGTGTGTCCTCAACTAACAGAGTTGAACCTTGGTTTTGATACAGCATTTTGGAAACACTCCTTTTGTAGAATCTGCAGGTGGATATGTGGATAGCTCTGAAGATTTCGTTGGAAACGGGAATTTCTTCATATAAAATCAAACAGAAGCATTCTCAGAAACTTCTCAGTGATCTTTGCATTCAGCTCATGGATTTGAACACTTCCTTTCATAGAGCCGGTTTGAAACACTCTTTCTGCACTACCTGGAAGCGGACATTTCGAGCGCTTTGAGGCCTATGGTGAAAAAGGAAATATCTTCTCATAAAAACCAGAAAGAAGCATTCTCAGAAACTTCTTTGTGTTGTGTGTACTCATGTAACAGTGTTGAACCATCCTTTTGACAGAGCAGTTTTGAAACACTCTTTTTGTAGAATCTGCAAGTGGATATTTGGATAGCTTTGAGGATTTCGTTGGAAACGGGATGACATATAATATCTAGAGAGAAGCATTCTCAGGAACTTCTTTGTGATGTTTGCATTCAAGTCACAGAATTGAACATTCCCTTTCATAGAGCAGGTTTGAAACACTTTCTCTAGTATCTGGAAGTGGGCATTTCAAGCGCTTTCAGGCCTATGGAGAGAAAGGAAGTACCTTCAAATAAAAACTAGACAGAAGCATTCTCAGAAACTTATTTGTGATGTGTGTCCTCAACTAACAGAGTTGAACCTTTGTTTTGATACAGCATTTTGGAAACACTCCTTTTGTAGAATCTGCAGGTGGATATTTGGATAGCTTTGAAGATTTCGTTGGAAACCGGAATATCTTCATATAAAATCAAGACAGAAGCATTCTCGGAAACATCTCTGTGATGTTTGCATTCAACTCAGTAGAGTTGAACACTTCCTTTCATAGAGCAGGTTTGAAACACTCTTTCTGCACTACCTGGAAGCGGACATTTCGAGCGCTTTGAGGCCTATGGTGAAAAAGGAAATATCTTCTCATAAAAACCAGAAAGAAGCATTCTCAGAAACTTCTTTGTGTTGTGTGTACTCAAGTAACAGTGTTGAACCTTCCTTTTGACAGAGCAGTTTTGAAACACTCTTTTGGTAGAATCTGCAAGTGGATATTTGGATAGCTTTGAGGAATTCGTTGGAAACGGGTTATCTTCATATAAAATCCAGACAGGAGCATTCTCAGAAACTTCTTTGTGCTGTATGTCCTCAATTCACAGAGCTGAACCTTTGTTTGGATACAGCATTTTGGAGACATTCCTTTAGTAGAATCTGCAAGTTGATATTTAGATAGCTTTGAAGATTTCGTTGGAAACGGGAATATCTTCATAGAAAATCTAGACGGAAGCATTCTCAGAAACTGCTTTGTGATGTTTGCATTCAAGTCACAGAGTTGAATATTCCCTTTTATAGAGTAGGTTTGAAACACTCTTTCGGCACTACCTGGAAGTGGATATTTCGAGCTCTTTGAGGCCTATGGTTAAAAGGAAATATCTTCCCATAAAAACTAGACAGAAGCCGTCTCAGAAACTTGTTTGTGATGTGTGTATTCAACTAACAGAGTTGAACATTTCTGTTACAGAGCAATTTTAAAACACTCTTTGTGGAATCTGAAAGTGGATAATTGGATAGCTTTGTGGATTTCGTTGGAAACGGGATGACGTATAAAATCTAGAGAGAAGCATTCTCAGGAACTTCTTTCTGATGTTTGCATTCAAGTCACAGAATTGAACATTCCTTTTCAGAGTGCAGGTTTGAAACACTCTTTCTGTAGTATCTGGAAGTGGACATTTCAAGCGCTTTCAGGCCTACGGGGAGAAAGGAAATATCTTCAAATAAAAACTAGAGAGAAGGATTCTCAGAAACTTATTTGTGATGTGTGTCCTAAACGAACACAGTTGAACCTTTGTTTTGATACAGCATTTTGGAAACACTCCTTTTGTAGGATCTGCAGGTGGATATTTGGATAGATTTTAAGATTTCGTTGGAAACGGGAATTTCTTCATAGAAGCTCAAGACAGATGCATTCTCAGAAACTTCTCTGTGATGTTTGCATTCCACTCACAGAGTTGAAAACTTCCTTTCATAGAGCAGGTTTGAAACACTCTTTTTGTAATATTTGGAAGTGGACATTTGCAGTGCTTTGAGGCCTATGGTGAAAAAGGAAATATCTTCTCATAAAAACCAGAAACAAGCATTCTCAGAAACTTCTTTTTGATGTGTGTACTCAAGTAACAGAGTTGAACCTTCCTTTTGACACAGCAGTTTTGAAACAATCTTTTTGTAGAATCTGCAAGTGGATATTTGGATAGCTTTGAGGATTTCGTTGGAAACGGGATATCTTCATATAAAATCTAGACAGAAGCATTCTCAGAAACTTCTTTGTGCTGTATGTCCTCAATTAACAGAGTTGAACCATTGCCTGGATACAGCATTTTGGAAACATTCCTTGAGTAGAATCTGCAAGTTGATATTTAGATAGATTTGAAGATTTCGTTGGAAAAGGGAATATCTCCATATAAAATCTAGAGGGAAGCATTCTCAGAAACTGCTTTGTGATGTTTCCATTCAAGTCACAGAGTTGAATATTCCCTTTTATAGAGCACGTTTGAAACACTCTTTCTGCACTATCTGGAAGCGGACATTTCGAGCGCTTTGAGGCCTATGGTGAAAAAGGAAATATCTTCCCATAAAAACTAGACAGAAGCATTCTCAGAAACTTGTTTGTGATGTGTGTATTCAACTAACAGAGTTGAACTTTTGTTTTTACAGAGCCGTTTTAAAACACTCTTTTTGTGGAATCAGAAAGTGGATATTCGGATGGCTCTGAGGATTTCGTTGGAAGCGGGATTACATATAAAATCTAGAGAGAAGCATTCTCAGGAACTTCTTTGTGATGTTTGCATTGAAGTCACAGAATTGAACATTCACTTTGATAGAGCAGGTTTGAAACACTCATTCTGTAGGATCTGGAAGTGGACATTTCAAGCGCTTTCAGGCCTATGGTGAGAAAGGAAATATCTTTGAATAAAAACTAGACAGAAGCATCCTCAGAAACTTATTTGTGATGTGTGTCCTCAACTAACAGAGTTGAAACTTTGTTTTGCTACCACATTTTGGAAACACTCTTTTTGTAGAATCTGCAGGTGGATATTTGGATAGCTTAGAGGGATTCGTTGGAAAGGGGATATCTTCATATAAAATCTAGACAGAAGCATTCTCAGAAACTTATTTGTGATGTGTGTCCTCAACTAACAGAGTTGAACTTTGGTTTTGATACAGCATTTTGGAAACACTCCTTTTGTAGAATCTGCAGGTGGATATGTGGATAGCTCTGAAGATTTCGTTGGAAACGGGAATTTCTTCATATAAAATCAAACAGAAGCATTCTCAGAAACTTCTCAGTGATGTTTGCATTCAGTTCATGGAGTTGAACACTTCCCTTCATAGAGCCGGTTTGAAACACTCTTTCTGCACTACCTGGAAGAGGACATTTCGAGCGCTTTGAGTCCTATGGTGAAAAAGGAAATATCTTCTCATATAAACCAGAAAGAAGCATTCTCAGAAACTTCTTTGTGTTGTGTGTACTCATGTAACAGTGTTGAACCATCCTTTTGACAGAGCAGTTTTGAAACACTCTTTTTGTAGAATCTGCAAGTGGATATTTGGATAGCTTTGAGGATTTCGTTGGAAACGGGATGACATATAATATCTAGAGAGAAGCATTCTCAGGAACTTCTTTGTGATGTTTGCATTCAAGTCACAGAATTGAACATTCCCTTTCATAGAGCAGGTTTGAAACACTCTTTCTCTAGTATCTGGAAGTGGGCATTTCAAGCGCTTTCAGGCCTATGGAGAGAAAGGAAATACCTTCAAATAAAAACTAGACAGAAGCATTCTCAGAAACTTATTTGTGATGTGTGTCCTCAACTAACAGAGTTGAACCTTTGTTTTGATACAGCATTTTGGAAACACTCCTTTTGTAGAATCTGCAGGTGGATATTTGGATAGCTTTGAAGATTTCGTTGGAAACCGGAATATCTTCATATAAAATCAAGACAGAAGCATTCTCGGAAACATCTCTGTGATGTTTGCATTCAACTCAGTAGAGTTGAACACTTCCTTTCATAGAGCAGGTTTGAAACACTCTTTCTGCACTACCTGGAAGCGGACATTTCGAGCGCTTTGAGGCCTATGGTGAAAAAGGAAATATCTTCTCATAAAAACCAGAAAGAAGCATTCTCAGGAACTTCTTTGTGATGTTTGCATTCAAGTCACAGTGTTGAACCTTCCTTTTGACAGAGCAGTTTTGAAACACTCTTTTGGTAGAATCTGCAAGTGGATATTTGGATAGCTTTGAGGATTTCGTTGGAAACGGGTTATCTTCCTATAAAATCCAGACAGGAGCATTCTCAGAAACTTCTTTGTGCTGTATGTCCTCAATTCACAGAGCTGAACCTTTGTTTGGATACAGCATTTTGGAGACATTCCTTTAGTAGAATCTGCAAGTTGATATTTAGATAGCTTTGAAGATTTCGTTGGAAACGGGAATATCTTCATAGAAAATCTAGACGGAAGCATTCTCAGAAACTGCTTTGTGATGTTTGCATTCAAGTCACAGAGTTGAATATTCCCTTTTATAGAGTAGGTTTGAAACACTCTTTCGGCACTACCTGGAAGTGGATATTTCGAGCTCTTTGAGGCCTATGGTTAAAAGGAAATATCTTCCCATAAAAACTAGACAGAAGCCTTCTCAGAAACTTGTTTGAGATGTGTGTATTCAACTAAGAGCGTTGAACATTTCTTTTTACAGAGCAGTTTTAAAACACTCTTTTGTGGAATCTGAAAGTGGATAATTGGATAGCTTCGTGGATTTCGTTGGAAACGGGATGACGTATAAAATCTAGAGAGAAGCATTCTCAGGAACTTCTTTCTGATGTTTGCATTCAAGTCACAGAATTGAACATTCCTTTTCACAGTGCAGGTTTGAAACACTCTTTCTGTAGTATCTGGAAGTGGACATTTCAAGCGCTTTCAGGCCTATGGGGAGAAAGGAAATATCTTCAAATAAAAACTAGACAGAAGGATTCTCAGAAACTTATTGGTGATGTGTGTCCTCAACGAACACAGTTGAACCTTTGTTTTGATACAGCATTTTGGAAACACTCCCTTTGTAGAATCTGCAGGTGGATATGTGGATAGATTTTAAGATTTCGTTGGAAACGGGAATTTCTTCATATAAACTCAAGACAGATGCATTCTCAGAAACTTCTCTGTGATGTTTGCATTCCACTCATAGAGTTGAAAACTTCCTTTCATAGAGCAGGTTTGAAACACTCTTTTTGTAATATTTGGAAGTGGACATTTGCAGCGCTTTGAGGCCTATGGTGAAAAAGGAAATATCTTCTCATAAAAACCAGAAACAAGCATTCTCAGAAACTTCTTTTTGATGTGTGTACTCAAGTAACAGAGTTGAACCTTCCTCTTGACACAGCAGTTTTGAAACAATCTTTTTGTAGAATCTGCAAGTGGATATTTGGATAGCTTTGAGGATTTCGTTGGAAACGGGATATCTTCATATAAAATCTAGACAGAAGCATTCTCAGAAACTTCTTTGTGCTGTATGTCCTCAATTAACAGAGTTGAACCATTGCCTGGATACAGCATTTTGGAAACATTCCTTGAGTAGAATCTGCAAGTTGATATTTAGATAGATTTGAAGATTTCGTTGGAAAAGGGAATATCTCCATATAAAATCTAGAGGGAGGCATTCTCAGAAACTGCTTTGTGATGTTTCCATTCAAGTCACAGAGTTGAATATTCTCTTTTATAGAGCACGTTTGAAACACTCTTTCTGCACTATCTGGAAGTGGACATTTCGAGCGCTTTGAGGCCTATGGTGAAAAAGGAAATATCTTCCCATAAAAACTAGACAGAAGCATTCTCAGAAACTTGTTTGTGATGTGTGTATTCAACTAACAGAGTTGAACTTTTGTTTTTACAGAGCCGTTTTAAAACACTCTTTTTGTGGAATCAGAAAGTGGATATTCGGATGGCTCTGAGGATTTCGTTGGAAGCGGGATTACATATAAAATCTAGAGAGAAGCATTCTCAGGAACTTCTTTGTGATGTTTGCATTGAAGTCACAGAATTGAACATTCACTTTGATAGAGCAGGTTTGAAACACTCATTCTGTAGTATCTGGAAGTGGACATTTCAAGCGCTTTCAGGCCTATGGTGAGAAAGGAAATATCTTCGAATAAAAACTAGACAGAAGCATCCTCAGAAACTTATTTGTGATGTGTGTCCTCAACTAACAGAGTGGAAACTTTGTTTTGATACAGCATTTTGGAAACACTCTTTTTGTAGAATCTGCAGGTGGATATTTGGATAGCTTAGAGGGATTCGTTGGAAAGGGGATATCTTCATATAAAATCTAGACAGAAGCATTCTCAGAAACTTATTTGTGATGTGTGTCCTCAACTAACAGAGTTGAACCTTGGTTTTGATACAGCATTTTGGAAACACTCCTTTTGTAGAATCTGCAGGTGGATATGTGGATAGCTTTGAAGATTTCGTTGGAAACGGGAATTTCTTCATATAAAATCAAACAGAAGCATTCTCAGGAAACTTCCCAGTGATGTATGCATTCAGCTCATGGAGTTGTACACTTCCTTTCATAGAGCAGGTTTGAAACACTCTTTCTGCACTACCTGGAAGAGGACATTTCGAGCGCTTTGAGTCCTATGGTGAAAAAGGAAATATCTTCTCATAGAAACCAGAAAGAAGCATTCTCAGAAACTTCTTTGTGTTGTGTGTACTCATGTAACAGTGTTGAACCATCCTTTTGACAGAGGAGTTTTGAAACACTCTTTTTGTAGAATCTGCAAGTGGATATTTGGATAGCTTTGAGGATTTCGTTGGAAACGGGATGACATATATTATCTAGAGAGAAGCATTCTCAGGAACTTCTTTGTGATGTTTGCATTCAAGTCACAGAATTGAACATTCCCTTTCATAGAGCAGGTTTGAAACACTCTTTCTCTAGTATCTGGAAGTGGGCATTTCAAGCGCTTTCAGGCCTATGGAGAGAAAGGAAATACCTTCAAATAAAAACTAGACAGAAGCATTCTCAGAAACTTATTTGTGATGTGTGTCCTCAACTAACAGAGTTGAACCTTTGTTTTGATACAGCATTTTGGAAACACTCCTTTTGTAGAATCTGCAGGTGGATATTTGGATAGCTTTGAAGATTTCGTTGGAAACCGGAATATCTTCATATAAAATCAAGACAGAAGCATTCTCGGAAACATCTCTGTGATGTTTGCATTCAACTCAGTAGAGTTGAACACTTCCTTTCATAGAGCAGGTTTGAAACACTCTTTCTGCACTACCTGGAAGCGGACATTTCGAGCGCTTTGAGGCCTATGGTGAAAAAGGAAATATCTTCTCATAAAAACCAGAAAGAAGCATTCTCAGAAACTTCTTTGTGTTGTGTGTACTCAAGTAACAGTGTTGAACCTTCCTTTTGACAGAGTAGTTTTGAAACACTCTTTTGGTAGAATCTGCAAGTGGATATTTGGATAGCTTTGAGGATTTCGTTGGAAACGGGTTATCTTCCTATAAAATCCAGACAGGAGCATTCTCAGAAACTTCTTTGTGCTGTATGTCCTCAATTCACAGAGTTGAACCTTTGTTTGGATACAGCATTTTGGAAACATTCCTTTAGTAGAATCTGCAAGTTGATATTTAGATAGCTTTGAAGATTTCGTTGGAAACGGGAATATCTTCATAAAAAATCTAGACGGAAGCATTGTCAGAAACTGCTCTGTGATGTTTGCATTCAAGTCACAGAGTTAAATATTCTTTTATAGAGCAGGTTTGAAACACTCTTTCTGCACTCCCTGGAAGTGGAGATTTCGAGCGCTTTGAGGCCTATGGTGAAAAAGGAAATATCTTCCCATAAAAACTAGACGGAAGCATTCTCAGAAACTTGTTTGTGATGGGTGTATTCAACTAACAGTAGTTGAACTTTTGTTTTTACAGAGCCGTTTTAAAACACTCTTTTTGTGGAATCAGAAAGTGGATATTCGGATGGCATTGAGGATTTCGTTGGAAGCGGGATTACATATAAAATCTAGAGAGAAGCATTCTCAGGAACTTCTTTGTGATGTTTGCATTGAAGTCACAGAATTGAACATTCACTTTTATAGAGCAGGTTTGAAACACTCATTCTGTAGTATCTGGAAGTGGACATTTCAAGCGCTTTCAGGCCTATGGTGAGAAAGGAGATATCTTCAAATAAAAACTAGACAGAAGCATTCTCAGAAACTTATTTGTGATGTGTGTCCTCAACTAACAGAGTTGAAACTTTGTTTTGATACAGCATTTTGGAAACACTCTTTTTGTAGAATCTGCAGGTGGATATTTGGATAGCTTAGAGGGATTCGTTGGAAAGGGGATATCTTCATATAAAATCTAGACAGAAGCATTCTCAGAAACTTATTTGTGATGTGTGTCCTCAACTAACAGAGTTGAACCTTGGTTTTGATACAGCATTTTGGAAACACTCCTTTTGAAGAATCTGCAGGTGGATATGTGGATAGCTTTGAAGATTTCGTTGGAAACGGGAATTTCTTCATATAAAATCAAACAGAAGCATTCTCAGAAACTTCTCAGTGATGTTTGCATTCAGCTCATGGAGTTGAACACTTCCTTTCATAGAGCAGGTTTGAAACACTCTTTCTGCACTACCTGGAAGAGGACATTTCGAGCGCTTTGAGTCCTATGGTGAAAAAGGAAATATCTTCTCATAGAAACCAGAAAGAAAGCGTTCTCAGAAACTTCTTTGTGTTGTGTGTACTCATGTAACAGTGTTGAACCATCCTTTTGACAGAGCAGTTTTGAAACACTCTTTTTGTAGAATCTGCCAGTGGATATTTGGATAGCTTTGAGGATTTCGTTGGAAACGGGTTATCTTCATATTAAATCTAGACAGAAGCATTCTCAGGAACTTCTTTGTGATGTTTGCATTCAAGTCACAGAATTGAACATTCCCTTTCATAGAGCAGGTTTGAAACACTCTTTCTCTAGTATCTGGAAGTGGGCATTTCAAGCGCTTTCAGGCCTATGGAGAGAAAGGAAATACCTTCAAATAAAAACTAGACAGAAGCATTCTCAGAAACTTATTTGTGATGTGTGTCCTCAACTAACAGAGTTGAAACTTTGTTTTGATACAGCATTTTGGAAACACTCCTTTTGTAGAATCTGCAGGTGGATATTTGGATAGCTTTGAAGATTTCGTTGGAAACCGGAATATCTTCATATAAAATCAAGACAGAAGCATTCTCGGAAACATCTCTGTGATGTTTGCATTCAACTCAGTAGAGTTGAACACTTCCTTTCATAGAGCAGGTTTGAAACACTCTTTCTGCACTACCTGGAAGCGGACATTTCGAGCGCTTTGAGGCCTATGGTGAAAAAGGAAATATCTTCTCATAAAAACCAGAAAGAAGCATTCTCAGAAACTTCTTTGTGTTGTGTGTACTCAAGTAACAGTGTTGAACCTTCCTTTTGACAGAGCAGTTTTGAAACACTCTTTTGGTAGAATCTGCAAGTGGATATTTGGATAGCTTTGAGGATTTCGTTGGAAACGGGTTATCTTCCTATAAAATCCAGACAGGAGCATTCTCAGAAACTTCTTTGTGCTGTATGTCCTCAATTCACAGAGCTGAACCTTTGTTTGGATACAGCATTTTGGAGACATTCCTTTAGTAGAATCTGCAAGTTGATATTTAGATAGCTTTGAAGATTTCGTTGGAAACGGGAATATCTTCATAGAAAATCTAGACGGAAGCATTCTCAGAAACTGCTTTGTGATGTTTGCATTCAAGTCACAGAGTTGAATATTCCCTTTTATAGAGTAGGTTTGAAACACTCTTTCGGCACTACCTGGAAGTGGATATTTCGAGCTCTTTGAGGCCTATGGTTAAAAGGAAATATCTTCCCATAAAAACTAGACAGAAGCCGTCTCAGAAACTTGTTTGTGATGTGTGTATTCAACTACCAGAGTTGAACATTTCTGTTACAGAGCAATTTTAAAACACTCTTTCTGTGGAATCTGAAAGTGGATAATTGGATAGCTTTGTGGATTTCGTTGGAAACGGGATGACGTATAAAATCTAGAGAGAAGCATTCTCAGGAACTTCTTTCTGATGTTTGCATTCAAGTCACAGAATTGAACATTCCTTTTCAGAGTGCAGGTTTGAAACACACTCTTTCTGTAGTATCTGGAAGTGGACATTTCAAGCGCTTTCAGGCCTACGGGGAGAAAGGAATTATCTTCAAATAAAAACTAGACAGAAGGATTCTCAGAAACTTATTTGTGATGTGTGTCCTAAACGAACACAGTTGAACCTTTGTTTTGATACAGCATTTTGGAAACACTCCTTTTGTAGGATCTGCAGGTGGATATTTGGATAGATTTTAAGATTTCGTTGGAAACGGGAATTTCTGCATATAAACTCAAGACAGATGCATTCTCAGAAACTTCTCTGTGATGTTTGCATTCCACTCATAGAGTTGAAAACTTCCTTTCATAGAGCAGGTTTGAAACACTCTTTTTGTAATATTTGGAAGTGGACATTTGCAGCGCTTTGAGGCCTATGGTGAAAAAGGAAATATCTTCTCATAAAAACCAGAAACAAGCATTCTCAGAAACTTCTTTTTGATGTGTGTACTCAAGTAACAGAGTTGAACCTTCCTTTTGACACAGCAGTTTTGAAACAATCTTTTTGTAGAATCTGCAAGTGGATATTTGGATAGCTTTGAGGATTTCGTTGGAAACGGGATATCTTCATATAAAATCTAGACAGAAGCATTCTCAGAAACTTCTTTGTGCTGTATGTCCTCAATTAACAGAGTTGAACCATTGCCTGGATACAGCATTTTGGAAACATTCCTTGAGTAGAATCTGCAAGTTGATATTTAGATAGATTTGAAGATTTCGTTGGAAAAGGGAATATCTCCATATAAAATCTAGAGGGAAGCATTCTCAGAAACTGCTTTGTGATGTTTCCATTCAAGTCACAGAGTTGAATATTCCCTTTTATAGAGCACGTTTGAAACACTCTTTCTGCGCTATCTGGAAGTGGACATTTCGAGCGCTGTGAGGCCTATGGTGAAAAAGGAAATATCTTCCCATAAAAACTAGACAGAAGCATTCTCAGAAACTTGTTTGTGATGTGTGTATTCAACTAACAGAGTTGAACTTTTGTTTTTACAGAGCCGTTTTAAAACACTCTTTTTGTGGAATCAGAAAGTGGATATTCGGATGGCTCTGAGGATTTCGTTGGAAGCGGGATTACATATAAAATCTAGAGAGAAGCATTCTCAGGAACTTCTTTGTGATGTTTGCATTGAAGTCACAGAATTGAACATTCACTTTGATAGAGCAGGTTTGAAACACTCATTCTGTAGTATCTGGAAGTGGACATTTCAAGCGCTTTCAGGCCTATGGTGAGAAAGGAAATATCCTTCGAATAAAAACTAGACAGAAGCATCCTCAAACTTATTTGTGATGTGTGTCCTCAACTAACAGAGTTGAAACTTTGTTTTGATACAGCATTTTGGAAACACTCTTTTTGTAGAATCTGCAGGTGGATATTTGGATAGCTTAGAGGGATTCGTTGGAAAGGGGATATCTTCATATAAAATCTAGACAGAAGCATTCTCAGAAACTTATTTGTGATGTGTGTCCTCAACTAACAGAGTTGAACTTTGGTTTTGATACAGCATTTTGGAAACACTCCTTTTGTAGAATCTGCAGGTGGATATGTGGATAGCTCTGAAGATTTCGTTGGAAACGGGAATTTCTTCATATAAAATCAAACAGAAGCATTCTCAGAAACTTCTCAGTGATGTTTGCATTCAGCTCATGGAGTTGTACACTTCCTTTCATAGAGCAGGTTTGAAACACTCTTTCTGCACTACCTGGAAGAGGACATTTCGAGCGCTTTGAGTCCTATGGTGAAAAAGGAAATATCTTCTCATAGAAACCAGAAAGAAGCGTTCTCAGAAACTTCTTTGTGTTGTGTGTACTCATGTAACAGTGTTGAACCATCCTTTTGACAGAGCAGTTTTGAAACACTCTTTTTGTAGAATCTGCCAGTGGATATTTGGATAGCTTTGAGGATTTCGTTGGAAACGGGTTATCTTCATATTAAATCTAGACAGAAGCATTCTCAGGAACTTCTTTGTGATGTTTGCATTCAAGTCACAGAATTGAACATTCCCTTTCATAGAGCAGGTTTGAAACACTCTTTCTCTAGTATCTGGAAGTGGGCATTTCAAGCGCTTTCAGGCCTATGGAGAGAAAGGAAATACCTTCAAATAAAAACTAGACAGAAGCATTCTCAGAAACTTATTTGTGATGTGTGTCCTCAACTAACAGAGTTGAACCTTTGTTTTGATACAGCATTTTGGAAACACTCCTTTTGTAGAATCTGCAGGTGGATATTTGGATAGCTTTGAAGATTTCGTTGGAAACCGGAATATCTTCATATAAAATCAAGACAGAAGCATTCTCGGAAACATCTCTGTGATGTTTGCATTCAACTCAGTAGAGTTGAACACTTCCTTTCATAGAGCAGGTTTGAAACACTCTTTCTGCACTACCTGGAAGCGGACATTTCGAGCGCTTTGAGGCCTATGGTGAAAAAGGAAATATCTTCTCATAAAAACCAGAAAGAAGCATTCTCAGAAACTTCTTTGTGTTGTGTGTACTCAAGTAACAGTGTTGAACCTTCCTTTTGACAGAGCAGTTTTGAAACACTCTTTTGGTAGAATCTGCAAGTGGATATTTGGATAGCTTTGAGGATTTCGTTGGAAACGGGTTATCTTCATATAAAATCCAGACAGGAGCATTCTCAGAAACTTCTTTGTGCTGTATGTCCTCAATTCACAGAGTTGAACCTTTGTTTGGATACAGCATTTTGGAAACATTCCTTTAGTAGAATCTGCAAGTTGATATTTAGATAGCTTTGAAGATTTCGTTGGAAACGGGAATATCTTCATAAAAAATCTAGACGGAAGCATTGTCAGAAACTGCTTTGTGATGTTTGCATTCAAGTCACAGAGTTAAATAATCTTTTACAGAGCAGGTTCGAAACACTATTTCTGCACTCCCTGGAAGTGGAGATTTCGAGCGCTTTGAGGCCTATGGTGAAAAAGGAAATATCTTCCCATAAAAACTAGATGGAAGCATTCTCAGAAACTTGTTTGTGATGTGTGTATTCAACTAACAGAGTTGAACTTTTGTTTTTACAGAGCCGTTTTAAAACACTCTTTTTGTGGAATCAGAAAGTGGATATTCGGATGGCTCTGAGGATTTCGTTGGAAGCGGGATTACGTATAAAATCTAGAGAGAAGCATTCTCAGGAACTACTTTGTGATGTTTGCATTGAAGTCACAGAATTGAACATTCACTTTGATAGAGCATGTTTGAAACACTCATTCTGTATTATCTGGAAGTGGACATTTCAAGCGCTTTCAGGCCTATGGTGAGAAAGGAAATATCTTCAAATTAAAACTAGACAGAAGCATCCTCAGAAACTTATTTGTGATGTGTGTCCTCAACTAACAGAGTTGAAACTTTGTTTTGATACAGCATTTTGGAAACACTCTTTTTGTAGAATCTGCAGGTGGATATTTGGATAGCTTAGAGGGATTCGTTGGAAAGGGGATATCTTCATATAAAATCTAGACAGAAGCATTCTCAGAAACTTATTTGTGATGTGTGTCCTCAACTAACAGAGTTGAACTTTGGTTTTGATACAGCATTTTGGAAACACTCCTTTTGTAGAATCTGCAGGTGGATATGTGGATAGCTCTGAAGATTTCGTTGGAAACGGGAATTTCTTCATATAAAATCAAACAGAAGCATTCTCAGAAACTTCTCAGTGATGTTTGCATTCAGTTCATGGAGTTGAACACTTCCCTTCATAGAGCCGGTTTGAAACACTCTTTCTGCACTACCTGGAAGAGGACATTTCGAGCGCTTTGAGTCCTATGGTGAAAAAGGAAATATCTTCTCATAGAAACCAGAAAGAAGCATTCTCAGAAACTTCTTTGTGTTGTGTGTACTCATGTAACAGTGTTGAACCATCCTTTTGACAGAGCAGTTTTGAAACACTCTTTTTGTAGAATCTGCAAGTGGATATTTGGATAGCTTTGAGGATTTCGTTGGAAACGGGATGACATATAATATCTAGAGAGAAGCATTCTCAGGAACTTCTTTGTGATGTTTGCATTCAAGTCACAGAATTGAACATTCCCTTTCATAGAGCAGGTTTGAAACACTCTTTCTCTAGTATCTGGAAGTGGGCATTTCAAGCGCTTTCAGGCCTATGGAGAGAAAGGAAATACCTTCAAATAAAAACTAGACAGAAGCATTCTCAGAAACTTATTTGTGATGTGTGTCCTCAACTAACAGAGTTGAACCTTTGTTTTGATACAGCATTTTGGAAACACTCCTTTTGTAGAATCTGCAGGTGGATATTTGGATAGCTTTGAAGATTTCGTTGGAAACCGGAATATCTTCATATAAAATCAAGACAGAAGCATTCTCAGGAACTTCTCTGTGATGTTTGCATTCAGCTCATGGAGTTGAACACTTCCTTTCATAGAGCAGGTTTGAAACACTCTTTCTGCACTACCTGGAAGTGGACATTTCGAGCGCTTTGAGGCCTATGGTGAAAAAGGAAATATCTTCTCATAAAAACCAGAAAGAAGCGTTCTCAGAAACTTCTTTGTGTTGTGTGTACTCATGTAACAGTGTTGAACCATCCTTTTGACAGAGCAGTTTTGAAACACTCTTTTTGTAGAATCTGCAAGTGGATATTTGGATAGCTTTGAGGATTTCGTTGGAAACGGGTTATCTTCATATTAAATCTAGACAGAAGCATTCTCAGGAACTTCTTTGTGATGTTTGCATTCAAGTCACAGAATTGAACATTCCCTTTCATAGAGCAGGTTTGAAACACTCTTTCTCTAGTATCTGGAAGTGGGCATTTCAAGCGCTTTCAGGCCTATGGAGAGAAAGGAAATACCTTCAAATAAAAACTAGACAGAAGCATTCTCAGAAACTTATTTGTGATGTGTGTCCTCAACTAACAGAGTTGAACCTTTGTTTTGATACAGCATTTTGGAAACACTCCTTTTGTAGAATCTGCAGGTGGATATGTGGATAGCTTTGAAGATTTCGTTGGAAACCGGAATATCTTCCTATAAAATCAAGACAGAAGCATTCTCGGAAACATCTCTGTGATGTTTGCATTCAACTCAGTAGAGTTGAACACTTCCTTTCATAGAGGAGGTTTGAAACACTCTTTCTGCACTACCTGGAAGCGGACATTTCGAGCGCTTTGAGGCCTATGGTGAAAAAGGAAATATCTTCTCATAAAAACCAGAAAGAAGCATTCTCAGAAACTTCTTTGTGTTGTGTGTACTCAAGTAACAGTGTTGAACCTTCCTTTTGACAGAGCAGTTTTGAAACACTCTTTTGGTAGAATCTGCAAGTGGATATTTGGAGAGCTTTGAGGATTTCGTTGGAAACGTGTTATCTTCATATAAAATCCAGACAGGAGCATTCTCAGAAACTTCTTTGTGCTGTATGTCCTCAATTCACAGAGCTGAACCTTTGTTTGGATACAGCATTTTGGAGACATTCCTTTAGTAGAATCTGCAAGTTGATATTTAGATAGCTTTGAAGATTTCGTTGGAAACGGGAATATCTTCATAGAAAATCTAGACGGAAGCATTCTCAGAAACTGCTTTGTGATGTTTGCATTCAAGTCACAGAGTTGAATATTCCCTTTTATAGAGTAGGTTTGAAACACTCTTTCGGCACTACCTGGAAGTGGATATTTCGAGCTCTTTGAGGCCTATGGTTAAAAGGAAATATCTTCCCATAAAAACTAGACAGAAGCCGTCTCAGAAACTTGTTTGTGATGTGTGTATTCAACTACCAGAGTTGAACATTTCTGTTACAGAGCAATTTTAAAACACTCTTTTTGTGGAATCTGAAAGTGGATAATTGGATAGCTTTGTGGATTTCGTTGGAAACGGGATGACGTATAAAATCTAGAGAGAAGCATTCTCAGGAACTTCTTTCTGATGTTTGCATTCAAGTCACAGAATTGAACATTCCTTTTCAGAGTGCAGGTTTGAAACACTCTTTCTGTAGTATCTGGAAGTGGACATTTCAAGCGCTTTCAGGCCTACGGGGAGAAAGGAAATATCTTCAAATAAAAACTAGACAGAAGGATTCTCAGAAACTTATTTGTGATGTGTGTCCTAAACGAACACAGTTGAACCTTTGTTTTGATACAGCATTTTGGAAACACTCCTTTTGTAGGATCTGCAGGTGGATATTTGGATAGATTTTAAGATTTCGTTGGAAACGGGAATTTCTTCATAGAAGCTCAAGACAGATGCATTCTCAGAAACTTCTCTGTGATGTTTGCATTCCACTCATAGAGTTGAAAACTTCCTTTCATAGAGCAGGTTTGAAACACTCTTTTTGTAATATTTGGAAGTGGACATTTGCAGCGCTTTGAGGCCTATGGTGAAAAAGGAAATATCTTCTCATAAAAACCAGAAACAAGCATTCTCAGAAACTTCTTTTTGATGTGTGTACTCAAGTAACAGAGTTGAACCTTCCTTTTGACACAGCAGTTTTGAAACAATCTTTTTGTAGAATCTGCAAGTGGATATTTGGATAGCTTTGAGGATTTCGTTGGAAACGGGATATCTTCATATAAAATCTAGACAGAAGCATTCTCAGAAACTTCTTTGTGCTGTATGTCCTCAATTAACAGAGTTGAACCATTGCCTGGATACAGCATTTTGGAAACATTCCTTGAGTAGAATCTGCAAGTTGATATTTAGATAGATTTGAAGATTTCGTTGGAAAAGGGAATATCTCCATATAAAATCTAGAGGGAAGCATTGTCAGAAACTGCTTTGTGATGTTTGCATTCAAGTCACAGAGTTAAATAGTCTTTTATAGAGCAGGTTTGAAACACTCTTTCTGCACTACCTGGAAGTGGAGATTTCGAGCGCTTTGAGGCCTATGGTGAAAAAGGAAATATCTTCCCATAAAAACTAGACGGAAGCCGTCTCAGAAACTTGTTTGTGATGTGTGCATTCAACTAACAGAGCTGAACATTTCTGTTACAGAGCAGTTTTAAAACACTCTTTTTGTGGAATCTGAAAGTGGATAATTGGGTAGCTTTGTGGATTCCATTGGAAAAGGGATGACGTATAAAATCTAGAGAGAAGCATTCTCAGGAACTTCTTTCTGATGTTTGCAATCAAGTCACAGAATTGAACATTCCTTTTCATAGTGCAGGTTTGAAACACTCTTTCTGTAGTATCTGGAAGTGGACATTTCAAGCGCTTTCAGGCCTATGGGGAGAAAGGAAATATATTCAAATTTAAAACTAGACAGAAGGATTCTCAGAAACTTATTTGTGATGTGTGTCCTAAACGAACACAGTTGAACCTTTGTTTTGATACAGCATTTTGGAAACACTCCTTTTGTAGAATCTGCAGGTGGATATTTGGATAGATTTTAAGATTTCGTTGGAAACGGGAATTTCTTCATAGAAACTCAAGACAGATGCATTCTCAGAAACTTCTCTGTGATGTTTGCATTCCACTCATAGAGTTGAAAACTTCCTTTCATAGAGCAGGTTTGAAACACTCTTTTTGTAATATTTGGAAGTGGACATTTGCAGCGCTTTGAGGCCTATGGTGAAAAAGGAAATATCTTCTCATAAAAACCAGAAACAAGCATTCTCAGAAACTTCTTTTTGATGTGTGTACTCAAGTAACAGAGTTGAACCTTCCTTTTGACACAGCAGTTTTGAAACAATCTTTTTGTAGAATCTGCAAGTGGATATTTGGATAGCTTTGAGGATTTCGTTGGAAACGGGATATCTTCATATAAAATCTAGACAGAAGCATTCTCAGAAACTTCTTTGTGCTGTATGTCCTCAATTAACAGAGTTGAACCATTGCTTGGATACAGCATTTTGGAAACATTCCTTGAGTAGAATCTGCAAGTTGATATTTAGATAGATTTGAAGATTTCGTTGGAAAAGGGAATATCTCCATATAAAATCTAGAGGGAAGCATTGTCAGAAACTGCTTTGTGATGTTTGCATTCAAGTCACAGAGTTAAATATTCTTTTACAGAGCAGGTTTGAAACACTCTTTCTGCACTCCCTGGAAGTGGAGATTTCGAGCGCTTTGAGGCCTATGGTGAAAAAGGAAATATCTTCCCATAAAAACTAGACGGAAGCCTTCTCAGAAACTTGTTTGAGATGTGTGTATTCAACTAAGAGCGTTGAACATTTCTTTTTACAGAGCAGTTTTAAAACACTCTTTTTGTGGAATCTGAAAGTGGATAATTGGATAGCTTTGTGGATTTCGTTGGAAACGTGATGACGTATAAAATCTAGAGAGAAGCATTCTCAGGAACTTCTTTCTGATGTTTGCATTCAAGTCACAGAATTGAACATTCCTTTTCATAGTGCAGGTTTGAAACACTCTTTCTGTAGTATCTGGAAGTGGACATTTCAAGCGCTTTCAGGCCTATGGGGAGAAAGGAAATATCTTCAAATAAAAACTAGACAGAAGGATTCTCAGAAACTTTTTGGTGATGTGTGTCCTAAACGAACGCAGTTGAACCTTTGTTTTGATACAGCGTTTTGGAAACACTCCTTTTGTAGAATCTGCAGGTGGATATTTGGATAGATTTTAAGATTTCGTTGGAAACGGGAATTTCTTCATATAAACTCAAGACAGATGCATTCTCAGAAACTTCTCTGTGATGTTTGCATTCCACTCATAGAGTTGAAAACTTCCTTTCATAGAGCAGGTTTGAAACACTCTTTTTGTAATATGTGGAAGTGGACATTTGCAGCGCTTTGAGGCCTATGGTGAAAAAGGAAATATCTTCTCATAAAAACCAGAAACAAGCATTCTCAGAAACTTCTTTTTGATGTGTGTACTCAAATATCAGAGTTGAACCTTCCTTTTGACACAGCAGTTTTGAAACAATCTTTTTGTAGAATCTGCAAGTGGACATTTGGATAGCTTTGATGATTTCGTTGGAAACGGGATATCTTCATATAAAATCTAGACAGAAGCATTCTCAGAAACTTCTTTGTGCTGTATGTCCTCAATTAACAGAGTTGAACCATTGCCTGGATACAGCATTTTGGAAACATTCCTTGAGTAGAATCTGCAAGTTGATATTTAGATAGATTTGAAGATTTCGTTGGAAAAGGGAATATCTCCATATAAAATCTAGAGGGAAGCATTCTCAGAAACTGCTTTGTGATGTTTCCATTCAAGTCACAGAGTTGAATATTCCCTTTTATAGAGCACGTTTGAAACACTCTTTCTGCACTATCTGGAAGTGGACATTTCGAGCGCTTTGAGGCCTATGGTGAAAAAGGAAATATCTTCCCATAAAAACTAGACAGAAGCATTCTCAGAAACTTGTTTATGATGTGTGTCTTCAACTAACAGACTTGAACATTTGTTTTTACAAAGCAGTTTTAAGACAATCTTTTTGTGGAATCAGAAAGTGGATATTCGGATGGCTTTGAGGACTTCGTTGGAAGCGGGATTACATATAAAATCTAGAGAGAAGCATTCTCAGGAACTACTTTGTGATGTTTGCATTGAAGTCACAGAATTGAACATTCACTTTGATAGAGCAGGTTTGAAACACTCATGCTGTAGTATCTGGAAGTGGACATTTCAAGCGCTTTCAGGCCTATGGGGAGAAAGGAAATATCTTCAAATTAAAACTAGACAGAAGCATCCTCAAACTTATTTGTGATGTGTGTCCTCAACTAACAGAGTTGAAACTTTGTTTTGATACAGCATTTTGGAAACACTCTTTTTGTAGAATCTGCAGGTGGATATTTGGATAGCTTAGAGGGATTCGTTGGAAAGGGGATATCTTCATATAAAATCTAGACAGAAGCATTCTCAGAAACTTATTTGTGATGTGTGTCCTCAACTAACAGAGTTGAACCTTGGTTTTGATACAGCATTTTGGAAACACTCCTTTTGTAGAATCTGCAGGTGGATAGGTGGATAGCTCTGAAGATTTCGTTGGAAACGGGAATTTCTTCATATAAAATCAAACAGAAGCATTCTCAGAAACTTCTCAGTGATGTTTGCATTCAGCTCATGGAGTTGTACACTTCCTTTCATAGAGCAGGTTTGAAACACTCTTTCGGCACTACCTGGAAGAGGACATTTCGAGCGCTTTGAGTCCTATGGTGAAAAAGGAAATATCTTCTCATAGAAACCAGAAAGAAGCATTCTCAGAAACTTCTTTGTGCTGTGTGTACTCATGTAACAGTGTTGAACCATCCTTTTGACAGAGCAGTTTTGAAACACTCTTTTTGTAGAATCTGCAAGTGGATATTTGGATAGCTTTGAGGATTTCGTTGGAAACGGGATGACATATAATATCTAGAGAGAAGCATTCTCAGGAACTTCTTTGTGATGTTTGCATTCAAGTCACAGAATTGAACATTCCCTTTCATAGAGCAGGTTTGAAACACTCTTTCTCTAGTATCTGGAAGTGGGCATTTCAAGCGCTTTCAGGCCTATGGAGAGAAAGGAAATACCTTCAAATAAAAACTAGACAGAAGCATTCTCAGAAACTTATTTGTGATGTGTGTCCTCAACTAACAGAGTTGAACCTTTGTTTTGATACAGCATTTTGGAAACACTCCTTTTGTAGAATCTGCAGGTGGATATTTGGATAGCTTTGAAGATTTCGTTGGAAACCGGAATATCTTCATATAAAATCAAGACAGAAGCATTCTCGGAAACATCTCTGTGATGTTTGCATTCAACTCAGTAGAGTTGAACACTTCCTTTCATAGAGCAGGTTTGAAACACTCTTTCTGCACTACCTGGAAGCGGACATTTCGAGCGCTTTGAGGCCTATGGTGAAAAAGGAAATATCTTCTCATAAAAACCAGAAAGAAGCATTCTCAGAAACTTCTTTGTGTTGTGTGTACTCAAGTAACAGTGTTGAACCTTCCTTTTGACAGAGCAGTTTTGAAACACTCTTTTGGTAGAATCTGCAAGTGGATATTTGGAGAGCTTTGAGGATTTCGTTGGAAACGGGTTATCTTCCTATAAAATCCAGACAGGAGCATTCTCAGAAACTTCTTTGTGCTGTATGTCCTCAATTCACAGAGTTGAACCTTTGTTTGGATACAGCATTTTAGAAACATTCCTTTAGTAGAATCTGCAAGTTGATATTTAGATAGCTTTGAAGATTTCGTTGGAAACGGGAATATCTTCATAAAAAATCTAGACGGAAGCATTGTCAGAAACTGCTCTGTGATGTTTGCATTCAAGTCACAGAGTTAAATATTCTTTTATAGAGCAGGTTTGAAACACTCTTTCTGCACTCCCTGGAAGTGGAGATTTCGAGCGCTTTGAGGCCTATGGTGAAAAAGGAAATATCTTCCTGTAAAAACTAGACGGAAGCCTTCTCAGAAACTTGTTTGAGATGTGTGTATTCAACTAAGAGCGTTGAACATTTCTTTTTACAGAGCAGTTTTAAAACACTCTTTTGGTGCAATCTGAAAGTGGATAATTGGATAGCTTTGTGGATTTCGTTGGAAACGGGATTACGTTTAAAATCTAGAGAGAAGCATTCTCAGGAACTTCTTTCTGATGTTTGCATTCAAGTCACAGAATTGAACATTCCTTTTCAGAGTGCAGGTTTGAAACACTCTTTCTGTAGTATCTGGAAGTGGACATTTCAAGCGCTTTCAGGCCTACGGGGAGAAAGGAAATATCTTCAAATAAAAACTAGACAGAAGGATTCTCAGAAACTTATTTGTGATGTGTGTCCTAAACGAACACAGTTGAACCTTTGTTTTGATACAGCATTTTGGAAACACTCCTTTTGTAGGATCTGCAGGTGGATATTTGGATAGATTTTAAGATTTCGTTGGAAACGGGAATTTCTGCATATAAACTCAAGACAGATGCATTCTCAGAAACTTCTCTGTGATGTTTGCATTCCACTCATAGAGTTGAAAACTTCCTTTCATAGAGCAGGTTTGAAACACTCTTTTTGTAATATTTGGAAGTGGACATTTGCAGCGCTTTGAGGCCTATGGTGAAAAAGGAAATATCTTCTCATAAAAACCAGAAACAAGCATTCTCAGAAACTTCTTTTTGATGTGTGTACTCAAGTAACAGAGTTGAACCTTCCTTTTGACACAGCAGTTTTGAAACAATCTTTTTGTAGAATCTGCAAGTGGATATTTGGATAGCTTTGAGGATTTCGTTGGAAACGGGATATCTTCATATAAAATCTAGACAGAAGCATTCTCAGAAACTTCTTTGTGCTGTATGTCCTCAATTAACAGAGTTGAACCATTGCCTGGATACAGCATTTTGGAAACATTCCTTGAGTAGAATCTGCAAGTTGATATTTAGATAGATTTGAAGATTTCGTTGGAAAAGGGAATATCTCCATATAAAATCTAGAGGGAAGCATTCTCAGAAACTGCTTTGTGATGTTTCCATTCAAGTCACAGAGTTGAATATTCCCTTTTATAGAGCACGTTTGAAACACTCTTTCTGCACTATCTGGAAGTGGACATTTCGAGCGCTTTGAGGCCTATGGTGAAAAAGGAAATATCTTCCCATAAAAACTAGACAGAAGCATTCTCAGAAACTTGTTTGTGATGTGTGTATTCAACTAACAGAGTTGAACTTTTGTTTTTACAGAGCCGTTTTAAAACACTCTTTTTGTGGAATCAGAAAGTGGATATTCGGATGGCTCTGAGGATTTCGTTGGAAGCGGGATTACGTATAAAATCTAGAGAGAAGCATTCTCAGGAACTTCTTTGTGATGTTTGCATTGAAGTCACAGAATTGAACATTCACTTTGATAGAGCAGGTTTGAAACACTCATTCTGTAGGATCTGGAAGTGGACATTTCAAGCGCTTTCAGGCCTATGGTGAGAAAGGAAATATCTTCGAATAAAAACTAGACAGAAGCATCCTCAAACTTATTTGTGATGTGTGTCCTCAACTAACAGAGTTGAAACTTTGTTTTGATACAGCATTTTGGAAACACTCTTTTTGTAGAATCTGCAGGTGGATATTTGGATAGCTTAGAGGGATTCGTTGGAAAGGGGATATCTTCATATAAAATCTAGACAGAAGCTTTCTCAGAAACTTATTTGTGATGTGTGTCCTCAACTAACAGAGTTGAACCTTGGTTTTGATACAGCATTTTGGAAACACTCCTTTTGAAGAATCTGCAGGTGGATATGTGGATAGCTTTGAAGATTTCGTTGGAAACGGGAATTTCTTCATATAAAATCAAACAGAAGCATTCTCAGAAACTTCTCTGTGATGTTTGCATTCAGCTCATGGAGTTGAACACTTCCTTTCATAGAGCAGGTTTGAAACACTCTTTCTGCACTACCTGGAAGTGGACCTTTCGAGCGCTTTGAGGCCTATGGTGAAAAAGGAAATATCTTCTCATAAAAACCGGAAAGAAGCGTTCTCAGAAACTTCTTTGTGTTGTGTGTACTCATGTAACAGTGTTGAACCATCCTTTTGACAGAGCAGTTTTGAAACACTCTTTTTGTAGAATCTGCAAGTGCATATTTGGATAGCTTTGAGGTTTTCGTTGGAAACGGGTTATCTTCATATTAAATCTGGACAGAAGCATTCTCAGAAACTTCTTTGTGCTGTATGTCCTCAATTCACAGAGTTGAACCTTTGTTTGGATACAGCATTTTGGAAACATTCCTTTAGTAGAATCTGCAAGTTGATATTTAGATAGCTTTGAAGATTTCGTTGGAAACGGGAATATCTTCATAAAAAATCTAGACGGAAGCATTGTCAGAAACTGCTTTGTGATGTTTGCATTCAAGTCACAGAGTTAAATATTCTTTTACAGAGCAGGTTTGAAACACTCTTTCTGCACTCCCTGGAAGTGGAGATTTCGAGCGCTTTGAGGCCTTTGGTGAAAAAGGAAATATCTTCCCATAAAAACTAGACGGAAGCCTTCTCAGAAACTTGTTTGAGATGTGTGTATTCAACTAAGAGCTTTGAACATTTCCTTCTACACAGCAGTTTTAAAACACTCTTTTTGTGGAATCTGAAAGTGGATAATTGGATAGCTTTGTGGATTTCGTTGGAAACGGGATTACGTATAAAATCTAGAGAGAAGCATTCTCAGAAACTTCTTTCTGATGTTTGCATTCAAGTCACAGAATTGAACATTCCTTTTCATAGTGCAGGTTTGAAACACTCTTTCTGTACTATCTGGAAGTGGACATTTCAAGCGCTTTCAGGCCTATGGGGAGAAAGGAAATATCTTCAAATTAAAAACTAGACAGAAGGATTCTCAGAAACTTATTTGTGATGTGTGTCCTAAACGAACAGAGTTGAACCTTTGTTTTGATACAGCATTTTGGAAACACTCCTTTTGTGGAATCTGCAGGTGGATATTTGGATAGATTTTAAGATTTCGTTGGAAACGGGAATTTCCTCATATAAAATCAAGACAGATGCATTCTCAGAAACTTCTCCGTGATGTTTGCATTCCACTCATAGAGTTGAAAACTTCCTTTCATAGAGCACGTTTGAAACACTCTTTTTGTAATATTTGGAAGTGGACATTTGCAGCGCTTTGAGGCCTATGGTGAAAAAGGAAATATCTTCTCATAAAAACCAGAAACAAGCATTCTCAGAAACTTCTTTTTGATGTGTGTACTCAAGTAACAGAGTTGAACCTTCCTTTTGACACAGCAGTTTTGAAACAATCTTTTTGTAGAATCTGCAAGTGGATATTTGGATAGCTTTGAGGATTTCGTTGCAAACGGGGTATCTTCATATAAAATCTAGACAGAATCATTCTCAGAAACTTCTTTGTGCTGTATGTCCTCAATTAACAGAGTTGAACCATTGCTTGGATACAGCATTTTGGAGACATTCCTTTAGTAGAATCTGCAAGTTGATATTTAGATACATTTGAAGATTTCGTTGGAAACGGGAATATCTTCATATAAAATCTAGACGGAAGCATTCTCAGAAACTGCTTTGTGATGTTTCCATTCAAGTCACAGGGTTGAATATTCTCTTTTATAGAGCACGTTTGAAACACTCTTTCTGCACTATCTGGAAGTGGACATTTCGAGCGCTTTGAGGCCTATGGTGAAAAAGGAAATATCTTCCCATAAAAACTAGACAGAAGCATTCTCAGAAACTTGTTTGTGATGTGTGTATTCAACTAACAGAGTTGAACTTTTGTTTTTACAGAGCAGTTTTAAAACACTCTTTTTGTGGAATCAGAAAGTGGATATTCGGATGGCTCTGAGGATTTCGTTGGAAGCGGGATTACATATAAAATCTAGAGAGAAGCATTCTCAGGAACTTCTTTGTGATGTTTGCATTGAAGTCACAGAATTGAACATTCACTTTGATAGAGCAGGTTTGAAACACTCATTCTGTAGTATCTGGATGTGGACATTTCAAGCGCTTTCAGGCCTATGGTGAGAAAGGAAATATCTTCGAATAAAAACTAGACAGAAGCATCCTCAAACTTATTTGTGATGTGTGTCCTCAACTAACAGAGTTGAAACTTTGTTTTGATACAGCATTTTGGAAACACTCTTTTTGTAGAATCTGCAGGTGGATATTTGGATAGCTTAGAGGGATTCGTTGGAAAGGGGATATCTTCATATAGAATCTAGACAGAAGCATTCTCAGAAACTTATTTGTGATGTGTGTCCTCAACTAACAGAGTTGAACTTTGGTTTTGATACAGCATTTTGGAAACACTCCTTTTGTAGAATCTGCAGGTGGATATGTGGATAGCTCTGAAGATTTCGTTGGAAACGGGAATTTCTTCATATAAAATCAAACAGAAGCATTCTCAGGAACTTCTCTGTGATGTTTGCATTCAGCTCATGGAGTTGAACACTTCCTTTCATAGAGCAGGTTTGAAACACTCTTTCTGCACTACCTGGAAGTGGACATTTCGAGCGCTTTGAGGCCTATGGTGAAAAAGGAAATATCCTCTCATAAAAACCAGAAAGAAGCGTTCTCAGAAACTTCTTTGTGTTGTGTGTACTCATGTAACAGTGTTGAACCATCCTTTTGACAGAGCAGTTTTGAAACACTCTTTTTGTAGAATCTGCCAGTGGATATTTGGATAGCTTTGAGGATTTCGTTGGAAACGGGTTATCTTCATATTAAATCTAGACAGAAGCATTCTCAGGAACTTCTTTGTGATGTTTGCATTCAAGTCACAGAATTGAACATTCCCTTTCATAGAGCAGGTTTGAAACACTCTTTCTCTAGTATCTGGAAGTGGGCATTTCAAGCGCTTTCAGGCCTATGGAGAGAAAGGAAATACCTTCAAATAAAAACTAGACAGAAGCATTCTCAGAAACTTATTTGTGATGTGTGTCCTCAACTAACAGAGTTGAACCTTTGTTTTGATACAGCATTTTGGAAACACTCCTTTTGTAGAATCTGCAGGTGGATATGTGGATAGCTTTGAAGATTTCGTTGGAAACCGGAATATCTTCCTATAAAATCAAGACAGAAGCATTCTCGGAAACATCTCTGTGATGTTTGCATTCAACTCAGTAGAGTTGAACACTTCCTTTCATAGAGCAGGTTTGAAACACTCTTTCTGCACTACCTGGAAGCGGACATTTCGAGCGCTTTGAGGCCTATGGTGAAAAAGGAAATATCTTCTCATAAAAACCAGAAAGAAGCATTCTCAGAAACTTCTTTGTGTTGTGTGTACTCAAGTAACAGTGTTGAACCTTCCTTTTGACAGAGTAGTTTTGAAACACTCTTTTGGTAGAATCTGCAAGTGGATATTTGGATAGCTTTGAGGATTTCGTTGGAAACGGGTTATCTTCCTATAAAATCCAGACAGGAGCATTCTCAGAAACTTCTTTGTGCTGTATGTCCTCAATTCACAGAGCTGAACCTTTGTTTGGATACAGCATTTTGGAGACATTCCTTTAGTAGAATCTGCAAGTTGATATTTAGATAGCTTTGAAGATTTCGTTGGAAACGGGAATATCTTCATAGAAAATCTAGACGGAAGCATTCTCAGAAACTGCTTTGTGATGTTTGCATTCAAGTCACAGAGTTGAATATTCCCTTTTATAGAGTAGGTTTGAAACACTCTTTCGGCACTACCTGGAAGTGGATATTTCGAGCTCTTTGAGGCCTATGGTTAAAAGGAAATATCTTCCCATAAAAACTAGACAGAAGCCGTCTCAGAAACTTGTTTGTGATGTGTGTATTCATCTAACAGAGTTGAACATTTCTGTTACAGAGCAATTTGAAAACACTCTTTTTGTGGAATCTGAAAGTGGATAATTGGATAGCTTTGTGGATTTCGTTGGAAACGGGATGACGTATAAAATCTAGAGAGAAGCATTCTCAGGAACTTCTTTCTGATGTTTGCATTCAAGTCACAGAATTGAACATTCCTTTTCATAGTGCAGGTTTGAAACACTCTTTCTGTAGTATCTGGAAGTGGACATTTCAAGCGCTTTCAGGCCTACGGGGAGAAAGGAAATATCTTCAAATAAAAACTAGACAGAAGGATTCTCAGAAACTTATTTGTGATGTGTGTCCTAAACGAACACAGTTGAACCTTTGTTTTGATACAGCATTTTGGAAACACTCCTTTTGTAGGATCTGCAGGTGGATATTTGGATAGATTTTAAGATTTCGTTGGAAACGGGAATTTCTTCATAGAAGCTCAAGACAGATGCATTCTCCGAAACTTCTCTGTGATGTTTGCATTCCACTCATAGAGTTGAAAACTTCCTTTCATAGAGCAGGTTTGAAACACTCTTTTTGTAATATTTGGAAGTGGACATTTGCAGCGCTTTGAGGCCTATGGTGAAAAAGGAAATATCTTCTCATAAAAACCAGAAACAAGCATTCTCAGAAACTTCTTTTTGATGTGTGTACTCAAGTAACAGAGTTGAACCTTCCTTTTGACACAGCAGTTTTGAAACAATCTTTTTGTAGAATCTGCAAGTGGATATTTGGATAGCTTTGAGGATTTCGTTGGAAACGGGATATCTTCATATAAAATCTAGACAGAAGCATTCTCAGAAACTTCTTTGTGCTGTATGTCCTCAATTAACAGAGTTGAACCATTGCCTGGATACAGCATTTTGGAAACATTCCTTGAGTAGAATCTGCAAGTTGATATTTAGATAGATTTGAAGATTTCGTTGGAAAAGGGAATATCTCCATATAAAATCTAGAGGGAAGCATTGTCAGAAACTGCTTTGTGATGTTTGCATTCAAGTCACAGAGTTAAATATTCTTTTACAGAGCAGGTTTGAAACACTCTTTCTGCACTCCCTGGAAGTGGAGATTTCAAGCGCTTTGAGGCCTATGGTGAAAAAGGAAATATCTTCCCATAAAAACTAGACGGAAGCATTCTCAGAAACTTGTTTGTGATGTGTGTATTCAACTAACAGACTTGAACTTTTGTTTTTACAGAGCAGTTTTAAGACAATCCTTTTGTGGAATCAGAAAGTGGATATTCGGATGGCTTTGAGGATTTCGTTGGAAGCGGGATTACATATAAAATCTAGAGAGAAGCATTCTCAGGAACTACTTTGTGATGTTTGCATTGAAGTCACAGAATTGAACATTCACTTTGATAGAGCAGGTTTGAAACACTCATTCTGTAGTATCTGGAAGTGGACAATTCAAGCGCTTTCAGGCCTATGGGGAGAAAGGAAATATCTTCAAATAAAAACTAGACAGAAGCATCCTCAGAAACTTATTTGTGATGTGTGTCCTCAACTAACAGAGTTGAAACTTTGTTTTGATACAGCATTTTGGAAACACTCTTTTTGTAGAATCTGCAGGTGGATATTTGGATAGCTTAGAGGGATTCGTTGGAAAGGGGATATCTTCATATAAAATCTAGACAGAAGCATTCTCAGAAACTTATTTGTGATGTGTGTCCTCAACTAACAGAGTTGAACCTTGGTTTTGATACAGCATTTTGGAAACACTCCTTTTGTAGAATCTGCAGGTGGATATGTGGATAGCTCTGAAGATTTCGTTGGAAACGGGAATTTCTTCATATAAAATCAAACAGAAGCATTCTCAGAAACTTCTCTGTGATGTTTGCATTCAGCTCATGGAGTTGAACACTTCCTTTCATAGAGCAGGTTTGAAAAACTCTTTCTGCACTACCTGGAAGTGGACATTTCGAGCGCTTTGAGGCCTATGGTGAAAAAGGAAATATCTTCTCATAAAAACCAGAAGGAAGCATTCTCAGAAACTTCTTTGTGTTGTGTGTACTCATGTAACAGTGTTGAACCATCCTTTTGACAGAGCAGTTTTGAAACAGTCTTTTTGTAGAATCTGCAAGTGGATATTTGGATAGCTTTGAGGATTTCGTTGGAAACGGGTTATCTTCATATTAAATCTAGACAGAAGCATTCTGAGAAACTTCTTTGTGCTGTATGTCCTCAATTCACAGAGTTGAACCTTTGTTTGGATACAGCATTTTGGAAACATTCCTTTAGTAGGATCTGCAAGTGGATATTTAGATAGCTTTGAAGATTTCGTTGGAAACGGGAATATCTTCATAAAAAATCTAGACGGAAGCATTGTCAGAAACTGCTTTGTGATGTTTGCATTCAAGTCACTGAGTTAAATAGTCTTTTATAGAGCAGGTTTGAAACACTCTTTCTACACTACCTGGAAGTGGAGATTTCGAGCGCTTTGAGGCCTATGGTGAAAAAGGAAATATCTTCCCATAAAAACTAGACGGAAGCATTCTCAGAAACTTGTTTGTGATGTGTGTATTCAACTAACAGAGTTGAACTTTTGTTTTTACAGAGCCGTTTTAAAACACTCTTTTTGTGGAATCAGAAAGTGGATATTCGGATGGCTCTGAGGATTTCGTTGGAAGCGGGATTACGTATAAAATCTAGAGAGAAGCATTCTCAGAAACTTCTTTCTGATGTTTGCATTGAAGTCACAGAATTGAACATTCACTTTGATAGAGCAGGTTTGAAACACTCATTCTGTAGTATCTGGAAGTGGACATTTCAAGCGCTTTCAGGCCTATGGTGAGAAAGGAAATATCTTCGAATAAAAACTAGACAGAAGCATCCTCAGAAACTTATTTGTGATGTGTGTCCTCAACTAACAGAGTTGAAACTTTGTTTTGATACAGCATTTTGGAAACACTCTTTTTGTAGAATCTGCAGGTGGATATTTGGATAGCTTAGTGGGATTCGTTGGAAAGGGGATATCTTCATATAAAATCTAGACAGAAGCATTCTCAGAAACTTATTTGTGATGTGTGTCCTCAACTAACAGAGTTGAACCTTGGTTTTGATACAGCATTTTGGAAACACTCCTTTTGTAGAATCTGCAGGTGGATATGTGGATAGCTCTGAAGATTTCGTTGGAAACGGGAATTTCTTCATATAAAATCAAACAGAAGCATTCTCAGAAACTTCTCAGTGATGTTTGCATTCAGCTCATGGAGTTGTACACTTCCTTTCATAGAGCAGGTTTGAAACACTCTTTCTGCACTACCTGGAAGAGGACATTTCGAGCGCTTTGAGTCCTATGGTGAAAAAGGAAATATCTTCTCATAGAAACCAGAAAGAAGCGTTCTCAGAAACTTCTTTGTGTTGTGTGTACTCATGTAACAGTGTTGAACCATCCTTTTGACAGAGCAGTTTTGAAACACTCTTTTTGTAGAATCTGCCAGTGGATATTTGGATAGCTTTGAGGATTTCGTTGGAAACGGGTTATCTTCATATTAAATCTAGACAGAAGCATTCTCAGGAACTTCTTTGTGATGTTTGCATTCAAGTCACAGAATTGAACATTCCCTTTCATAGAGCAGGTTTGAAACACTCTTTCTCTAGTATCTGGAAGTGGGCATTTCAAGCGCTTTCAGGCCTATGGAGAGAAAGGAAATACCTTCAAATAAAAACTAGACAGAAGCATTCTCAGAAACTTATTTGTGATGTGTGTCCTCAACTAACAGAGTTGAACCTTTGTTTTGATACAGCATTTTGGAAACACTCCTTTTGTAGAATCTGCAGGTGGATATTTGGATAGCTTTGAAGATTTCGTTGGAAACCGGAATATCTTCATATAAAATCAAGACAGAAGCATTCTCGGAAACATCTCTGTGATGTTTGCATTCAACTCAGTAGAGTTGAACACTTCCTTTCATAGAGCAGGTTTGAAACACTCTTTCTGCACTACCTGGAAGCGGACATTTCGAGCGCTTTGAGGCCTATGGTGAAAAAGGAAATATCTTCTCATAAAAACCAGAAAGAAGCATTCTCAGAAACTTCTTTGTGTTGTGTGTACTCAAGTAACAGTGTTGAACCTTCCTTTTGACAGAGCAGTTTTGAAACACTCTTTTGGTAGAATCTGCAAGTGGATATTTGGATAGCTTTGAGGATTTCGTTGGAAACGGGTTATCTTCATATAAAATCCAGACAGGAGCATTCTCAGAAACTTCTTTGTGCTGTATGTCCTCAATTCACAGAGCTGAACCTTTGTTTGGATACAGCATTTTGGAGACATTCCTTTAGTAGAATCTGCAAGTTGATATTTAGATAGCTTTGAAGATTTCGTTGGAAACGGGAATATCTTCATAGAAAATCTAGACGGAAGCATTCTCATAAACTGCTTTGTGATGTTTGCATTCAAGTCACAGAGTTGAATATTCCCTTTTATAGAGTAGGTTTGAAACACTCTTTCGGCACTACCTGGAAGTGGATATTTCGAGCTCTTTGAGGCCTATGCTTAAAAGGAAATATCTTCCCATAAAAACTAGACAGAAGCCTTCTCAGAAACTTGTTTGAGATGTGTGTATTCAACTAAGAGCGTTGAACATTTCTTTTTACAGAGCAGTTTTAAAACACTCTTTTGGTGCAATCTGAAAGTGGATAATTGGATAGCTTTGTGGATTTCGTTGGAAACGGGATTACGTTTAAAATCTAGAGAGAAGCATTCTCAGGAACTTCTTTCTGATGTTTGCATTCAAGTCACAGAATTGAACATTCCTTTTCAGAGTGCAGGTTTGAAACACTCTTTCTGTAGTATCTGGAAGTGGACATTTCAAGCGCTTTCAGGCCTACGGGGAGAAAGGAAATATCTTCAAATAAAAACTAGACAGAAGGATTCTCAGAAACTTATTGGTGATGTGTGTCCTAAACGAACACAGTTGAACCTTTGTTTTGATACAGCATTTTGGAAACACTCCCTTTGTAGAATCTGCAGGTGGATATTTGGATAGATTTTAAGATTTCGTTGGAAACGGGAATTTCTTCATATAAACTCAAGACAGATGCATTCTCAGAAACTTCTCTGTGATGTTTGCATTCCACTCATAGAGTTGAAAACTTCCTTTCATAGAGCAGGTTTGAAACACTCTTTTTGTAATATTTGGAAGTGGACATTTGCAGCGCTTTGAGGCCTATGGTGAAAAAGGAAATATCTTCTCATAAAAACCAGAAACAAGCATTCTCAGAAACTTCTTTTTGATGTGTGTACTCAAGTAACAGAGTTGAACCTTCCCTTTTGACACAGCAGTTTTGAAACAATCTTTTTGTAGAATCTGCAAGTGGATATTTGGATAGCTTTGAGGATTTCGTTGGAAACGGGATATCTTCATATAAAATCTAGACAGAAGCATTCTCAGAAACTTCTTTGTGCTGTATGACCTCAATTAACAGAGTTGAACCATTGCTTGCATACAGCATTTTGGAAACATTCCTTGAGTAGAATCTGCAAGTTGATATTTAGATAGATTTGAAGATTTCGTTCGAAAACGGAATATCTCCATATAAAATCTAGAGGGAAGCATTGTCAGAAACTGCTCTGTGATGTTTGCATTCAAGTCACAGAGTTAAATATTCTTTTATAGAGCAGGTTTGAAACACTCTTTCTGCACTCCCTGGAAGTGGAGATTTCGAGCGCTTTGAGGCCTATGGTGAAAAAGGAAATATCTTCCCATAAAAACTAGACGGAAGCATTCTCAGAAACTTGTTTGTGATGTGTGTATTCAACTAACAGAGTTGAACTTTTGTTTTTACAGAGCCGTTTTAAAACACTCTTTTTGTGGAATCAGAAAGTGGATATTCGGATGGCTCTGAGGATTTCGTTGGAAGCGGGATTACATATAAAATCTAGAGAGAAGCATTCTCAGGAACTACTTTGTGATGTTTGTATTGAAGTCACAGAATTGAACATTCACTTTGATAGAGCAGGTTTGAAACACTCATTCTGTAGTATCTGGAAGCGGACAATTCAAGCGCTTTCAGGCCTATGGGGAGAAAGGAAATATCTTCAAATAAAAACTAGAGAGAAGCATCCTCAGAAACTTATTTGTGATGTGTGTCCTCAAGTAACAGAGTTGAAACTTTGTTTTGATACAGCATTTTGGAAACACTCTTTTTGTAGAATCTGCAGGTGGATATTTGGATAGCTTAGAGGGATTCGTTGGAAAGGGGATATCTTCATATAAAATCTAGACAGAAGCATTCTCAGAAACTTATTTGTGATGTGTGTCCTCAACTAACAGAGTGGAACCTTGGTTTTGATACAGCATTTTGGAAACACTCCTTTTGTGGAATCTGCAGGTGGATATGTGGATAGCTTTGAAGATTTCGTTGGAAACGGGAATTTCTTCATACAAAATCAAACAGAAGCATTCTCAGAAACTTCTCTGTGATGTTTGCATTCAGCTCATGGAGTTGAACACTTCCTTTCATAGAGCAGCTTTGAAACACTCTTTCTGCACTACCAGGAAGTGGACATTTCGAGCACTTTGAGGCCTATGGTGAAAAAGGAAATATCTTCTCATAAAAACCAGAAAGAAGCATTCTCAGAAACTTCTTTGTGTTGTGTGTACTCATGTAACAGTGTTGAACCATCCTTTTGACAGAGCAGTTTTGAAACACTCTTTTTGTAGAATCTGCAAGTGGATATTTGGATAGCTTTGAGGATTTCGTTGGAAACGGGATGACATATAATATCTAGAGAGAAGCATTCTCAGGAACTTCTTTGTGATGTTTGCATTCAAGTCACAGAATTGAACATTCCGTTTCATAGAGCAGGTTTGAAACACTCTTTCTCTAGTATCTGGAAGTGGGCATTTCAAGCGCTTTCAGGCCTATGGAGAGAAAGGAAATACCTTCAAATAAAAACTAGACAGAAGCATTCTCAGAAACTTATTTGTGATGTGTGTCCTCAACTAACAGAGTTGAACCTTGGTTTTGATACAGCATTTTGGAAACACTCCTTTTGTAGAATCTGCAGGTGGATATTTGGATAGCTTTGAAGATTTCGTTGGAAACCGGAATATCTTCATATAAAATCAAGACAGAAGCATTCTCGGAAACATCTCTGTGATGTTTGCATTCAACTCAGTAGAGTTGAACACTTCCTTTCATAGAGGAGGTTTGAAACACTCTTTCTGCACTACCTGGAAGCGGACATTTCGAGCGCTTTGAGGCCTATGGTGAAAAAGGAAATATCTTCTCATAAAAACCAGAAAGAAGCATTCTCAGAAACTTCTTTGTGTTGTGTGTACTCAAGTAACAGTGTTGAACCTTCCTTTTGACAGAGCAGTTTTGAAACACTCTTTTGGTAGAATCTGCAAGTGGATATTTGGAGAGCTTTGAGGATTTCGTTGGAAACGGGTTATCTTCATATAAAATCCAGACAGGAGCATTCTCAGAAACTTCTTTGTGCTGTATGTCCTCAATTCACAGAGCTGAACCTTTGTTTGGATACAGCATTTTGGAGACATTCCTTTAGTAGAATCTGCAAGTTGATATTTAGATAGCTTTGAAGATTTCGTTGGAAACGGGAATATCTTCATAGAAAATCTAGATGGAAGCATTCTCAGAAACTGCTTTGTGATGTTTGCATTCAAGTCACAGAGTTGAATATTCCCTTTTATAGAGTAGGTTTGAAACACTCTTTCGGCACTACCTGGAAGTGGATATTTCGAGCTCTTTGAGGCCTATGGTTAAAAGGAAATATCTTCCCATAAAAACTAGACAGAAGCCTTCTCAGAAACTTGTTTGAGATGTGTGTATTCAACTAAGAGCGTTGAACATTTCTTTTTATAGAGCAGTTTTAAAACACTCTTTTTGTGGGATCTGAAAGTGGATAATTGGATAGCTTTGTGGATTTCGTTGGAAACGGGATGACGTATAAAATCTAGAGAGAAGCATTCTCAGGAACTTCTTTCTGATGTTTGCATTCAAGTCACAGAATTGAACATTCCTTTTCATAGTGCAGGTTTGAAACTCTCTTTCTGTATTATCTGGAAGTGGACATTTCAAGCACTTTCAGGCCTATGGGGAGAAAGGAAATATCTTCAAATAAAAACTAGACAGAAGGATTCTCAGAAACTTATTTGTGATGTGTGTCCTAAACGAACACAGTTGAACCTTTGTTTTGATACAGCATTTTGGAAACACTCCTTTTGTAGGATCTGCAGGTGGATATTTGGATAGATTTTAAGATTTCGTTGGAAACGGGAATTTCTTCATAGAAGCTCAAGACAGATGCATTCTCAGAAACTTCTCTGTGATGTTTGCATTCCACTCATAGAGTTGAAAACTTCCTTTCATAGAGCAGGTTTGAAACACTCTTTTTGTAATATGTGGAAGTGGACATTTGCAGCGCTTTGAGGCCTATGGTGAAAAAGGAAATATCTTCTCATAAAAACCAGAAACAAGCATTCTCAGAAACTGCTTTTTGATGTGTGTACTCAAGTAACAGAGTTGAACCTTCCTTTTGACACAGCAGTTTTGAAACAATCTTTCTGTAGAATCTGCAAGTGGATATTTGGATAGCTTTGAGGATTTCGTTGGAAACGGGATATCTTCATATAAAATCTAGAAAGAAGCATTCTCAGAAACTTCTTTGTGCTGTATGTCCTCAATTAACAGAGTTGAACCATTGCTTGGATACAGCATTTTGGAAACATTCCTTTAGTAGAATCTGCAAGTTGATATTTAGATAGATTTGAAGATTTCGTTGGAAACGGGAATATCTTCATATAAAATCTAGACGGAAGCATTCTCAGAAACTGCTTTGTGATGTTTCCATTCAAGTCACAGAGTTGAATATTCCCTTTTATAGAGCACGTTTGAAACACTCTTTCTGCGCTATCTGGAAGTGGACATTTCGAGCGCTTTGAGGCCTATGGTGAAAAAGGAAATATCTTCCCATAAAAACTAGACAGAAGCATTCTCAGAAACTTGTTTGTGATGTGTGTATTCAACTAACAGAGTTGAACTTTTGTTTTTACAGAGCCGTTTTAAAACACTCTTTTTGTGGAATCAGAAAGTGGATATTCGGATGGCTCTGAGGATTTCGTTGGAAGCGGGATTACGTATAAAATCTAGAGAGAAGCATTCTCAGGAACTACTTTGTGATGTTTGCATTGAAGTCACAGAATTGAACATTCACTATGATAGAGCAGGTTTGAAACACTCATGCTGTAGTATCTGGAAGTGGACATTTCAAGCGCTTTCAGGCCTATGGTGAGAAAGGAAATATCTTCAAATTAAAACTAGACAGAAGCATCCTCAGAAACTTATTTGTGATGTGTGTCCTCAACTAACAGAGTTGAAACTTTGTTTTGATACAGCATTTTGGAAACACTCTTTTTGTAGAATCTGCAGGTGGATACTTGGATAGCTTAGAGGGATTCGTTGGAAAGGGGACAAATTCATATAAAATCTAGACAGAAGCATTCTCAGAAACTTATTTGTGATGTGTGTCCTCAACTAACAGAGTTGAACCTTGGTTTTGATACAGCATTTTGGAAACACTCCTTTTGAAGAATCTGCAGGTGGATATGTGGATAGCTTTGAAGATTTCGTTGGAAACGGGAATTTCTTCATATAAAATCAAACAGAAGCATTCTCAGGAACTTCTCTGTGATGTTTGCATTCAGCTCATGGAGTTGAACACTTCCTTTCATAGAGCAGGTTTGAAACACTCTTTCTGCACTACCTGGAAGTGGACATTTCGAGCGCTTTGAGGCCTATGGTGAAAAAGGAAATATCCTCTCATAAAAACCAGAAAGAAGCGTTCTCAGAAACTTCTTTGTGTTGTGTGTACTCATGTAACAGTGTTGAACCATCCTTTTGACAGAGCAGTTTTGAAACACTCTTTTTGTAGAATCTGCAAGTGGATATTTGGATAGCTTTGAGGATTTCGTTGGAAACGGGTTATCTTCATATTAAATCTAGACAGAAGCATTCTCAGGAACTTCTTTGTGATGTTTGCATTCAAGTCACAGAATTGAACATTCCCTTTCATAGAGCAGGTTTGAAACACTCTTTCTCTAGTATCTGGAAGTGGGCATTTCAAGCGCTTTCAGGCCTATGGAGAGAAAGGAAATACCTTCAAATAAAAACTAGACAGAAGCATTCTCAGAAACTTATTTGTGATGTGTGTCCTCAACTAACAGAGTTGAACCTTTGTTTTGATACAGCATTTTGGAAACACTCCTTTTGTAGAATCTGCAGGTGGATATTTGGATAGCTTTGAAGATTTCGTTGGAAACCGGAATATCTTCATATAAAATCAAGACAGAAGCATTCTCGGAAACATCTCTGTGATGTTTGCATTCAACTCAGTAGAGTTGAACACTTCCTTTCATAGAGCAGGTTTGAAACACTCTTTCTGCACTACCTGGAAGTGGACATTTCGAGCGCTTTGAGGCCTATGGTGAAAAAGGAAATATCTTCTCATAAAAACCAGAAAGAAGCATTCTCAGAAACTTCTTTGTGTTGTGTGTACTCAAGTAACAGTGTTGAACCTTCCTTTTGACAGAGCAGTTTTGAAACACTCTTTTGGTAGAATCTGCAAGTGGATATTTGGAGAGCTTTGAGGATTTCGTTGGAAACGGGTTATCTTCCTATAAAATCCAGACAGGAGCATTCTCAGAAACTTCTTTGTGCTGTATGTCCTCAATTCACAGAGTTGAACCTTTGTTTGGATACAGCATTTTGGAAACATTCCTTTAGTAGAATCTGCAAGTTGATATTTAGATAGCTTTGAAGATTTCGTTGGAAACGGGAATATCTTCATAAAAAATCTAGACGGAAGCATTGTCAGAAACTGCTCTGTGATGTTTGCATTCAAGTCACAGAGTTAAATATTCGTTTATAGAGCAGGTTTGAAACACTCTTTCTGCACTCCCTGGAAGTGGAGATTTCGAGCGCTTTGAGGCCTATGGTGAAAAAGGAAATATCTTCCCATAAAAACTAGACGGAAGCATTCTCAGAAACTTGTTTGTGATGTGTGTATTCAACTAACAGAGTTGAACTTTTGTTTTTACAGAGCCGTTTTAAAACACTCTTTTTGTGGAATCAGAAAGTGGATATTCGGATGGCTCTGAGGATTTCGTTGGAAGCGGGATTACATATAAAATCTAGAGAGAAGCATTCTCAGGAACTTCTTTCTGATGTTTGCATTGAAGTCACGGAATTGAACATTCACTTTTATAGAGCAGGTTTGAAACACTCATTCTGTAGTATCTGGAAGTGGACATTTCAAGCGCTTTCAGGCCTATGGTGAGAAAGGAAATATCTTCGAATAAAAACTAGACAGAAGCATCCTCAGAAACTTATTTGTGATGTGTGTCCTCAACTAACAGAGTTGAAACTTTGTTTTGATACAGCATTTTGGAAACACTCTTTTTGTAGAATCTGCAGGTGGATATTTGGATAGCTTAGAGGGATTCGTTGGAAAGGGGATATCTTCATATAAAATCTAGACAGAAGCATTCTCAGAAACTTATTTGTGATGTGTGTCCTCAACTAACAGAGTTGAACCTTGGTTTTGATACAGCATTTTGGAAACACTCCTTTTGTAGAATCTGCAGGTGGATATGTGGATAGCTCTGAAGATTTCGTTGGAAACGGGAATTTCTTCATATAAAATCAAACAGAAGCATTCTCAGAAACTTCTCAGTGATGTTTGCATTCAGTTCATGGAGTTGAACACTTCCTTTCATAGAGCCGGTTTGAAACACTCTTTCTGCACTACCTGGAAGAGGACATTTCGAGCGCTTTGAGTCCTATGGTGAAAAAGGAAATATCTTCTCATAGAAACCAGAAAGAAGCATTCTCAGAAACTTATTTGTGATGTGTGTCCTCAACTAACAGAGTTGAACCTTGGTTTTGATACAGCATTTTGGAAACACTCCTTTTGTAGAATCTGCAGGTGGATATTTGGATAGCTTTGAGGATTTTTGGAAACGGGATGACATATAATATCTAGAGAGAAGCATTCTCAGGAACTTCTTTGTGATGTTTGCATTCAAGTCACAGAATTGAACATTCCCTTTCATAGAGCAGGTTTGAAACACTCTTTCTCTAGTATCTGGAAGTGGGCATTTCAAGCGCTTTCAGGCCTATGGAGAGAAAGGAAATACCTTCAAATAAAAACTAGACAGAAGCATTCTCAGAAACTTATTTGTGATGTGTGTCCTCAACTAACAGAGTTGAACCTTTGTTTTGATACAGCATTTTGGAAACACTCCTTTTGTAGAATCTGCAGGTGGATATTTGGATAGCTTTGAAGATTTCGTTGGAAACCGGAATATCTTCATATAAAATCAAGACAGAAGCATTCTCGGAAACATCTCTGTGATGTTTGCATTCAACTCAGTAGAGTTGAACACTTCCTTTCATAGAGCAGGTTTGAAACACTCTTTCTGCACTACCTGGAAGCGGACATTTCGAGCGCTTTGAGGCCTATGGTGAAAAAGGAAATATCTTCTCATAAAAACCAGAAAGAAGCATTCTCAGAAACTTCTTTGTGTTGTGTGTACTCAAGTAACAGTGTTGAACCTTCCTTTTGACAGAGCAGTTTTGAAACACTCTTTTGGTAGAATCTGCAAGTGGATATTTGGATAGCTTTGAGGATTTCGTTGGAAACGGGTTATCTTCATATAAAATCCAGACAGGAGCATTCTCAGAAACTTCTTTGTGCTGTATGTCCTCAATTCACAGTGTTGAACCTTTGTTTGGATACAGCATTTTGGAAACATTCCTTTAGTAGAATCTGCAAGTTGATATTTAGATAGATTTGAAGATTTCGTTGGAAACGGGAATATCTTCATATAAAATCTAGACGGAAGCATTGTCAGAAACTGCTTTGTGATGTTTGCATTCAAGTCACAGAGTTAAATATTCTTTTATAGAGCACGTTTGAAACACTCTTTCTGCACTCCCTGGAAGTGGAGATTTCGAGCGCTTTGAGGCCAATGGTGAAAAACAAATATCTTCCCATAAAAACTAGACGGAAGCATTCTCAGAAACTTGTTTGTGATGTGTGTATTCAACTAACAGAGTTGAACTTTTGTTTTTACAGAGCCGTTTTAAAACACTCTTTTTGTGGAATCAGAAAGTGGATATTCGGATGGCTCTGAGGATTTCGTTGGAAGCGGGATTACGTATAAAATCTAGAGAGAAGCATTCTCAGGAACTTCTTTGTGATGTTTGCATTGAAGTCACAGAATTGAACATTCACTTTGATAGAGCAGGTTTGAAACACTCATTCTGTAGTATCTGGAAGTGGACATTTCAAGCGCTTTCAGGCCTATGGTGAGAAAGGAAATATCTTCGAATAAAAACTAGACAGAAGCATCCTCAAACTTATTTGTGATGTGTGTCCTCAACTAACAGAGTTGAAACTTTGTTTTGATACAGCATTTTGGAAACACTCTTTTTGTAGAATCTGCAGGTGGATATTTGGATAGCTTAGAGGGATTCGTTGGAAAGGGGATATCTTCATATAAAATCTAGACAGAAGCATTCTCAGAAACTTATTTGTGATGTGTGTCCTCAACTAACAGAGTTGAACCTTGGTTTTGATACAGCATTTTGGAAACACTCCTTTTGTAGAATCTGCAGGTGGATATGTGGATAGCTTTGAAGATTTCGTTGGAAACGGGAATTTCCTCATATAAAATCAAACAGAAGCATTCTCAGAAACTTCTCTGTGATGTTTGCATTCAGCTCATGGAGTTGAACACTTCCTTTCATAGAGCAGGTTTGAAACACTCTTTCTGCACTACCAGGAAGTGGACATTTCGAGCGCTTTGAGGCCTATGGTGAAAAAGGAAATATCTTCTCATAAAAACCAGAAAGAAGCGTTCTCAGAAACTTCTTTGTGTTGTGTGTACTCATGTAACAGTGTTGAAGCATCCTTTTGACAGAGCAGTTTTGAAACACTCTTTTTGTAGAATCTGCAAGTGGATATTTGGATAGCTTTGAGGATTTCGTTGGAAACGGGTTATCTTCATATTAAATCTAGACAGAAGCATTCTCAGGAACTTCTTTGTGATGTTTGCATTCAAGTCACAGAATTGAACATTCCCTTTCATAGAGCAGGTTTGAAACACTCTTTCTCTAGTATCTGGAAGTGGGCATTTCAAGCGCTTTCAGGCCTATGGAGAGAAAGGAAATACCTTCAAATAAAAACTAGACAGAAGCATTCTCAGAAACTTATTTGTGATGTGTGTCCTCAACTAACAGAGTTGAACCTTTGTTTTGATACAGCATTTTGGAAACACTCCTTTTGTAGAATCTGCAGGTGGATATTTGGATAGCTTTGAAGATTTCGTTGGAAACCGGAATATCTTCATATAAAATCAAGACAGAAGCATTCTCGGAAACATCTCTGTGATGTTTGCATTCAACTCAGTAGAGTTGAACACTTCCTTTCATAGAGCAGGTTTGAAACACTCTTTCTGCACTACCTGGAAGCGGACATTTCGAGCGCTTTGAGGCCTATGGTGAAAAAGGAAATATCTTCTCATAAAAACCAGAAAGAAGCATTCTCAGAAACTTCTTTGTGTTGTGTGTACTCAAGTAACAGTGTTGAACCTTCCTTTTGACAGAGCAGTTTTGAAACACTCTTTTGGTAGAATCTGCAAGTGGATATTTGGATAGCTTTGAGGATTTCGTTGGAAACGGGTTATCTTCATATAAAATCCAGACAGGAGCATTCACAGAAACTTCTTTGTGCTGTATGTCCTCAATTCACAGAGCTGAACCTTTGTTTGGATACAGCATTTTGGAAACATTCCTTTAGTAGAATCTGCAAGTTGATATTTAGATAGCTTTGAAGATTTCATTGGAAACGGGAATATCTTCATAGAAAATCTAGACGGAAGCATTCTCAGAAACTGCTTTGTGATGTTTGCATTCAAGTCACAGAGTTGAATATTCCCTTTTATAGAGTAGGTTTGAAACACTCTTTCGGCACTACCTGGAAGTGGATATTTCGAGCTCTTTGAGGCCTATGGTTAAAAGGAAATATCTTCCCATAAAAACTAGACAGAAGCCGTCTCAGAAACTTGTTTGTGATGTGTGTATTCAACTAACAGAGTTGAACATTTCTGTTACAGAGCAATTTAAAACACTCTTTTTGTGGAATCTGAAAGTGGATAATTGGATAGCTTTGTGGATTTCGTTGGAAACGGGATGACGTATAAAATCTAGAGAGAAGCATTCTCAGGAACTTCTTTCTGATGTTTGCATTCAAGTCACAGAATTGAACATTCCTTTTCATAGTGCAGGTTTGAAACACTCTGTAGTATCTGGAAGTGGACATTTCAAGCGCTTTCAAGCCTATGGGGAGAAAGGAAATATCTTGAAATAAAAACTAGACAGAAGGATTCTCAGAAACTTATTTGTGATGTGTGTCCTAAACGAACACAGTTGAACCTTTGTTTTGATACAGCATTTTGGAAACACTCCTTTTGTAGAATCTGCAGGTGGATATTTGGAAAGATTTTAAGATTTCATTGGAAACGGGAATTTCTTCATATAAACTCAAGACAGATGCATTCTCAGAAACTTCTCTGTGATGTTTGCATTCCACTCATAGAGTTGAAAACTTCCTTTCATAGAGCAGGTTTGAAACACTCTTTTTGTAATATTTGGAAGTGGACATTTGCAGCGCTTTGAGGCCTATGGTGAAAAAGGAAATATCTTCTCATAAAAACCAGAAACAAGCATTCTCAGAAACTTCTTTTTGATGTGTGTACTCAAGTAACAGAGTTGAACCTTCCTTTTGACACAGCAGTTTTGAAACAATCTTTTTGTAGAATCTGCAAGTGGATATTTGGATAGCTTTGAGGATTTCGTTGGAAACGGGATATCTTCATATAAAATCTAGACAGAAGCATTCTCAGAAACTTCTTTGTGCTGTATGTCCTCAATTAACAGAGTTGAACCATTGCTTGGATACAGCATTTTGGAAACATTCCTTGAGTAGAATCTGCAAGTTGATATTTAGATAGATTTGAAGATTTCGTTGGAAAAGGGAATATCTCCATATAAAATCTAGAGGGAAGCATTCTCAGAAACTGCTTTGTGATGTTTCCATTCAAGTCACAGAGTTGAATATTCCCTTTTATAGAGCACGTTTGAAACACTCTTTCTGCACTATCTGGAAGCGGACATTTCGAGCGCTTTGAGGCCTATGGTGAAAAAGGAAATATCTTCCCATAAAAACTAGACAGAAGCATTCTCAGAAACTTGTTTGTGATGTGTGTATTCAACTAACAGAGTTGAACTTTTGTTTTTACAGAGCCGTTTTAAAACACTCTTTTTGTGGAATCAGAAAGTGGATATTCGGATGGCTCTGAGGATTTCGTTGGAAGCGGGATTACATATAAAATCTAGAGAGAAGCATTCTCAGGAACTTCTTTGTGATGTTTGCATTGAACTCACAGAATTGAACATTCACTTTGATAGAGCAGGTTTGAAACACTCATTCTGTAGTATCTGGAAGTGGACATTTCAAGCGCTTTCAGGCCTATGGTGAGAAAGGAAATATCTTCAAATAAAAACTAGACAGAAGCATCCTCAAACTTATTTGTGATGTGTGTCCTCAACTAACAGAGTTGAAACTTTGTTTTGATACAGCATTTTGGAAACACTCTTTTTGTAGAATCTGCAGGTGGATATTTGGATAGCTTAGAGGGATTCGTTGGAAAGGGGATATCTTCATATAGAATCTAGACAGAAGCATTCTCAGAAACTTATTTGTGATGTGTGTCTTCAACTAACAGAGTTGAACCTTGGTTTTGATACAGCATTTTGGAAACACTCCTTTTGTAGAATCTGCAGGTGGATATGTGGATAGCTTTGAAGATTTCGTTGGAAACGGGAATTTCTTCATATAAAATCAAACAGAAGCATTCTCAGCAAACTTCTCAGTGATGTTTGCATTCAGTTCATGGAGTTGAACACTTCCTTTCATAGAGCCGGTTTGAAACACTCTTTCTGCACTACCTGGAAGAGGACATTTCGAGCGCTTTGAGTCCTATGGTGAAAAAGGAAATATCTTCTCATAGAAACCAGAAAGAAGCATTCTCAGAAACTTCTTTGTGTTGTGTGTACTCATGTAACAGTGTTGAACCATCCTTTTGACAGAGCAGTTTTGAAACACTCTTTTTGTAGAATCTGCAAGTGGATATTTGGATAGCTTTGAGGATTTCGTTGGAAACGGGATGACATATAATATCTAGAGAGAAGCATTCTCAGGAACTTCTTTGTGATGTTTGCATTCAAGTCACAGAATTGAACATTCCCTTTCATAGAGCAGGTTTGAAACACTCTTTCTCTAGTATCTGGAAGTGGGCATTTCAAGCGCTTTCAGGCCTATGGAGAGAAAGGAAATACCTTCAAATAAAAACTAGACAGAAGCATTCTCAGAAACTTATTTGTGATGTGTGTCCTCAACTAACAGAGTTGAACCTTTGTTTTGATACAGCATTTTGGAAACACTCCTTTTGTAGAATCTGCAGGTGGATATTTGGATAGCTTTGAAGATTTCGTTGGAAACCGGAATATCTTCATATAAAATCAAGACAGAAGCATTCTCGGAAACATCTCTGTGATGTTTGCATTCAACTCAGTAGAGTTGAACACTTCCTTTCATAGAGCAGGTTTGAAACACTCTTTCTGCACTACCTGGAAGCGGACATTTCGAGCGCTTTGAGGCCTATGGTGAAAAAGGAAATATCTTCTCATAAAAACCAGAAAGAAGCATTCTCAGCAAACTTCTTTGTGTTGTGTGTACTCAAGTAACAGTGTTGAACCTTCCTTTTGACAGAGCAGTTTTGAAACACTCTTTTGGTAGAATCTGCAAGTGGATATTTGGATAGCTTTGAGGATTTCGTTGGAAACGGGTTATCTTCCTATAAAATCCAGACAGGAGCATTCTCAGAAACTTCTTTGTGCTGTATGTCCTCAATTCACAGAGCTGAACCTTTGTTTGGATACAGCATTTTGGAGACATTCCTTTAGTAGAATCTGCAAGTTGATATTTAGATAGCTTTGAAGATTTCGTTGGAAACGGGAATATCTTCATAGAAAATCTAGACGGAAGCATTCTCAGAAACTGCTTTGTGATGTTTGCATTCAAGTCACAGAGTTGAATATTCCCTTTTATAGAGTAGGTTTGAAACACTCTTTCGGCACTACCTGGAAGTGGATATTTCGAGCTCTTTGAGGCCTATGGTTAAAAGGAAATATCTTCCCATAAAAACTAGACAGAAGCCGTCTCAGAAACTTGTTTGTGATGTGTGTATTCAACTACCAGAGTTGAACATTTCTGTTACAGAGCAATTTTAAAACACTCTTTTTGTGGAATCTGAAAGTGGATAATTGGATAGCTTTGTGGATTTCGTTGGAAACGGGATGACGTATAAAATCTAGAGAGAAGCATTCTCAGGAACTTCTTTCTGATGTTTGCATTCAAGTCACAGAATTGAACATTCCTTTTCATAGTGCAGGTTTGAAACACTCTTTCTGTAGTATCTGGAAGTGGACTTTTCAAGCGCTTTCAGGCCTATTGGGAGAAAGGAAATATCTTCAAATAAAAACTAGACAGAAGGATTCTCAGAAACTTATTGGTGATGTGTGTCCTAAACGAACACAGTTGAACCTTTGTTTTGATACAGCATTTTGGAAACACTCCTTTTGTAGAATCTGCAGGTGGATATTTGGATAGATTTTAAGATTTCGCTGGAAACGGGAATTTCTTTATATAAACTCAAGACAGATGCATTCTCCGAAACTTCTCTGTGATGTTTCAATTCCACTCATAGAGTTGAAAACTTCCTTTCATAGAGCAGGTTTGAAACACTCTTTTTGTAATATTTGGAAGTGGACATTTGCAGCGCTTTGAGGCCTATGGTGAAAAAGGAAATATCTTCTCATAAAAACCAGAAACAAGCATTCTCAGGAAACTTCTTTTTGATGTGTGTACTCAAGTAACAGAGTTGAACCTTCCTTTTGACACAGCAGTTTTGAAACAATCTTTTTGTAGAATCTGCAAGTGGATATTTGGATAGCTTTGAGGATTTCATTGGAAACGGGATATCTTCATATAAAATCTAGACAGAAGCATTCTCAGAAACTTCTTTGTGCTGTATGACCTCAATTAACAGAGTTGAACCATTGCTTGCATACAGCATTTTGGAAACATTCCTTGAGTAGAATCTGCAAGTTGATATTTAGATAGATTTGAAGATTTCGTTCGAAAACGGAATATCTCCATATAAAATCTAGAGGGAGGCATTCTCAGAAACTGCTTTGTGATGTTTCCATTCAAGTCACAGAGTTGAATATTCTCTTTTATAGAGCACGTTTGAAACACTCTTTCTGCACTATCTGGAAGTGGACATTTCGAGCGCTTTGAGGCCTATGGTGAAAAAGGAAATATCTTCCCATAAAAACTAGACAGAAGCATTCTCAGAAACTTGTTTGTGATGTGTGTATTCAACTAACAGACTTGAACTTTTGTTTTTACAGAGCAGTTTTAAAACAATCTTTTTGTGGAATCAGAAAGTGGATATTCGGATGGCTTTGAGGATTTCGTTGGAAGCGTGATTACATATAAAATCTAGAGAGAAGCATTCTCAGGATCTACTTTGTGATGTTTGCATTGAAGTCACAGAATTGAACATTCACTTTGATAGAGCAGGTTTGAAACACTCATTCTGTAGTATCTGGAAGTGGACATTTCAAGCGCTTTCAGGCCTATGGGGAGAAAGGAAATATCTTCAAATTAAAACTAGACAGAAGCATCCTCAGAAACTTATTTGTGATGTGTGTCCTCAACTAACAGAGTTGAAACTTTGTTTTGATACAGCATTTTGGAAACACTCTTTTTGTAGAATCTGCAGGTGGATACTTGGATAGCTTAGAGGGATTCGTTGGAAAGGGGATATCTTCATATAAAATCTAGACAGAAGCATTCTCAGAAACTTATTTGTGATGTGTGTCCTCAACTAACAGAGTTGAACCTTGGTTTTGATACAGCATTTTGGAAACACTGCTTTTGAAGAATCTGCAGGTGGATATGTGGATAGCTTTGAAGATTTCGTTGGAAACGGGAATTTCTTCATATAAAATCAAACAGAAGCATTCTCAGAAACTTCTCAGTGATGTTTGCATTCAGCTCATGGAGTTGTACACTTCCTTTCATAGAGCAGGTTTGAAACACTCTTTCTGCACTACCTGGAAGAGGACATTTCGAGCGCTTTGAGTCCTATGGTGAAAAAGGAAATATCTTCTCATAGAAACCAGAAAGAAGCATTCTCAGAAACTTCTTTGTGTTGTGTGTACTCATGTAACAGTGTTGAACCATCCTTTTGACAGAGCAGTTTTGAAACACTCTTTTTGTAGAATCTGCAAGTGGATATTTGGATAGCTTTGAGGATTTCGTTGGAAACGGGATGACATATAATATCTAGAGAGAAGCATTCTCAGGAACTTCTTTGTGATGTTTGCATTCAAGTCACAGAATTGAACATTCCCTTTCATAGAGCAGGTTTGAAACACTCTTTCTCTAGTATCTGGAAGTGGGCATTTCAAGCGCTTTCAGGCCTATGGAGAGAAAGGAAATACCTTCAAATAAAAACTAGACAGAAGCATTCTCAGAAACTTATTTGTGATGTGTGTCCTCAACTAACAGAGTTGAACCTTTGTTTTGATACAGCATTTTGGAAACACTCCTTTTGTAGAATCTGCAGGTGGATATTTGGATAGCTTTGAAGATTTCGTTGGAAACCGGAATATCTTCATATAAAATCAAGACAGAAGCATTCTCGGAAACATCTCTGTGATGTTTGCATTCAACTCAGTAGAGTTGAACACTTCCTTTCATAGAGCAGGTTTGAAACACTCTTTCTGCACTACCTGGAAGCGGACATTTCGAGCGCTTTGAGGCCTATGGTGAAAAAGGAAATATCTTCTCATAAAAACCAGAAAGAAGCATTCTCAGAAACTTCTTTGTGTTGTGTGTACTCAAGTAACAGTGTTGAACCTTCCTTTTGACAGAGTAGTTTTGAAACACTCTTTTGGTAGAATCTGCAAGTGGATATTTGGATAGCTTTGAGGATTTCGTTGGAAACGGGTTATCTTCCTATAAAATCCAGACAGGAGCATTCTCAGAAACTTCTTTGTGCTGTATGTCCTCAATTCACAGAGCTGAACCTTTGTTTGGATACAGCATTTTGGAGACATTCCTTTAGTAGAATCTGCAAGTTGATATTTAGATAGCTTTGAAGATTTCGTTGGAAACGGGAATATCTTCATAGAAAATCTAGACGGAAGCATTCTCAGAAACTGCTTTGTGATGTTTGCATTCAAGTCACAGAGTTGAATATTCCCTTTTATAGAGTAGGTTTGAAACACTCTTTCGGCACTACCTGGAAGTGGATATTTCGAGCTCTTTGAGGCCTATGGTTAAAAGGAAATATCTTCCCATAAAAACTAGACAGAAGCCTTCTCAGAAACTTGTTTGAGATGTGTGTATTCAACTAAGAGCGTTGAACATTTCTTTTTACAGAGCAGTTTTGAAACAGTCTTTTGGTGGAATCTGAAAGTGGATAATTGGATAGCTTTGTGGATTTCGTTGGAAACGGGATTACGTTTAAAATCTAGAGAGAAGCATTCTCAGGAACTTCTTTCTGATGTTTGCATTCAAGTCACAGAATTGAACATTCCTTTTCATAGTGCAGGTTTGAAACACTCTGTAGTATCTGGAAGTGGACATTTCAAGCGCTTTCAAGCCTATGGGGAGAAAGGAAATATCTTGAAATAAAAACTAGACAGGAGGATTCTCAGAAACTTATTTGTGATGTGTGTCCTAAACGAACACAGTTGAACCTTTGTTTTGATACAGCATTTTGGAAACACTCCTTTTGTAGAATCTGCAGGTGGATATTTGGATAGATTTTAAGATTTCATTGGAAACGGGAATTTCTTCATATAAACTCAAGACAGATGCATTCTCCGAAACTTCTCTGTGATGTTTGCATTCCACTCATAGAGTTGAAAACTTCCTTTCATAGAGCAGGTTTGAAACACTCTTTTTGTAATATTTGGAAGTGGACATTTGCAGCGCTTTGAGGCCTATGGTGAAAAAGGAAATATCTTCTCATAAAAACCAGAAACAAGCATTCTCAGAAACTTCTTTTTGATGTGTGTACTCAAGTAACAGAGTTGAACCTTCCTTTTGACACAGCAGTTTTGAAACAATCTTTTTGTAGAATCTGCAAGTGGATATTTGGATAGCTTTGAGGATTTCGTTGGAAACGGGATATCTTCATATAAAATCTAGACAGAAGCATTCTCAGAAACTTCTTTGTGCTGTATGTCCTCAATTAACAGAGTTGAACCATTGCTTGGATACAGCATTGTGGAAACATTCCTTTAGTAGGATCTGCAAGTTGATATTTAGATAGATTTGAAGATTTCGTTGGAAACGGGAATATCTTCATATAAAATCTAGACGGAGGCATTCTCAGAAACTGCTTTGTGATGTTTCCATTCAAGTCACAGAGTTGAATATTCTCTTTTATAGAGCACGTTTGAAACACTCTTTCTGCACTATCTGGAAGTGGACATTTCGAGCGCTGTGAGGCCTATGGTGAAAAAGGAAATATCTTCCCATAAAAACTAGACAGAAGCATTCTCAGAAACTTGTTTGTGATGGGTGTATTCAACTAACAGAGTTGAAATTTGTTTTTACAGAGCCGTTTTAAAACACTCTTTTTGTGGAATCAGAAAGTGGATATTCGGATGGCATTGAGGATTTCGTTGGATGCGGGATTACATATAAAATCTAGAGAGAAGCATTCTCAGGAACTTCTTTGTGATGTTTGCATTGAAGTCACAGAATTGAACATTCACTTTTATAGAGCAGGGTTGAAACACTCATTCTGTAGTATCTGGAAGTGGACATTTCGAGCGCTTTCAGGCCTATGGTGAGAAAGGAGATATCTTCAAATAAAAACTAGAGAGAAGCATCCTTAGAAACTTATTTGTGATGTGTGTCCTCAACTAACAGAGTTGAAACTTTGTTTTGATACAGCCTTTTGGAAACACTCCTTTTGTAGAATCTGCAGGTGGCTATTTGGGTAGCTTAGAGGGATTCCTTGGAAAGGGGATATCTTCATATAAAATCTAGACAGAAGCATTCTCAGAAACTTATTTGTGATGTGTGCCCTCAACTAACAGAGTTGAACCTTGGTTTTGATACAGCATTTTGGAAACACTCCTTTTGTAGAATCTGCAGATGGATATGTGGATAGCTTTGAAGATTTCGTTGGAATCGGGAATTTCTTCCTATAAAATCAAACAGAAGCATTCTCAGAAACTTCTCTGTGATGTTTGCATTCAGCTCATGGAGTTGAACACTTCCTTTCATAGAGCAGGTTTGAAACACTCTTTCTGCACTACCTGGAAGTGGACATTTCGAGCGCTTTGAGGCCTATGGTGAAAAAGGAAATATCTTCTCATAAAAACCAGAAGGAAGCATTCTCAGAAACTTCTTTGTGTTGTGTGTACTCATGTAACAGTGTTGAACCATCCTTTTGACAGAGCAGTTTTGAAACAGTCTTTTTGTAGAATCTGCAAGTGGATATTTGGATAGCTTTGAGGATTTCGTTGGAAACGGGTTATCTTCATATTAAATCTAGACAGAAGCATTCTGAGAAACTTCTTTGTGCTGTATGTCCTCAATTCACAGAGTTGAACCTTTGTTTGGATACAGCATTTTGGAAACATTCCTTTAGTAGGATCTGCAAGTGGATATTTAGATAGCTTTGAAGATTTCGTTGGAAACGGGAATATCTTCATAAAAAATCTAGACGGAAGCATTGTCAGAAACTGCTTTGTGATGTTTGCATTCAAGTCACTGAGTTAAATAGTCTTTTATAGAGCAGGTTTGAAACACTCTTTCTACACTACCTGGAAGTGGAGATTTCGAGCGCTTTGAGGCCTATGGTGAAAAAGGAAATATCTTCCCATAAAAACTAGACGGAAGCATTCTCAGAAACTTGTTTGTGATGTGTGTATTCAACTAACAGAGTTGAACTTTTGTTTTTACAGAGCCGTTTTAAAACACTCTTTTTGTGGAATCAGAAAGTGGATATTCGGATGGCTCTGAGGATTTCGTTGGAAGCGGGATTACATATAAAATCTAGAGAGAAGCATTCTCAGGAACTTCTTTGTGATGTTTGCATTGAAGTCACAGAATTGAACATTCACTTTGATAGAGCAGGTTTGAAACACTCATTCTGTAGTATCTGGAAGTGGACATTTCAAGCGCTTTCAGGCCTATGGTGAGAAAGGAAATATCTTCGAATAAAAACTAGACAGAAGCATCCTCAGAAACTTATTTGTGATGTGTGTCCTCAACTAACAGAGTTGAAACTTTGTTTTGATACAGCATTTTGGAAACACTCTTTTTGTAGAATCTGCAGGTGGATATTTGGATAGCTTAGAGGGATTCGTTGGAAAGGGGATATCTTCATATAAAATCTAGACAGAAGCATTCTCAGAATCTTATTTGTGATGTGTGTCCTCAACTAACAGAGTTGAACTTTGGTTTTGATACAGCATTTTGGAAACACTCCTTTTGTAGAATCTGCAGGTGGATATGTGGATAGCTCTGAAGATTTCGTTGGAAACGGGAATTTCTTCATATAAAATCAAACAGAAGCATTCTCAGAAACTTCTCAGTGATGTTTGCATTCAGTTCATGGAGTTGAACACTTCCTTTCATAGAGCAGGTTTGAAACACTCTTTCTGCACTACCTGGAAGAGGACATTTCGAGCGCTTTGAGTCCTATGGTGAAAAAGGAAATATCTTCTCATAGAAACCAGAAAGAAGCATTCTCAGAAACTTCTTTGTGTTGTGTGTACTCATGTAACAGTGTTGAACCATCCTTTTGACAGAGCAGTTTAGAAACACTCTTTTTGTAGAATCTGCAAGTGGATATTTGGATAGCTTTGAGGATTTCGTTGGAAACGGGATGACATATAATATCTAGAGAGAAGCATTCTCAGGAACTTCTTTGTGATGTTTGCATTCAAGTCACAGAATTGAACATTCCCTTTCATAGAGCAGGTTTGAAACACTCTTTCTCTAGTATCTGGAAGTGGGCATTTCAAGCGCTTTCAGGCCTATGGAGAGAAAGGAAATACCTTCAAATAAAAACTAGACAGAAGCATTCTCAGAAACTTATTTGTGATGTGTGTCCTCAACTAACAGAGTTGAACCTTTGTTTTGATACAGCATTTTGGAAACACTCCTTTTGTAGAATCTGCAGGTGGATATGTGGATAGCTTTGAAGATTTCGTTGGAAACCGGAATATCTTCCTATAAAATCAAGACAGAAGCATTCTCGGAAACATCTCTGTGATGTTTGCATTCAACTCAGTAGAGTTGAACACTTCCTTTCATAGAGCAGGTTTGAAACACTCTTTCTGCACTACCTGGAAGCGGACATTTCGAGCGCTTTGAGGCCTATGGTGAAAAAGGAAATATCTTCTCATAAAAACCAGAAAGAAGCATTCTCAGAAACTTCTTTGTGTTGTGTGTACTCAAGTAACAGTGTTGAACCTTCCTTTTGACAGAGCAGTTTTGAAACACTCTTTTGGTAGAATCTGCAAGTGGATATTTGGATAGCTTTGAGGATTTCGTTGGAAACGGGTTATCTTCATATAAAATCCAGACAGGAGCATTCTCAGAAACTTCTTTGTGCTGTATGTCCTCAATTCACAGAGCTGAACCTTTGTTTGGATACAGCATTTTGGAGACATTCCTTTAGTAGAATCTGCAAGTTGATATTTAGATAGCTTTGAAGATTTCGTTGGAAACGGGAATATCTTCATAGAAAATCTAGACGGAAGCATTCTCAGAAACTGCTTTGTGATGTTTGCATTCAAGTCACAGAGTTGAATATTCCCTTTTATAGAGTAGGTTTGAAACACTCTTTCGGCACTACCTGGAAGTGGATATTTCGAGCTCTTTGAGGCCTATGGTTAAAAGGAAATATCTTCCCATAAAAACTAGACAGAAGCCGTCTCAGAAACTTGTTTGTGATGTGTGTATTCAACTACCAGAGTTGAACATTTCTGTTACAGAGCAATTTTAAAACACTCTTTCTGTGGAATCTGAAAGTGGATAATTGGATAGCTTTGTGGATTTCGTTGGAAACGGGATGACGTATAAAATCTAGAGAGAAGCATTCTCAGGAACTTCTTTCTGATGTTTGCATTCAAGTCACAGAATTGAACATTCCTTTTCAGAGTGCAGGTTTGAAACACACTCTTTCTGTAGTATCTGGAAGTGGACATTTCAAGCGCTTTCAGGCCTACGGGGAGAAAGGAAATATCTTCAAATAAAAACTAGACAGAAGGATTCTCAGAAACTTATTTGTGATGTGTGTCCTAAACGAACACAGTTGAACCTTTGTTTTGATACAGCATTTTGGAAACACTCCTTTTGTAGGATCTGCAGGTGGATATTTGGATAGATTTTAAAATTTCGTTGGAAACGGGAATTTCTTCATAGAAGCTCAAGACAGATGCATTCTCAGAAACTTCTCTGTGATGTTTGCATTCCACTCATAGAGTTGAAAACTTCCTTTCATAGAGCACGTTTGAAACACTCTTTTTGTAATATTTGGAAGTGGACCTTTGCAGCGCTTTGAGGCCTGTGGTGAAAAAGGAAATATCTTCTCATAAAAACCAGAAACAAGCATTCTCAGAAACTTCTTTTTGATGTGTGTACTCAAGTAACAGAGTTGAACCTTCCTTTTGACACAGCAGTTTTGAAACAATCTTTTTGTAGAATCTGCAAGTGGATATTTGGATAGCTTTGAGGATTTCGTTGGAAACGGGATATCTTCATATAAAATCTAGACAGAAGCATTCTCAGAAACTTCTTTGTGCTGTATGACCTCAATTAACAGAGTTGAACCATTGCTTGCATACAGCATTTTGGAAACATTCCTTGAGTAGAATCTGCAAGTTGATATTTAGATAGATTTGAAGATTTCGTTCGAAAACGGAATATCTCCATATAAAATCTAGAGGGAGGCATTCTCAGAAACTGCTTTGTGATGTTTCCATTCAAGTCACAGAGTTGAATATTCCCTTTTATAGAGCAGGTTTGAAACACTCTTTCGGCACTATCTGGAAGTGGACATTTCGAGCGCTTTGAGGCCTATGGTGAAAAAGGAAATATCTTCCCATAAAAACTAGACAGAAGCATTCTCAGAAACTTGTTTGTGATGTGTGTATTCAACTAACAGAGTTGAACTTTTGTTTTTACAGAGCCGTTTTAAAACACTCTTTTTGTGGAATCAGAAAGTGGATATTCGGATGGCTCTGAGGATTTCGTTGGAAGCGGGATTACGTATAAAATCTAGAGAGAAGCATTCTCAGGAACTACTTTGTGATGTTTGCATTGAAGTCACAGAATTGAACATTCACTATGATAGAGCAGGTTTGAAACACTCATGCTGTAGTATCTGGAAGTGGACATTTCAAGCGCTTTCAGGCCTATGGTGAGAAAGGAAATATCTTCAAATTAAAACTAGACAGAAGCATCGTCAGAAACTTATTTGTGATGTGTGTCCTCAACTAACAGAGTTGAAACTTTGTTTTGATACAGCCTTTTGGAAACACTCTTTTTGTAGAATCTGCAGGTGCATATTTGGATAGCTTAGAGGGATTCGTTGGAAAGGGGATATCTTCATATAAAATCTAGACAGAAGCATTCTCAGAAACTTATTTGTGATGTGTGTCCTCAACTAACAGAGTTGAACCTTGGTTTTGATACAGCATTTTGGAAACACTCCTTTTGTAGAATCTGCAGGTGGATATGTGGATAGCTTTGAAGATTTCGTTGGAAACGGGAATTTCTTCATATAAAATCAAACAGAAGCATTCTCAGAAACTTCTCTGTGATGTTTGCATTCAGCTCATGGAGTTGAACACTTCCTTTCATAGAGCAGGTTTGAAACACTCTTTCTGCACTACCAGGAAGTGGACATTTTGAGCGCTTTGAGGCCTATGGTGAAAAAGGAAATATCTTCTCATAAAAACCAGAAAGTAGCGTTCTCAGAAACTTCTTTGTGTTGTGTGTACTCATGTAACAGTGTTGAACCATCCTTTTGACAGAGCAGTTTTGAAACACTCTTTTTGTAGAATCTGCAAGTGGATATTTGGATAGCTTTGAGGATTTCGTTGGAAACGGGTTATCTTCATATTAAATCTAGACAGAAGCATTCTCAGGAACTTCTTTGTGATGTTTGCATTCAAGTCACAGAATTGAACATTCCCTTTCATAGAGCAGGTTTGAAACACTCTTTCTCTAGTATCTGGAAGTGGGCATTTCAAGCGCTTTCAGGCCTATGGAGAGAAAGGAAATACCTTCAAATAAAAACTAGACAGAAGCATTCTCAGAAACTTATTTGTGATGTGTGTCCTCAACTAACAGTGTTGAACCTTTGTTTTGATACAGCATTTTGGAAACACTCCTTTTGTAGAATCTGCAGGTGGATATTTGGATAGCTTTGAAGATTTCGTTGGAAACCGGAATATCTTCATATAAAATCAAGACAGAAGCATTCTCGGGAAACATCTCTGTGATGTTTGCATTCAACTCAGTAGAGTTGAACACTTCCTTTCATAGAGCAGGTTTGAAACACTCTTTCTGCACTACCTGGAAGCGGACATTTCGAGCGCTTTGAGGCCTATGGTGAAAAAGGAAATATCTTCTCATAAAAACCAGAAAGAAGCATTCTCAGAAACTTCTTCGTGTTGTGTGTACTCAAGTAACAGTGTTGAACCTTCCTTTTGACAGAGCAGTTTTGAAACACTCTTTTGGTAGAATCTTCAAGTGGATATTTGGATAGCTTTGAGGATTTCGTTGGAAACGGGTTATCTTCATATAAAATCCAGACAGGAGCATTCTCAGGAAACTTCTTTGTGCTGTATGTCCTCAATTCACAGAGCTGAACCTTTGTTTGGATACAGCATTTTGGAGACATTCCTTTAGTAGAATCTGCAAGTTGATATTTAGATAGCTTTGAAGATTTCGATGGAAACGGGAATATCTTCATAGAAAATCTAGACGGAAGCATTCTCAGAAACTGCTTTGTGATGTTTGCATTCAAGTCACAGAGTTGAATATTCCCTTTTATAGAGTAGGTTTGAAACACTCTTTCGGCACTACCTGGAAGTGGATATTTCGAGCTCTTTGAGGCCTATGGTTAAAAGGAAATATCTTCCCATAAAAACTAGACAGAAGCCGTCTCAGAAACTTGTTTGTGATGTGTGTATTCAACTACCAGAGTTGAACATTTCTGTTACAGAGCAATTTTAAAACACTCTTTCTGTGGAATCTGAAAGTGGATAATTGGATAGCTTTGTGGATTTCGTTGGAAACGGGATGACGTATAAAATCTAGAGAGAAGCATTCTCAGGAACTTCTTTCTGATGTTTGCATTCAAGTCACAGAATTGAACATTCCTTTTCATAGTGCAGGTTTGAAACACTCTTTCTGTAGTATCTGGAAGTGGACATTTCAAGCGCTTTCAGGCCTATGGGGAGAAAGGAAATATCTTCAAATAAAAACTAGACAGAAGGATTCTCAGAAACTTATTTGTGATGTGTGTTCTCAACGAACACAGTTGAACCTTTGTTTTGATATAGCATTTTGGAAGCACTCTTTTGTAGAATCTGCAGGTGGATATTTGGATAGATTTTAAGATTTCATTGGAAACGGGAATTTCTTCATATAAACTCAAGACAGATGCATTCTCAGAAACTTCTCTGTGATGTTTGCATTCCACTCATAGAGTTGAAAACTTCCTTTCATAGAGCAGGTTTGAAACACTCTTTTTGTAATATTTGGAAGTGGACATTTGCAGCGCTTTGAGGCCTATGGTGAAAAAGGAAATATCTTCTCATAAAAACCAGAAACAAGCATTCTCAGAAACTTCTTTTTGATGTGTGTACTCAAGTAACAGAGTTGAACCTTCCTTTTGACACAGCAGTTTTGAAACAATCTTTTTGTAGAATCTGCAAGTGGATATTTGGATAGCTTTGAGGATTTCGTTGGAAACGGGATATCTTCATATAAAATCTAGACAGAAGCATTCTCAGAAACTTCTTTGTGCTGTATGACCTCAATTAACAGAGTTGAACCATTGCTTGCATACAGCATTTTGGAAACATTCCTTGAGTAGAATCTGCAAGTTGATATTTAGATAGATTTGAAGATTTCGTTCGAAAACGGAATATCTCCATATAAAATCTAGAGGGAAGCATTGTCAGAAACTGCTCTGTGATGTTTGCATTCAAGTCACAGAGTTAAATATTCTTTTATAGAGCAGGTTTGAAGCACTCTTTCTGCACTCCCTGGAAGTGGAGATTTCGAGCGCTTTGAGGCCTATGGTGAAAAAGGAAATATCTTCCCATAAAAACTAGACGGAAGCATTCTCAGAAACTTGTTTGTGATGTGTGTATTCAACTAACAGAGTTGAACTTTTGTTTTTACAGAGCCGTTTTAAAACACTCTTTTTGTGGAATCAGAAAGTGGATATTCGGATGGCTCTGAGGATTTCGTTGGAAGCGGGATTACATATAAAATCTAGAGAGAAGCATTCTCAGGAACTTCTTTTTGATGTTTGCATTGAAGTCACAGAATTGAACATTCACTTTTATAGAGCAGGTTTGAAACACTCATTCTGTAGTATCTGGAAGTGGACATTTCAAGCGCTTTCAGGCCTATGGTGAGAAAGGAAATATCTTCGAATAAAAACTAGACAGAAGCATCCTCAGAAACTTATTTGTGATGTGTGTCCTCAACTAACAGAGTTGAAACTTTGTTTTGATACAGCATTTTGGAAACACTCTTTTTGTAGAATCTGCAGGTGGATATTTGGATAGCTTAGAGGGATTCGTTGGAAAGGGGATATCTTCATATAAAATCTAGACAGAAGCATTCTCAGAAACTTATTTGTGATGTGTGTCCTCAACTAACAGAGTTGAACCTTGGTTTTGATACAGCATTTTGGAAACTCTCCTTTTGTAGAATCTGCAGGTGGATATGTGGATAGCTCTGAAGATTTCGTTGGAAACGGGAATTTCTTCATATAAAATCAAACAGAAGCATTCTCAGAAACTTCTCAGTGATGTTTGCATTCAGCTCATGGAGTTGTACACTTCCTTTCATAGAGCAGGTTTGAAACACTCTTTCTGCACTACCTGGAAGAGGACATTTCGAGCGCTTTGAGTCCTATGGTGAAAAAGGAAATATCTTCTCATAGAAACCAGAAAGAAGCGTTCTCAGTAAACTTCTTTGTGTTGTGTGTACTCATGTAACAGTGTTGAACCATCCTTTTGACAGAGCAGTTTTGAAACACTCTTTTTGTAGAATCTGCAAGTGGATATTTGGATAGCTTTGAGGATTTCGTTGGAAACGGGTTATCTTCATATTAAATCTAGACAGAAGCATTCTCAGGAACTTCTTTGTGATGTTTGCATTCAAGTCACAGAATTGAACATTCCCTTTCATAGAGCAGGTTTGAAACACTCTTTCTCTAGTATCTGGAAGTGGGCATTTCAAGCGCTTTCAGGCCTATGGAGAGAAAGGAAATACCTTCAAATAAAAACTAGACAGAAGCATTCTCAGAAACTTATTTGTGATGTGTGTCCTCAACTAACAGAGTTGAACCTTTGTTTTGATACAGCATTTTGGAAACACTCCTTTTGTAGAATCTGCAGGTGGATATTTGGATAGCTTTGAAGATTTCGTTGGAAACCGGAATATCTTCATATAAAATCAAGACAGAAGCATTCTCGGAAACATCTCTGTGATGTTTGCATTCAACTCAGTAGAGTTGAACACTTCCTTTCATAGAGCAGGTTTGAAACACTCTTTCTGCACTACCTGGAAGCGGACATTTCGAGCGCTTTGAGGCCTATGGTGAAAAAGGAAATGTCTTCTCATAAAAACCAGAAAGAAGCATTCTCAGAAACTTCTTTGTGTTGTGTGTACTCAAGTAACAGTGTTGAACCTTCCTTTTGACAGAGCAGTTTTGAAACACTCTTTTGGTAGAATCTGCAAGTGGATATTTGGATAGCTTTGAGGATTTCGTTGGAAACGGGTTATCTTCCTATAAAATCCAGACAGGAGCATTCTCAGAAACTTCTTTGTGCTGTATGTCCTCAATTCACAGAGCTGAACCTTTGTTTGGATACAGCATTTTGGAGACATTCCTTTAGTAGAATCTGCAAGTTGATATTTAGATAGCTTTGAAGATTTCGTTGGAAACGGGAATATCTTCATAGAAAATCTAGACGGAAGCATTCTCAGAAACTGCTTTGTGATGTTTGCATTCAAGTCACAGAGTTGAATATTCCCTTTTATAGAGTAGGTTTGAAACACTCTTTCGGCACTACCTGGAAGTGGATATTTCGAGCTCTTTGAGGCCTATGGTTAAAAGGAAATATCTTCCCATAAAAACTAGACAGAAGCTGTCTCAGAAACTTGTTTGTGATGTGTGTATTCAACTAACAGAGTTGAACATTTCTGTTACAGAGCAATTTTAAAACACTCTTTTTGTGGAATCTGAAAGTGGATAATTGGATAGCTTTGTGGATTTCGTTGGAAACGGGATGACGTATAAAATCTAGAGAGAAGCATTCTCAGGAACTTCTTTCTGATGTTTGCATTCAAGTCACAGAATTGAACATTCCTTTTCATAGTGCATGTTTGAAACACTCTTTCTGTAGTATCTGGAAGTGGACATTTCAAGCGCTTTCAGGCCTATGGGGAGAAAGGAAATATCTTCAAATAAAAACTAGAGAGAAGGATTCTCAGAAACTTATTTGTGATGTGTGTCCTAAACGAACACAGTTGAACCTTTGTTTTGATACAGCATTTTGGAAACACTCCTTTTGTAGGATCTGCAGGTGGATATTTGGATAGATTTTAAGATTTCGTTGGAAACGGGAATTTCTGCATAGAAACTCAAGACAGATGCATTCTCAGAAACTTCTCTGTGATGTGTGCATTCCACTCATAGAGTTGAAAACTTCCTTTCATAGAGCAGGTTTGAAACACTCTTTTTGTAATATTTGGAAGTGGACATTTGCAGCGCTTTGAGGCCTATGGTGAAAAAGGAAATATCTTCTCATAAAAACCAGAAACAAGCATTCTCAGAAACTTCTTTTTGATGTGTGTACTCAAGTAACAGAGTTGAACCTTCCTTTTGACACAGCAGTTTTGAAACAATCTTTTTGTAGAATCTGCAAGTGGATATTTGGATAGCTTTGAGGATTTCGTTGGAAACGGGATATCTTCATATAAAATCTAGACAGAAGCATTCTCAGAAACTTCTTTGTGCTGTATGACCTCAATTAACAGAGTTGAACCATTGCTTGCATACAGCATTTTGGAAACATTCCTTGAGTAGAATCTGCAAGTTGATATTTAGATAGATTTGAAGATTTCGTTCGAAAACGGAATATCTCCGATATAAAATCTAGAGGGAAGCATTGTCAGAAACTGCTTTGTGATGTTTGCATTCAAGTCACAGAGTTAAATATTCTTTTACAGAGCAGGTTTGAAACACTCTTTCTGCACTCCCTGGAAGTGGAGATTTCGAGCGCTTTGAGGCCTATGGTGAAAAAGGAAATATCTTCCCATAAAAACTAGACGGAAGCCTTCTCAGAAACTTGTTTGAGATGTGTGTATTCAACTAAGAGCGTTGAACATTTCTTTTTACAGAGCAGTTTTAAAACACTCTTTTTGTGGAATCTGAAAGTGGATAATTGGATAGCTTTGTGGATTTCGTTGGAAACGGGATGACGTATAAAATCTAGAGAGAAGCATTCTCAGGAACTTCTTTCTGATGTTTGCATTCAAGTCACAGAATTGAACATTCCTTTTCAGAGTGCAGGTTTGAAACACACTCTTTCTGTAGTATCTGGAAGTGGACATTTCAAGCGCTTTCAGGCCTACGGGGAGAAAGGAAATATCTTCAAATAAAAACTAGACAGAAGGCTTCTCAGAAACTTATTTGTGATGTGTGTCCTAAACGAACACAGTTGAACCTTTGTTTTGATACAGCATTTTGGAAACACTCCTTTTGTAGAATCTGCAGGTGGATATTTGGATAGATTTTAAGATTTCTTTGGAAACGGGAATTTCTTCATATAAACTCAAGACAGATGCATTCTCAGAAACTTCTCTGTGATGTTTACATTCCACTCATAGAGTTGAAAACTTCCTTTCATAGAGCAGGTTTGAAACACTCTTTCTGTAATATTTGAAAGTGGACATTTGCAGCGCTTTGAGGCCTATGGTGAAATAGGAAATATCTTCTCATAAAAACCAGAAACGAGCATTCTCAGAAACTTCTTTTTGATGTGTGTACTCAAGTAACAGAGTTGAACCTTCCTATTGACACAGCAGTTTTGAAACAATCTTTTTGTAGAATCTGCAAGTAGATATTTGGATAGCTTTGAGGAGTTCGTTGGAAACGGGATATCTTCATATAAAATCCAGACAGGAGCATTCTCAGAAACTTCTTTGTGCTGTATGTCCTCAATTAACAGAGTTGAACCATTGCTTGGATACAACATTTTTGAAACATTCCTTTAGTAGAATCTGCAAGTTGATATTTAGATAGCTTTGAAGATTTCGTTGGAAACGGGAATATCTTCATATAAAATCTAGATCGGAAGCATTCTCAGAAACTGCTTTGTGATGTTTGCATTCAAGTCACAGAGTTGAATATTCGCTTTTATAGAGCAGGTTTGAAACACTCTTTCCGGACTTCCTGGAAGTGGACATTTCGAGCGTTTTGAGGCCTATGGTGAAAAAGGAAATATCTTCCCATAAAAACTAGACGGAAGCCTTCTCAGAAACTTGTTTGAGATGTGTGTATTCAACCTAGGAGAGTTGAACATTTCTTTTTACAGAGCAGTTTTAAAACACTCTTTTTGTGGAATCTGAAAGTGGAAGTTTGGATAGCTTTGAGGATTTCGTTGGAAGCGGGATGACATATAAAATCTAGAGAGAAGCATTCTCAGGAACTTCTTTGTGATGTTTGCATTCAAGTCACAGAATTGAACATTCCCTTTCATAGAGCAGGTTTGAAACACTCTTTCTCTAGTATCTGGAAGTGGGCATTTCAAGCGCTTTCAGGCCTATGGAGAGAAAGGAAATACCTTCAAATAAAAACTAGACAGAAGCATTCTCAGAAACTTATTTGTGATGTGTGTCCTCAACTAACAGAGTTGAACCTTTGTTTTGATACAGCATTTTGGAAACACTCCTTTTGTAGAATCTGCAGGTGGATATTTGGATAGCTTTGAAGATTTCGTTGGAAACCGGAATATCTTCATATAAAATCAAGACAGAAGCATTCTCGGAAACATCTCTGTGATGTTTGCATTCAACTCAGTAGAGTTGAACACTTCCTTTCATAGAGCAGGTTTGAAACACTCTTTCTGCACTACCTGGAAGCGGACATTTCGAGCGCTTTGAGGCCTATGGTGAAAAAGGAAATATCTTCTCATAAAAACCAGAAAGAAGCATTCTCAGAAACTTCTTTGTGTTGTGTATACTCATGTAACAGTGTTGAACCTTCCTTTTGACAGAGCAGTTTTGAAACACTCTTTTTGTAGAATCTGCAAGTGGATATTTGGATAGCATTGAGGATTTCGTTGGAAACGGGATATCTTCATATTAAATCTAGACAGGAGCATTCTCAGAAACTTCTTTGTGCTGTATGTCCTCAATTCACAGGAGTTGAACCTTTGTTTGGATACAGCATTTTGGAAACATTCCTTTAGTAGAATCTGCAAGTTGATATTGAGATAGCTTTGAAGATTTCGTTGGAAACGGGAATATCTTCATAAAAAATCTAGACGGAAGCATTCTCAGAAACTGCTTTGTGATGTTTGCATTCAAGTCACAGAGTTGAATATTCCCTTTTATAGAGTAGGTTTGAAACACTCTTTCGGCACTACCTGGAAGTGGATATTTCGAGCTCTTTGAGGCCTATGGTTAAAAGGAAATATCTTCCCATAAAAACTAGACAGAAGCCTTCTCAGAAACTTGTTTGAGATGTGTGTATTCAACTAAGAGCGTTGAACATTTCTTTTTACAGAGCAATTTTAAAACACTCTTTTTGTGGAACCTGAAAGTGGATAATTGGATAGCTTTGTGGATTTCGTTGGAAACGGGATGACGTATAAAATCTAGAGAGAAGCATTCTCAGGAACTTCTTTCTGATGTTTGCATTCAAGTCACAGAATTGAACATTCCTTTTCATAGTGCAGGTTTGAAACACTCTTTCTGTAGTATCTGGAAGTGGACATTTCAAGCGCTTTCAGGCCTATGGGGAGAAAGGAAATATCTTCAAATAAAAACTAGACAGAAGGATTCTCAGAAACTTATTTGTGATGTGTGTCCTAAACGAACACAGTTGAACCTTTGTTTTGATACAGCATTTTGGAAACACTCCTTTTGTAGGATCTGCAGGTGGATATTTGGATAGATTTTAAGATTTCGTTGGAAACGGGAATTTCTTCATAGAAGCTCAAGACAGATGCATTCTCAGAAACTTCTCTGTGATGTTTGCATTCCACTCATAGAGTTGAAAACTTCCTTTCATAGAGCAGGTTTGAAACACTCTTTTTGTAATATTTGGAAGTGGACATTTGCAGCACTTTGAGGCCTATGGTGAAAAAGGAAATATCTTCTCATAAAAACCAGAAACAAGCATTCTCAGAAACTTCTTTTTGATGTGTGTACTCAAGTAACAGAGTTGAACCTTCCTTTTGACACAGCAGTTTTGAAACAATCTTTTTGTAGAATCTGCAAGTGGATATTTGGATAGCTTTGAGGATTTCGTTGGAAACGGGATATCTTCATATAAAATCTAGACAGAAGCATTCTCAGAAACTTCTTTGTGCTGTATGTCCTCAATTAACAGAGTTGAACCATTGCTTGGATACAGCATTTTGGAAACATTCCTTGAGTAGAATCTGCAAGTTGATATTTAGATAGATTTGAAGATTTCGTTGGAAAAGGGAATATCTCCATATAAAATCTAGAGGGAAGCATTCTCAGAAACTGCTTTGTGATGTTTCCATTCAAGTCACAGAGTTGAATATTCCCTTTTATAGAGCACGTTTGAAACACTCTTTCTGCACTATCTGGAAGCGGACATTTCGAGCGCTTTGAGGCCTATGGTGAAAAAGGAAATATCTTCCCATAAAAACTAGACAGAAGCATTCTCAGAAACTTGTTTGTGATGTGTGTATTCAACTAACAGAGTTGAACTTTTGTTTTTACAGAGCCGTTTTAAAACACTCTTTTTGTGGAATCAGAAAGTGGATATTGGGATGGCTCTGAGGATTTCGTTGGAAGCGGGATTACGTATAAAATCTAGAGAGAAGCATTCTCAGGAACTTCTTTGTGATGTTTGCATTGAAGTCACAGAATTGAACATTCACTTTGATAGAGCAGGTTTGAAACACTCATTCTGTAGGATCTGGAAGTGGACATTTCAAGCGCTTTCAGGCCTATGGTGAGAAAGGAAATATCTTCGAATAAAAACTAGACAGAAGCATCCTCAGAAACTTATTTGTGATGTGTGTCCTCAACTAACAGAGTTGAAACTTTGTTTTGATACAGCATTTTGGAAACACTCTTTTTGTAGAATCTGCAGGTGGATATTTTGATAGCTTAGAGGGATTCGTTGGAAAGGGGATATCTTCATATAAAATCTAGACAGAAGCATTCTCAGAAACTTATTTGTGATGTGTGTCCTCAACTAACAGAGTGGAACCTTGGTTTTGATACAGCATTTTGGAAACACTCCTTTTGTAGAATCTGCAGGTGGATATGTGGATAGCTTTGAAGATTTCGTTGGAAACGGGAATTTCTTCATATAAAATCAAACAGAAGCATTCTCAGAAACTTCTCAGTGATGTTTGCATTCAGCTCATGGAGTTGTACACTTCCTTTCATAGAGCAGGTTTGAAACACTCTTTCTGCACTACCTGGAAGAGGACATTTCGAGCGCTTTGAGTCCTATGGTGAAAAAGGAAATATCTTCTCATAGAAACCAGAAAGAAGCGTTCTCAGAAACTTCTTTGTGTTGTGTGTACTCATGTAACAGTGTTGAACCATCCTTTTGACAGAGCAGTTTTGAAACACTCTTTTTGTAGAATCTGCAAGTGGATATTTGGATAGCTTTGAGGATTTCGTTGGAAACGGGTTATCTTCATATTAAATCTAGACAGAAGCATTCTCAGGAACTTCTTTGTGATGTTTGCATTCAAGTCACAGAATTGAACATTCCCTTTCATAGAGCAGGTTTGAAACACTCTTTCTCTAGTATCTGGAAGTGGGCATTTCAAGCGCTTTCAGGCCTATGGAGAGAAAGGAAATACCTTCAAATAAAAACTAGACAGAAGCATTCTCAGAAACTTATTTGTGATGTGTGTCCTCAACTAACAGAGTTGAACCTTTGTTTTGATACAGCATTTTGGAAACACTCCTTTTGTAGAATCTGCAGGTGGATATTTGGATAGCTTTGAAGATTTCGTTGGAAACCGGAATATCTTCATATAAAATCAAGACAGAAGCATTCTCGGAAACATCTCTGTGATGTTTGCATTCAACTCAGTAGAGTTGAACACTTCCTTTCATAGAGCAGGTTTGAAACACTCTTTCTGCACTACCTGGAAGTGGACATTTCGAGCGCTTTGAGGCCTATGGTGAAAAAGGAAATATCTTCTCATAAAAACCAGAAAGAAGCATTCTCAGAAACTTCTTTGTGTTGTGTGTACTCAAGTAACAGTGTTGAACCTTCCTTTTGACAGAGTAGTTTTGAAACACTCTTTTGGTAGAATCTGCAAGTGGATATTTGGATAGCTTTGAGGATTTCGTTGGAAACGGGTTATCTTCCTATAAAATCCAGACAGGAGCATTCTCAGAAACTTCTTTGTGCTGTATGTCCTCAATTCACAGAGCTGAACCTTTGTTTGGATACAGCATTTTGGAGACATTCCTTTAGTAGAATCTGCAAGTTGATATTTAGATAGCTTTGAAGATTTCGTTGGAAACGGGAATATCTTCATAGAAAATCTAGACGGAAGCATTGTCAGAAACTGCTTTGTGATGTTTGCATTCAAGTCACAGAGTTAAATATTCTTTTACAGAGCAGGTTTGAAACACTCTTTCTGCACTCCCTGGAAGTGGAGATTTCGAGCGCTTTGAGGCCTATGGTTAAAAGGAAATATCTTCCCATAAAAACTAGACGGAAGCCGTCTCAGAAACTTGTTTGTGATGTGTGTATTCAACTACCAGAGTTGAACATTTCTGTTACAGAGCAATTTTAAAACACTCTTTCTGTGGAATCTGAAAGTGGATAATTGGATAGCTTTGTGGATTTCGTTGGAAACGGGATGACGTATAAAATCTAGAGAGAAGCATTCTCAGGAACTTCTTTCTGATGTTTGCATTCAAGTCACAGAATTGAACATTCCTTTTCATAGTGCAGGTTTGAAACACTCTGTAGTATCTGGAAGTGGACATTTCAAGCGCTTTCAGGCCTATGGGGAGAAAGGAAATATCTTGAAATAAAAACTAGACAGAAGGATTCTCATTAACTTACTTGTGATGTGTGTCCTAAACGAACACAGTTGAACCTTTGTTTTGATACAGCATTTTGGAAAAACTCCTTTTGTAGAATCTGCAGGTGGATATTTGGATAGATTTTAAGATTTCGTTGGAAATGGGAATTTCTTCATATAAACTCAAGACAGATGCATTCTCAGAAACTTCTCTGTGATGTTTGCATTCCACTCATAGAGTTGAAAACTTCCTTTCATAGAGCAGGTTTGAAACACTCTTTTTGTAATATTTGGAAGTGGACATTTGCAGCGCTTTGAGGCCTATGGTGAAAAAGGAAATATCTTCTCATAAAAACCAGAAACAAGCATTCTCAGAAACTGCTTTTTGATGTGTGTACTCAAGTAACAGAGTTGAACCTTCCTTTTGACACAGCAGTTTTGAAACAATCTTTTTGTAGAATCTGCAAGTGGATATTTGGATAGCTTTGAGGATTTCGTTGGAAACGGGATATCTTCATATAAAATCTAGACAGAAGCATTCTCAGAAACTTCTTTGTGCTGTATGTCCTCAATTAACAGAGTTGAACCATTGCCTGGATACAGCATTTTGGAAACATTCCTTGAGTAGAATCTGCAAGTTGATATTTAGATAGATTTGAAGATTTCGTTGGAAAAGGGAATATCTCCATATAAAATCTAGAGGGAAGCATTCTCAGAAACTGCTTTGTGATGTTTCCATTCAAGTCACAGAGTTGAATATTCCCTTTTATAGAGCACGTTTGAAACACTCTTTCTGCACTATCTGGAAGCGGACATTTCGAGCGCTTTGAGGCCTATGGTGAAAAAGGAAATATCTTCCCATAAAAACTAGACAGAAGCATTCTCAGAAACTTGTTTGTGATGTGTGTATTCAACTAACAGAGTTGAACTTTTGTTTTTACAGAGCCGTTTTAAAACACTCTTTTTGTGGAATCAGAAAGTGGATATTCGGATGGCTCTGAGGATTTCGTTGGAAGCGGGATTACGTATAAAATCTAGAGAGAAGCATTCTCAGGAACTTCTTTGTGATGTTTGCATTGAAGTCACAGAATTGAACATTCACTTTGATAGAGCAGGTTTGAAACACTCATTCTGTAGTATCTGGAAGTGGACATTTCAAGCGCTTTCAGGCCTATGGTGAGAAAGGAAATATCTTCGAATAAAAACTAGACAGAAGCATCCTCAGAAACTTATTTGTGATGTGTGTCCTCAACTAACAGAGTTGAAACTTTGTTTTGATACAGCATTTTGGAAACACTCTTTTTGTAGAATCTGCAGGTGGATATTTGGATAGCTTAGAGGGATTCGTTGGAAAGGGGATATCTTCATATAAAATCTAGACAGAAGCATTCTCAGAAACTTATTTGTGATGTGTGTCCTCAACTAACAGAGTTGAACCTTGGTTTTGATACAGCATTTTGGAAACACTCCTTTTGTAGAATCTGCAGGTGGATATGTGGATAGCTCTGAAGATTTCGTTGGAAACGGGAATTTCTTCATATAAAATCAAACAGAAGCATTCTCAGAAACTTCTCAGTGATGTTTGCATTCAGTTCATGGAGTTGAACACTTCCTTTCATAGAGCCGGTTTGAAACACTCTTTCTGCACTACCTGGAAGAGGACATTTCGAGCGCTTTGAGTCCTATGGTGAAAAAGGAAATATCTTCTCATAGAAACCAGAAAGAAGCATTCTCAGAAACTTCTTTGTGTTGTGTGTACTCATGTAACAGTGTTGAACCATCCTTTTGACAGAGCAGTTTTGAAACACTCTTTTTGTAGAATCTGCAAGTGGATATTTGGATAGCTTTGAGGATTTCGTTGGAAACGGGATGACATATAATATCTAGAGAGAAGCATTCTCAGGAACTTCTTTGTGATGTTTGCATTCAAGTCACAGAATTGAACATTCCCTTTCATAGAGCAGGTTTGAAACACTCTTTCTCTAGTATCTGGAAGTGGGCATTTCAAGCGCTTTCAGGCCTATGGAGAGAAAGGAAATACCTTCAAATAAAAACTAGACAGAAGCATTCTCAGAAACTTATTTGTGATGTGTGTCCTCAACTAACAGAGTTGAACCTTTGTTTTGATACAGCATTTTGGAAACACTCCTTTTGTAGAATCTGCAGGTGGATATTTGGATAGCTTTGAAGATTTCGTTGGAAACCGGAATATCTTCATATAAAATCAAGACAGAAGCATTCTCGGAAACATCTCTGTGATGTTTGCATTCAACTCAGTAGAGTTGAACACTTCCTTTCATAGAGCAGGTTTGAAACACTCTTTCTGCACTACCTGGAAGCGGACATTTCGAGCGCTTTGAGGCCTATGGTGAAAAAGGAAATATCTTCTCATAAAAACCAGAAAGAAGCATTCTCAGAAACTTCTTTGTGTTGTGTGTACTCAAGTAACAGTGTTGAACCTTCCTTTTGACAGAGCAGTTTTGAAACACTCTTTTGGTAGAATCTGCAAGTGGATATTTGGATAGCTTTGAGGATTTCGTTGGAAACGGGTTATCTTCATATAAAATCCAGACAGGAGCATTCTCAGAAACTTCTTTGTGCTGTATGTCCTCAATTCACAGAGCTGAACCTTTGTTTGGATACAGCATTTTGGAGACATTCCTTTAGTAGAATCTGCAAGTTGATATTTAGATAGCTTTGAAGATTTCGTTGGAAACGGGAATATCTTCATAGAAAATCTAGACGGAAGCATTCTCAGAAACTGCTTTGTGATGTTTGCATTCAAGTCACAGAGTTGAATATTCCCTTTTATAGAGTAGGTTTGAAACACTCTTTCGGCACTACCTGGAAGTGGATATTTCGAGCTCTTTGAGGCCTATGGTTAAAAGGAAATATCTTCCCATAAAAACTAGACAGACAAGCCGTCTCAGAAACTTGTTTGTGATGTGTGTATTCAACTACCAGAGTTGAACATTTCTGTTACAGAGCAATTTTAAAACACTCTTTTTGTGGAATCTGAAAGTGGATAATTGGATAGCTTTGTGGATTTCGTTGGAAACGGGATGACGTATAAAATCTAGAGAGAAGCATTCTCAGGAACTTCTTTCTGATGTTTGCATTCAAGTCACAGAATTGAACATTCCTTTTCAGAGTGCAGGTTTGAAACACTCTTTCTGTAGTATCTGGAAGTGGACATTTCAAGCGCTTTCAGGCCTACGGGGAGAAAGGAAATATCTTCAAATAAAAACTAGACAGAAGGCTTTTCAGAAACTTATTTGGGATGTGTGTCCTAAACGAACACAGTTGAACCTTTGTTTTGATACAGCATTTTGGAAACACTCCTTTTGTAGAATCTGCAGGTGGATATTTGGATAGATTTTAAGATTTCGTTGGAAACGGGAATTTCTTCATAGAAACTCAAGACAGATGCATTCTCAGAATCTTCTCTGTGATGTTTGCATTCCACTCATAGAGTTGAAAACTTCCTTTCATAGAGTAGGTTTGAAACACTCTTTTTGTAATATTTGGAAGTGGACATTTGCAGCGCTTTGAGGCCTATGGTGAAAAAGGAAATATCTTCTCATAAAAACCAGAAACGAGCATTCTCAGAAACTTCTTTTTGATGTGTGTACTCAAGTAACAGAGTTGAACCTTCCTATTGACACAGCAGTTTTGAAACAATCTTTTTGTAGAATCTGCAAGTGGATATTTGGATTGCTTTGAGGATTTCGTTGGAAACGGGATATCTTCATATAAAATCCAGACAGGAGCATTCTCAGAAACTTCTTTGTGCTCTATGTCCTCAATTAACAGAGTTGAACCATTGCTTGGATACAACATTTTGGAAACATTCCTTTAGTAGAATCTGCAAGTTGATATGTAGATAGCTTTGAAGATTTCGTTGGAAACGGGAATATCTTCATATAAAATCTAGACGGAGAGCATTCTCAGAACTGCTTTGTGATGTTTGCATTCAAGTCACAGAGTTGAATATTCCCTTTTATAGAGTAGGTTTGAAACACTCTTTCGGCACTACCTGGAAGTGGATATTTCGAGCTCTTTGAGGCCTATGGTTAAAAGGAAATATCTTCCCATAAAAACTAGACAGAGCCGTCTCAGAAACTTGTTTGTGATGTGTGTATTCAACTACCAGAGTGGAACATTTGTGTTACAGAGCAATTTTAAAACACTCTTTTTGTGGAATCTGAAAGTGGATAATTGGATAGCTTTGTGGATTTCGTTGGAAACGGGATGACGTATAAAATCTAGAGAGAAGCATTCTCAGGAACTTCTTTCTGATGTTTGCATTCAAGTCACAGAATTGACATTCCTTTTCAGAGTGCAGGTTTGAAACACTCTTTCTGTAGTTTCTGGAAGTGGACATTTCAAGCGCTTTCAGGCCTATGGGGAGAAAGGAAATATCTTCAAATAAAAACTAGACAGAAGGATTCTCAGAAACTTATTTGTGATGTGTGTCCTAAACGAACACAGTTGAACCTTTGTTTTGATACAGCATTTTGGAAACACTCCTTTTGTAGGATCTGCAGGTGGATATTTGGATAGATTTTAAGATTTCGTTGGAAACGGGAATTTCTTCATAGAAGCTCAAGACAGATGCATTCTCAGAAACTTCTCTGTGATGTTTGCATTCCACTCATAGAGTTGAAAACTTCCTTTCATAGAGCAGGTTTGAAACACTCTTTTTGTAATATTTGGAAGTGGACATTTGCAGCGCTTTGAGGCCTATGGTGAAAAAGGAAATATCTTCTCATAAAAACCAGAAACAAGCATTCTCAGAAACTTCTTTTCGATGTGTGTACTCAAGTAACAGAGTTGAACCTTCCTTTTGACACAGCAGTTTTGAAACAATCTTTTTGTAGAATCTGCAAGTGGATATTTGGATAGCTTTGAGGATTTCGTTGGAAACGGGATATCTTCATATAAAATCTAGACAGAAGCATTCTCAGAAACTTCTTTGTGCTGTATGTCCTCAATTAACAGAGTTGAACCATGGCTTGGATACAGCATTTTGGAAACATTCCTTGAGTAGAATCTGCAAGTTGATATGTAGATAGCTTTGAAGATTTCGTTGGAAACGGGAATATCTTCATATAAAATCTAGACGGAAGCATTCTCAGAAACTGCTTTGTGATGTTTCCATTCAAGTCACAGAGTTGAATATTCCCTTTTATAGAGCACGTTTGAAACACTCTTTCTGCGCTATCTGGAAGTGGACATTTCGAGCGCTTTGAGGCCTATGGTGAAAAAGGAAATATCTTCCCATAAAAACTAGACAGAAGCATTCTCAGAAACTTGTTTGTGATGTGTGTATTCAACTAACAGAGTTGAACTTTTGTTTTTACAGAGCCGTTTTAAAACACTCTTTTTGTGGAATCAGAAAGTGGATATTCGGATGGCTCTGAGGATTTCGTTGGAAGCGGGATTACGTATAAAATCTAGAGAGAAGCATTCTCAGGAACTTCTTTCTGATGTTTGCATTGAAGGCACGGAATTGAACATTCACTTTTATAGAGCAGGTTTGAAACACTCATTCTGTAGTATCTGGAAGTGGACATTTCAAGCGCTTTCAGGCCTATGGTGAGAAAGGAAATATCTTCGAATAAAAACTAGACAGAAGCATCCTCAGAAACTTATTTGTGATGTGTGTCCTCAACTAACAGAGTTGAAACTTTGTTTTGATACAGCATTTTGGAAACACTCTTTTTGTAGAATCTGCAGGTGGATATTTGGATAGCTTAGAGGGATTCGTTGGAAAGGGGATATCTTCATATAAAATCTAGACAGAAGCATTCTCAGAAACTTATTTGTGATGTGTGTCCTCAACTAACAGAGTTGATCCTTGGTTTAGATACAGCATTTTGGAAACACTCCTTTTGTAGAATCTGCAGGTGGATATGTGGATAGCTTTGAAGATTTCGTTGGAAACGGGAATTTCTTCATATAAAATCAAAGAGAAGCATTCTCAGAAACTTCTCAGTGATGTTTGCATTCAGCTCATGGAGTTGTACACTTCCTTTCATAGAGCAGGTTTGAAACACTCTTTCTGCACTACCTGGAAGAGGACATTTCGAGCGCTTTGAGTCCTATGGTGAAAAAGGAAATATCTTCTCATAGAAACCAGAAAGAAGCATTCTCAGAAACTTCTTTGTGTTGTGTGTACTCATGTAACAGTGTTGAACCATCCTTTTGACAGAGCAGTTTTGAAACACTCTTTTTGTAGAATCTGCAAGTGGATATTTGGATAGCTTTGAGGATTTCGTTGGAAACGGGATGACATATAATATCTAGAGAGAAGCATTCTCAGGAACTTCTTTGTGATGTTTGCATTCAAGTCACAGAATTGAACATTCCCTTTCATAGAGCAGGTTTGAAACACTCTTTCTCTAGTGTCTGGAAGTGGGCATTTCAAGCGCTTTCAGGCCTATGGAGAGAAAGGAAATACCTTCAAATAAAAACTAGACAGAAGCATTCTCAGAAACTTATTTGTGATGTGTGTCCTCAACTAACAGAGTTGAACCTTTGTTTTGATACAGCATTTTGGAAACACTCCTTTTGTAGAATCTGCAGGTGGATATTTGGATAGCTTTGAAGATTTCGTTGGAAACCGGAATATCTTCATATAAAATCAAGACAGAAGCATTCTCGGAAACATCTCTGTGATGTTTGCATTCAACTCAGTAGAGTTGAACACTTCCTTTCATAGAGCAGGTTTGAAACACTCTTTCTGCACTACCTGGAAGCGGACATTTCGAGCGCTTTGAGGCCTATGGTGAAAAAGGAAATATCTTCTCATAAAAACCAGAAAGAAGCATTCTCAGAAACTTCTTTGTGTTGTGTGTACTCAAGTAACAGTGTTGAACCTTCCTTTTGACAGAGCAGTTTTGAAACACTCTTTTGGTAGAATCTGCAAGTGGATATTTGGAGAGCTTTGAGGATTTCGTTGGAAACGGGTTATCTTCATATAAAATCCAGACAGGAGCATTCTCAGAAACTTCTTTGTGCTGTATGTCCTCAATTCACAGAGCTGAACCTTTGTTTGGATACAGCATTTTGGAGACATTCCTTTAGTAGAATCTGCAAGTTGATATTTAGATAGCTTTGAAGATTTCGTTGGAAACGGGAATATCTTCATAGAAAATCTAGACGGAAGCATTCTCAGAAACTGCTTTGTGATGTTTGCATTCAAGTCACAGAGTTGAATATTCCCTTTTATAGAGTAGGTTTGAAACACTCTTTCGGCACTACCTGGAAGTGGATATTTCGAGCTCTTTGAGGCCTATGGTTAAAAGGAAATATCTTCCCATAAAAACTAGACAGAAGCCGTCTCAGAAACTTGTTTGTGATGTGTGTATTCAACTACCAGAGTTGAACATTTCTGTTACAGAGCAATTTTAAAACACTCTTTTTGTGGAATCTGAAAGTGGATAATTGGATAGCTTTGTGGATTTCGTTGGAAACGGGATGACGTATAAAATCTAGAGAGAAGCATTCTCAGGAACTTCTTTCTGATGTTTGCATTCAAGTCACAGAATTGAACATTCCTTTTCAGAGTGCAGGTTTGAAACACACTCTTTCTGTAGTATCTGGAAGTGGACATTTCAAGCGCTTTCAGGCCTACGGGGAGAAAGGAAATATCTTCAAATAAAAACTAGACAGAAGGATTCTCAGAAACTTATTTGTGATGTGTGTCCTAAACGAACACAGTTGAACCTTTGTTTTGATACAGCATTTTGGAAACACTCCTTTTGTAGGATCTGCAGGTGGATATTTGGATAGATTTTAAGATTTCGTTGGAAACGGGAATTTCTGCATATAAACTCAAGACAGATGCATTCTCAGAAACTTCTCTGTGATGTTTGCATTCCACTCATAGAGTTGAAAACTTCCTTTCATAGAGCAGGTTTGAAACACTCTTTTTGTAATATTTGGAAGTGGACATTTGCAGCGCTTTGAGGCCTATGGTGAAAAAGGAAATATCTTCTCATAAAAACCAGAAACAAGCATTCTCAGAAACTTCTTTTTGATGTGTGTACTCAAGTAACAGAGTTGAACCTTCCTTTTGACACAGCAGTTTTGAAACAATCTTTTTGTAGAATCTGCAAGTGGATATTTGGATAGCTTTGAGGATTTCGTTGGAAACGGGATATCTTCATATAAAATCTAGACAGAAGCATTCTCAGAAACTTCTTTGTGCTGTATGTCCTCAATTAACAGAGTTGAACCATTGCCTGGATACAGCATTTTGGAAACATTCCTTGAGTAGAATCTGCAAGTTGATATTTAGATAGATTTGAAGATTTCGTTGGAAAAGGGAATATCTCCATATAAAATCTAGAGGGAAGCATTCTCAGAAACTGCTTTATGATGTTTCCATTCAAGTCACAGAGTTGAATATTCCCTTTTATAGAGCACGTTTGAAACACTCTTTCTGCGCTATCTGGAAGTGGACATTTCGAGCGCTTTGAGGCCTATGGTGAAAAAGGAAATATCTTCCCATAAAAACTAGACAGAAGCATTCTCAGAAACTTGTTTGTGATGTGTGTATTCAACTAACAGAGTTGAACTTTTGTTTTTACAGAGCCGTTTTAAAACACTCTTTTTGTGGAATCAGAAAGTGGATATTCGGATGGCTCTGAGGATTTCGTTGGAAGCGGGATTACATATAAAATCTAGAGAGAAGCATTCTCAGGAACTTCTTTGTGATGTTTGCATTGAAGTCACAGAATTGAACATTCACTTTGATAGAGCAGGTTTGAAACACTCATTCTGTAGGATCTGGAAGTGGACATTTCAAGCGCTTTCAGGCCTATGGTGAGAAAGGAAATATCTTCGAATAAAAACTAGACAGAAGCATCCTCAGAAACTTATTTGTGATGTGTGTCCTCAACTAACAGAGTTGAAACTTTGTTTTGATACAGCATTTTGGAAACACTCTTTTTGTAGAATCTGCAGGTGGATATTTGGATAGCTTAGAGGGATTCGTTGGAAAGGGGATATCTTCATATAAAATCTAGACAGAAGCATTCTCAGAAACTTATTTGTGATTTGTGTCCTCAACTAACAGAGTTGAACCTTGGTTTTGATACAGCATTTTGGAAACACTCCTTTTGTACAATCTGCAGGTGGATATGTGGATAGCTTTGAAGATTTCGTTGGAAACGGGAATTTCTTCATATAAAATCAAACAGAAGCATTCTCAGAAACTTCTCAGTGATGTTTGCATTCAGCTCATGGAGTTGTACACTTCCTTTCATAGAGCAGGTTTGAAACACTCTTTCTGCACTACCTGGAAGAGGACATTTCGAGCGCTTTGAGGCCTATGGTGAAAAAGGAAATATCTTCTCATAGAAACCAGAAAGAAGCGTTCTCAGAAACTTCTTTGTGTTGTGTGTACTCATGTAACAGTGTTGAACCATCCTTTTGACAGAGCAGTTTTGAAACACTCTTTTTGTAGAATCTGCAACTGGATATTTGGATAGCTTTGAGGATTTCGTTGGAAACGGGTTATCTTCATATTAAATCTAGACAGAAGCATTCTCAGAAACTTCTTTGTGCTGTATGTCCTCAATTCACAGAGTTGAACCTTTGTTTGGATACAGCATTTTGGAAACATTCCTTTAGTAGAATCTGCAAGTTGATATTTAGACAGCTTTGAAGATTTCGTTGGAAACGGGAATATCTTCATAAAAAATCTAGACGGAAGCATTGTCAGAAACTGCTCTGTGATGTTTGCATTCAAGTCACAGAGTTAAATATTCTTTTACAGAGCAGGTTTGAAACAGTCTTTCTGCACTCCCTGGAAGTGGAGATTTCGAGCGCTTTGAGGCCTATGGTGAAAAAGGAAATATCTTCCCATAAAAACTAGACGGAAGCCTTCTTAGAAACTTGTTTGAGATGTGTGTATTCAACTAAGAGCGTTGAACATTTCTTTTTACAGAGCAGTTTTAAAACACTCTTTTGGTGGAATCTGAAAGTGGATAATTGGATAGCTTTGTGTATTTCGTTGGAAACGGGATGACGTTTAAAATCTAGAGAGAAGCATTCTCAGGAACTTCTTTCTGATGTTTGCATTCAAGTCACAGAATTGAACATTCCTTTTCAGAGTGCAGGTTTGAAACACTCTTTCTGTAGTATCTGGAAGTGGACATTTCAAGCGCTTTCAGGCCTACGGGGAGAAAGGAAATATCTTCAAATAAAAACTAGACAGAAGGATTCTCAGAAACTTATTTGTGATGTGTGTCCTAAACGAACACAGTTGAACCTTTGTTTTGATACAGCATTTTGGAAACACTCCTTTTGTAGGATCTGCAGGTGGATATTTGGATAGATTTTAAGATTTCGTTGGAAACGGGAATTTCTGCATATAAACTCAAGACAGATGCATTCTCAGAAACTTCTCTGTGATGTTTGCATTCCACTCATAGAGTTGAAAACTTCCTTTCATAGAGCAGGTTTGAAACACTCTTTTTGTAATATTTGGAAGTGGACATTTGCAGCGCTTTGAGGCCTATGGTGAAAAAGGAAATATCTTCTCATAAAAACCAGAAACAAGCATTCTCAGAAACTTCTTTTTGATGTGTGTACTCAAGTAACATAGTTGAACCTTCCTTCTGACACAGCAGTTTTGAAACAATCTTTTTGTAGAATCTGCAAGTGGATATTTGGATAGCTTTGAGGATTTCGTTGGAAACGGGATATCTTCATATAAAATCTAGACAGAAGCATTCTCAGAAACTTCTTTGTGCTGTATGTCCTCAATTAACAGAGTTGAACCATTGCTTGGATACAGCATTTTGGAAACATTCCTTTAGTAGAATCTGCAAGTTGATATTTAGATAGATTTGAAGATTTCGTTGGAAACGGCAATATCTTCATATAAAATCTAGACGGAGGCATTCTCAGAAACTGCTTTGTGATGTTTCCATTCAAGTCACAGAGTTGAATATTCTCTTTTGTAGAGCACGTTTGAAACACTCTTTCTGTACTATCTGTTAGTGGACATTTCGAGCGCTGTGAGGCCTATGGTTAAAAAGGAAATATCTTCCCATAAAAACTAGACAGAAGCATTCTCAGAAACTTGTTTGTGATGTGTGTATTCAACTAACAGAGTTGAACTTTTGTTTTTACAGAGCCGTTTTAAAACACTCTTTTTGTGGAATCAGAAAGTGGATATTCGGATGGCTCTGAGGATTTCGTTGGAAGCGGGATTACGTATAAAATCTAGAGAGAAGCATTCTCAGGAACTTCTTTGTGATGTTTGCATTGAAGTCACAGAATTGAACATTCACTTTGATAGAGCAGGTTTGGAACACTCATTCTGTAGTATCTGGAAGTGGACATTTCAAGCGCTTTCAGGCCTATGGTGAGAAAGGAAATATCTTCGAATAAAAACTAGACAGAAGCATCCTCAGAAACTTATTTGTGATGTGTGTCCTCAACTAACAGAGTTGAAACTTTGTTTTGATACAGCATTTTGGAAACACTCTTTTTGTAGAATCTGCAGGTGGATATTTGGATAGCTTAGAGGGATTCGTTGGAAAGGGGATATCTTCATATAAAATCTAGACAGAAGCATTCACAGAAACTTATTTGTGATGTGTGCCCTCAACTAACAGAGTTGAACCTTGGTTTTGATACAGCATTTTGGAAACACTCCTTTTGTAGAATCTGCAGGTGGATATGTGGATAGCTTTGAAGATTTCGTTGGAATCGGGAATTTCTTCATATAAAATCAAACAGAAGCATTCTCAGAAACTTCTCAGTGATGTTTGCATTCAGCTCATGGAGTTGTACACTTCCTTTCATAGAGCAGGTTTGAAACACTCTTTCTGCACTACCTGGAAGAGGACATTTCGAGCGCTTTGAGTCCTATGGTGAAAAAGGAAATATCTTCTCATAGAAACCAGAAAGAAGCATTCTCAGAAACTTCTTTGTGTTGTGTGTACTCATGTAACAGTGTTGAACCATCCTTTTGACAGAGGAGTTTTGAAACACTCTTTTTGTAGAATCTGCAAGTGGATATTTGGATAGCTTTGAGGATTTCGTTGGAAACGGGATGACATATAATATCTAGAGAGAAGCATTCTCAGGAACTTCTTTGTGATGTTTGCATTCAAGTCACAGAATTGAACATTCCCTTTCATAGAGCAGGTTTGAAACACTCTTTCTCTAGTATCTGGAAGTGGGCATTTCAAGCGCTTTCAGGCCTATGGAGAGAAAGGAAATACCTTCAAATAAAAAGTAGACAGAAGCATTCTCAGAAACTTATTTGTGATGTGTGTCCTCAACTAACAGAGTTGAACCTTTGTTTTGATACAGCATTTTGGAAACACTCCTTTTGTAGAATCTGCAGGTGGATATGTGGATAGCTTTGAAGATTTCGTTGGAAACCGGAATATCTTCATATAAAATCAAGACAGAACCATTCTCGGAAACATCTCTGTGATGTTTGCATTCAACTCAGTAGAGTTGAACACTTCCTTTCATAGAGCAGGTTTGAAACACTCTTTCTGCCCTACCTGGAAGCGGACATTTCGAGCTCTTTGAGGCCTATGGTGAAAAAGGAAATATCTTCTCATAAAAACCAGAAAGAAGCATTCTCAGAAACTTCTTTGTGTTGTGTGTACTCAAGTAACAGTGTTGAACCTTCCTTTTGACAGAGCAGTTTTGAAACACTCTTTTGGTAGAATCTGCAAGTGGATATTTGGATAGCTTTGAGGATTTCGTTGGAAACGGGTTATCTTCATATAAAATCCAGACAGGAGCATTCTCAGAAACTTCTTTGTGCTGTATGTCCTCAATTCACAGAGCTGAACCTTTGTTTGGATACAGCATTTTGGAGACATTCCTTTAGTAGAATCTGCAAGTTGATATTTAGATAGCTTCGAAGATTTCGTTGGAAACGGGAATATCTTCATAGAAAATCTAGACGGAAGCATTCTCAGAAACTGCTTTGTGATGTTTGCATTCAAGTCACAGAGTTGAATATTCCCTTTTATAGAGTAGGTTTGAAACACTCTTTCGACACTACCTGGAAGTGGATATTTCGAGCTCTTTGAGGCCTATGGTTAAAAGGAAATATCTTCCCATAAAAACTAGACAGAAGCCGTCTCAGAAACTAGTTTGTGATGTGTGTATTCAACTAACAGAGTTGAACATTTCTGTTACAGAGCAATTTTAAAACACTCTTTTTGTGGAATCTGAAAGTGGATAATTGGATAGCTTTGTGGATTTCGTTGGAAACGGGATGACGTATAAAATCTAGAGAGAAGCATTCTCAGGAACTTCTTTCTGATGTTTGCATTCAAGTCACAGAATTGAACATTCCTTTTCATAGTGCAGGTTTGAAACACTCTTTCTGTAGTATCTGGAAGGGGACATTTCAAGCGCTTTCAGGCCCTCTGGGGAGGAAGGAAATATCTTCAAATAAAAACTAGACAGAAGGCTTCTCAGAAACTTATTTGTGATGTGTGTCCTAAACGAACACAGTTGAACCTTTGTTTTGATACAGCATTTTGGAAACACTCCTTTTGTAGAATCTGCAGGTGGATATTTGGATAGATTTTAAGATTTCGTTGGAAACGGGAATTTCTTCATATAAACTCAAGACAGATGCATTCTCAGAAACTTCTCTGTGATGTTTGCATTCCACTCATAGAGTTGAAAACTTCCTTTCATAGAGCAGGTTTGAAACACTCTTTCTGTAGTATTTGGAAGTGGACATTTGCAGCGCTTTGAGGCCTATGGTGAAAAAGGAAATATCTTCTCATAAAAACCAGAAACAAGCATTCTCAGAAAGTTCTTTTTGATGTGTGTACTCAAGTAACAGAGTTGAACCTTCCTTTTGACACAGCAGTTTTGAAACAATCTTTTTGTAGAATCTGCAAGTGGATATTTGGATAGCTTTGAGGATTTCATTGGAAACGGGATATCTTCATATAAAATCTAGACAGAAGCATTCTCAGAAACTTCTTTGTGCTGTATGTCCTCAATTAACAGAGTTGAACCATTGCCTGGATACAGCATTTTGGAAACATTCCTTGAGTAGAATCTGCAAGTTGATATTTAGATAGATTTGAAGATTTCGTTGGAAAAGGGAATATCTCCATATAAAATCTAGAGGGAAGCATTGTCAGAAACTGCTCTGTGATGTTTGCATTCAAGTCACAGAGTTAAATATTCTTTTACAGAGCAGGTTTGAAACACTCTTTCTGCACTCCCTGGAAGTGGAGATTTCGAGCGCTTTGAGGCCTATGGTGAAAAAGGAAATATCTTCCCATAAAAACTAGACGGAAGCATTCTCAGAAACTTGTTTGTGATGTGTGTATTCAACTAACAGAGTTGAACTTTTGTTTTTACAGAGCCGTTTTAAAACACTCTTTTTGTGGAATCAGAAAGTGGATATTCGGATGGCTCTGAGGATTTCGTTGGAAGCGGGATTACATATAAAATCTAGAGAGAAGCATTCTCAGAAACTTCTTTCTGATGTTTGCATTGAAGTCACAGAATTGAACATTCACTTTGATAGAGCAGGTTTGAAACACTCATTCTGTAGTATCTGGAAGTGGACATTTCAAGCGCTTTCAGGCCTATGGTGAGAAAGGAAATATCTTCGAATAAAAACTAGACAGAAGCATCCTCAGAAACTTATTTGTGATGTGTGTCCTCAAGTAACAGAGTTGAAACTTTGTTTTGATACAGCATTTTGGAAACACTCTTTTTGTAGAATCTGCAGGTGGATATTTGGATAGCTTCTAGGGATTCGTTGGAAAAGGGATATCTTCATATAAAATCTAGACAGAAGCATTCTCAGAAACTTATTTGTGATGTGTGTCCTCAACTAACAGAGTTGAACCTTGGTTTTGATACAGCATTTCGGAAACACTCCTTTTGTGGAATCTGCAGGTGGATATGTGGATAGCTTTGAAGATTTCGTTGGAAACGGGAATTTCTTCATATAAAATCAAACAGAAGCATTCTCAGAAACTTCTCTGTGATGTTTGCATTCAGCTCATGGAGTTGAACACTTCCTTTCATAGAGCAGGTTTGAAAAACTCTTTCTGCACTACCAGGAAGTGGACATTTCGAGCGCTTTGAGGCTTATGGTGAAAAAGGAAATATCTTCTCATAAAAACCAGAAAGAAGCATTCTCAGAAACTTCTTTGTGTTGTGTGTACTCATGTAACAGTGTTGAACCATCCTTTTGACAGAGGAGTTTTGAAACACTCTTTTTGTAGAATCTGCAAGTGGATATTTGGATAGCTTTGAGGATTTCGTTGGAAACGGGATGACATATAATATCTAGAGAGAAGCATTCTCAGGAACTTCTTTGTGATGTTTGCATTCAAGTCACAGAATTGAACATTCCCTTTCATAGAGCAGGTTTGAAACACTCTTTCTCTAGTATCTGGAAGTGGGCATTTCAAGCGCTTTCAGGCCTATGGAGAGAAAGGAAATACCTTCAAATAAAAACTAGACAGAAGCATTCTCAGAAACTTATTTGTGATGTGTGTCCTCAACTAACAGAGTTGAACCTTTGTTTTGATACAGCATTTTGGAAACACTCCTTTTGTAGAATCTGCAGGTGGATATTTGGATAGCTTTGAAGATTTCGTTGGAAACCGGAATATCTTCCTATAAAATCAAGACAGAAGCATTCTCGGAAACATCTCTGTGATGTTTGCATTCAACTCAGTAGAGTTGAACACTTCCTTTCATAGAGCAGGTTTGAAACACTCTTTCTGCACTACCTGGAAGCGGACATTTCGAGCGCTTTGAGGCCTATGGTGAAAAAGGAAATATCTTCTCATAAAAACCAGAAAGAAGCATTCTCAGAAACTTCTTTGTGTTGTGTGTACTCAAGTAACAGTGTTGAACCTTCCTTTTGACAGAGCAGTTTTGAAACACTCTTTTGGTAGAATCTGCAAGTGGATATTTGGATAGCTTTGAGGATTTCGTTGGAAACGGGTTATCTTCCTATAAAATCCAGACAGGAGCATTCTCAGAAACTTCTTTGTGCTGTATGTCCTCAATTCACAGAGTTGAACCTTTGTTTGGATACAGCATTTTGGAAACATTCCTTTAGTAGAATCTGCAAGTTGATATTTAGATAGCTTTGAAGATTTCGTTGGAAACGGGAATATCTTCATAAAAAATCTAGACGGAAGCATTGTCAGAAACTGCTCTGTGATGTTTGCATTCAAGTCACAGAGTTAAATATTCTTTTATAGAGCAGGTTTGAAACACTCTTTCTGCACTCCCTGGAAGTGGAGATTTCGAGCGCTTTGAGGCCTATGGTGAAAAAGGAAATATCTTCCTGTAAAAACTAGACGGAAGCCTTCTCAGAAACTTGTTTGAGATGTGTGTATTCAACTAAGAGCGTTGAACATTTCTTTTTACAGAGCAGTTTTAAAACACTCTTTTGGTGCAATCTGAAAGTGGATAATTGGATAGCTTTGTGGATTTCGTTGGAAACGGGATTACGTTTAAAATCTAGAGAGAAGCATTCTCAGGAACTTCTTTCTGATGTTTGCATTCAAGTCACAGAATTGACATTCCTTTTCAGAGTGCAGGTTTGAAACACTCTTTCTGTAGTATCTGGAAGTGGACATTTCAAGCGCTTTCAGGCCTATGGGGAGAAAGGAAATATCTTCAAATAAAAACTAGACAGAAGGATTCTCAGAAACTTATTTGTGATGTGTGTCCTAAACGAACACAGTTGAACCTTTGTTTTGATACAGCATTTTGGAAACACTCCTTTTGTAGGATCTGCAGGTGGATATTTGGATAGATTTTAAGATTTCGTTGGAAACGGGAATTTCTGCATAGAAACTCAAGACAGATGCATTCTCAGAAACTTCTCTGTGATGTTTGCATTCCACTCACAGAGTTGAAAACTTCCTTTCATAGAGCAGGTTTGAAACACTCTTTTTGTAATATTTGGAAGTGGACATTTGCAGCGCTTTGAGGCCTATGGTGAAAAAGGAAATATCTTCTCATAAAAACCAGAAACAAGCATTCTCAGAAACTTCTTTTTGATGTGTGTACTCAAGTAACAGAGTTGAACCTTCCTTTTGACACAGCAGTTTTGAAACAATCTTTTTGTAGAATCTGCAAGTGGATATTTGGATAGCTTTGAGGATTTCGTTGGAAACGGGATATCTTCATATAAAATCTAGACAGAAGCATTCTCAGAAACTTCTTTGTGCTGTATGTCCTCAATTAACAGAGTTGAACCATTGCTTCGATACAGCATTTTGGAAACATTCCTTTAGTAGAATCTGCAAGTTGATATTTAGATAGATTTGAAGATTTCGTTGGAAACGGGAATATCTTCATATAAAATCTAGACGGAGGCATTCTCAGAAACTGCTTTGTGATGTTTCCATTCAAGTCACAGAGTTGAATATTCTCTTTTATAGAGCACGTTTGAAACACTCTTTCTGCACTATCTGGAAGTGGACATTTCGAGCGCTGTGAGGCCTATGGTGAAAAAGGAAATATCTTCCCATAAAAACTAGACAGAAGCATTCTCAGAAACTTGTTTGTGATGTGTGTATTCAACTAACAGAGTTGAACTTTTGTTTTTACAGAGCCGTTTTAAAACACTCTTTTTGTGGAATCAGAAAGTGGATATTCGGATGGCTCTGAGGATTTCGTTGGAAGCGGGATTACGTATAAAATCTAGAGAGAAGCATTCTCAGGAACTACTTTGTGATGTTTGCATTGAAGTCACAGAATTGAACATTCACTTTGATAGAGCAGGTTTGAAACACTCATTCTGTAGTATCTGGAAGCGGATAATTCAAGCGCTTTCAGGCCTATGGGGAGAAAGGAAATATCTTCAAATAAAAACTAGACAGAAGCATCCTCAGAAACTTATTTGTGATGTGTGTCCTCAACTAACAGAGTTGAAACTTTGTTTTGATACAGCATTTTGGAAACACTCTTTTTGTAGAATCTGCAGGTGGATATTTGGATAGCTTAGAGGGATTCGTTGGAAAGGGGATATCTTCATATAAAATCTAGACAGAAGCATTCTCAGAAACTTATTTGTGATGTGTGTCCTCAACTAACAGAGTTGAACCTTGGTTTTGATACAGCATTTTGGAAACACTCCTTTTGTAGAATCTGCAGGTGGATATGTGGATAGGTTTGAAGATTTCGTTGGAAACGGGAATTTCTTCATATAAAATCAAAGAGAAGCATTCTCAGAAACTTCTCAGTGATGTTTGCATTCAGTTCATGGAGTTGAACACTTCCTTTCATAGAGCCGGTTTGAAACACTCTTTCTGCACTACCTGGAAGAGGACATTTCGAGCGCTTTGAGTCCTATGGTGAAAAAGGAAATATCTTCTCATAGAAACCAGAAAGAAGCGTTCTCAGAAACTTCTTTGTGTTGTGTGTACTCATGTAACAGTGTTGAACCATCCTTTTGACAGAGCAGTTTTGAAACACTCTTTTTGTAGAATCTGCCAGTGGATATTTGGATACCTTTGAGGATTTCGTTGGAAACGGGTTATCTTCATATTAAATCTAGACAGAAGCATTCTCAGGAACTTCTTTGTGATGTTTGCATTCAAGTCACAGAATTGAACATTCCCTTTCATAGAGCAGGTTTGAAACACTCTTTCTCTAGTATCTGGAAGTGGGCATTTCAAGCGCTTTCAGGCCTATGGAGAGAAAGGAAATACCTTCAAATAAAAACTAGACAGAAGCATTCTCAGAAACTTATTTGTGATGTGTGTCCTCAACTAACAGAGTTGAACCTTTGTTTTGATACAGCATTTTGGAAACACTCCTTTTGTAGAATCTGCAGGTGGATATTTGGATAGCTTTGAAGATTTCGTTGGAAACCGGAATATCTTCATATAAAATCAAGACAGAAGCATTCTCGGAAACATCTCTGTGATGTTTGCATTCAACTCAGTAGAGTTGAACACTTCCTTTCATAGAGCAGGTTTGAAACACTCTTTCTGCACTACCTGGAAGCGGACATTTCGAGCGCTTTGAGGCCTATGGTGAAAAAGGAAATATCTTCTCATAAAAACCAGAAAGAAGCATTCTCAGAAACTTCTTTGTGTTGTGTGTACTCAAGTAACAGTGTTGAACCTTCCTTTTGACAGAGCAGTTTTGAAACACTCTTTTGGTAGAATCTGCAAGTGGATATTTGGAGAGCTTTGAGGAATTCGTTGGAAACGGGTTATCTTCATATAAAATCCAGACAGGAGCATTCTCAGAAACTTCTTTGTGCTGTATGTCCGCAATTCACAGAGCTGAACCTTTGTTTGGATACAGCATTTTGGAGACATTCCTTTAGTAGAATCTGCAAGTTGATATTTAGATAGCTTTGAAGATTTCGTTGGAAACGGGAATATCTTCATAAAAAATCTAGACGGAAGCATTCTCAGAAACTGCTTTGTGATGTTTGCATTCAAGTCACAGAGTTGAATATTCCCTTTTATAGAGTAGGTTTGAAACACTCTTTCGGCACTACCTGGAAGTGGATATTTCGAGCTCTTATGAGGCCTATGGTTAAAAGGAAATATCTTCCCATAAAAACTAGACAGAAGCCTTCTCAGAAACTTGTTTGAGATGTGTGTATTCAACTAAGAGCGTTGAACATTTCTTTTTACAGAGCAGTTTTAAAACAGTCTTTTGGTGCAATCTGAAAGTGGATAATTGGATAGCTTTGTGGATTTCGTTGGAAACGGGATTACGTTTAAAATCTAGAGAGAAGCATTCTCAGGAACTTCTTTCTGATGTTTGCATTCAAGTCACAGAATTGAACATTCCTTTTCATAGTGCAGGTTTGAAACACTCTTTCTGTAGTATCTGGAAGGGGACATTTCAAGCGCTTTCAGGCCTCTGAGGAGGAAGGAAATATCTTCAAATAAAAACTAGACAGAAGGCTTCTCAGAAACTTATTTGTGATGTGTGTCCTAAACGAACACAGTTGAACCTTTGTTTTGATACAGCATTTTGGAAACACTCCTTTTGTAGAATCTGCAGGTGGATATTTGGATAGATTTTAAGATTTCGTTGGAAACGGGAATTTCTTCATATAATCTCAAGACGGATGCATTCTCAGAAACTTCTCTGTGATGTTTGCATTCCACTCATAGAGTTGAAAACTTCCTTTCATAGAGCAGGTTTGAAACACTCTTTCTGTAATATTTGGAAGTGGACATTTGCAGCGCTTTGAGGCCTATGGTGAAAAAGGAAATATCTTCTCATAAAAACCAGAAACAAGCATTCTCAGAAACTTCTTTTTGATGTGTGTACTCAAGTAACAGAGTTGAACCTTCCTCTTGACACAGCAGTTTTGAAACAATCTTTTTGTAGAATCTGCAAGTGGATATTTGGATAGCTTTGAGGATTTCGTTGGAAACGGGATATCTTCATATAAAATCTAGACAGAAGCATTCTCAGAAACTTCTTTGTGCTGTATGTCCTCAATTAACAGAGTTGAACCATTGCCTGGATACAGCATTTTGGAAACATTCCTTGAGTAGAATCTGCAAGTTGATATTTAGATAGATTTGAAGATTTCGTTGGAAAAGGGAATATCTCCATATAAAATCTAGAGGGAAGCATTCTCAGAAACTGCTTTGTGATGTTTCCATTCAAGTCACAGAGTTGAATATTCCCTTTTATAGAGCACGTTTGAAACACTCTTTCTGCACTATCTGGAAGTGGACATTTCGAGCGCTTTGAGGCCTATGGTGAAAAAGGAAATATCTTCCCATAAAAACTAGACAGAAGCATTCTCAGAAACTTGTTTGTGATGTGTGTATTCAACTAACAGAGTTGAACTTTTGTTTTTACAGAGCCGTTTTAAAACACTCTTTTTGTGGAATCAGAAAGTGGATATTCGGATGGCTCTGAGGATTTCGTTGGAAGCGGGATTACATATAAAATCTAGAGAGAAGCATTCTCAGGAACTTCTTTGTGATGTTTGCATTGAAGTCACAGAATTGAACATTCACTTTGATAGAGCAGGTTTGAAACACTCATTCTGTAGTATCTGGAAGTGGACATTTCAAGCGCTTTCAGGCCTATGGTGAGAAAGGAAATATCTTCGAATAAAAACTAGACAGAAGCATCCTCAAACTTATTTGTGATGTGTGTCCTCAACTAACAGAGTTGAAACTTTGTTTTGATACAGCATTTTGGAAACACTCTTTTTGTAGAATCTGCAGGTGGATATTTGGATAGCTTAGAGGGATTCGTTGGAAAGGGGATATCTTCATATAGAATCTAGACAGAAGCATTCTCAGAAACTTATTTGTGATGTGTGTCCTCAACTAACAGAGTTGAACCTTGGTTTTGATACAGCATTTTGGAAACACTCCTTTTGTAGAATCTGCAGGTGGATATGTGGATAGCTCTGAAGATTTCGTTGGAAACGGGAATTTCTTCATATAAAATCAAACAGAAGCATTCTCAGAAACTTCTCAGTGATGTTTGCATTCAGCTCATGGAGTTGTACACTTCCTTTCATAGAGCAGGTTTGAAACACTCTTTCTGCACTACCTGGAAGAGGACATTTCGAGCGCTTTGAGTCCTATGGTGAAAAAGGAAATATCTTCTCATAGAAACCAGAAAGAAGCGTTCTCAGAAACTTCTTTGTGTTGTGTGTACTCATGTAACAGTGTTGAACCATCCTTTTGACAGAGCAGTTTTGAAACACTCTTTTTGTAGAATCTGCCAGTGGATATTTGGATAGCTTTGAGGATTTCGTTGGAAACGGGTTATCTTCATATTAAATCTAGACAGAAGCATTCTCAGGAACTTCTTTGTGATGTTTGCATTCAAGTCACAGAATTGAACATTCCCTTTCATAGAGCAGGTTTGAAACACTCTTTCTCTAGTATCTGGAAGTGGGCATTTCAAGCGCTTTCAGGCCTATGGAGAGAAAGGAAATACCTTCAAATAAAAACTAGACAGAAGCATTCTCAGAAACTTATTTGTGATGTGTGTCCTCAACTAACAGAGTTGAACCTTTGTTTTGATACAGCATTTTGGAAACACTCCTTTTGTAGAATCTGCAGGTGGATATTTGGATAGCTTTGAAGATTTCGTTGGAAACCGGAATATCTTCCTATAAAATCAAGACAGAAGCATTCTCGGAAACATCTCTGTGATGTTTGCATTCAACTCAGTAGAGTTGAACACTTCCTTTCATAGAGCAGGTTTGAAACACTCTTTCTGCACTACCTGGAAGCGGACATTTCGAGCGCTTTGAGGCCTATGGTGAAAAAGGAAATATCTTCTCATAAAAACCAGAAAGAAGCATTCTCAGAAACTTCTTTGTGTTGTGTGTACTCAAGTAACAGTGTTGAACCTTCCTTTTGACAGAGTAGTTTTGAAACACTCTTTTGGTAGAATCTGCAAGTGGATATTTGGATAGCTTTGAGGATTTCGTTGGAAACGGGTTATCTTCCTATAAAATCCAGACAGGAGCATTCTCAGAAACTTCTTTGTGCTGTATGTCCTCAATTCACAGAGTTGAACCTTTGTTTGGATACAGCATTTTAGAAACATTCCTTTAGTAGAATCTGCAAGTTGATATTTAGATAGCTTTGAAGATTTCGTTGGAAACGGGAATATCTTCATAAAAAATCTAGACGGAAGCATTCTCAGAAACTGCTTTGTGATGTTTGCATTCAAGTCACAGAGTTGAATATTCCCTTTTATAGAGTAGGTTTGAAACACTCTTTCGGCACTACCTGGAAGTGGATATTTCGAGCTCTTTGAGGCCTATGGTTAAAAGGAAATATCTTCCCATAAAAACTAGACAGAAGCCTTCTCAGAAACTTGTTTGAGATGTGTGTATTCAACTAAGAGCGTTGAACATTTCTTTTTACAGAGCAGTTTTAAAACACTCTTTTTGTGGAATCTGAAGGTGGATAATTGGATAGCTTTGTGGATTTCGTTGGAAACGGGATGACGTATAAAATCTAGAGAGAAGCATTCTCAGGAACTTCTTTCTGATGTTTCCATTCAAGTCACAGAATTGAACATTCCTTTTCATAGTGCAGGTTTGAAACACTCTTTCTGTAGTATCTGGAAGTGGACATTTCAAGCACTTTCAGGCCTATGGGGAGAAAGGAAATATCTTCAAATAAAAACTAGACAGAAGGATTCTCAGAAACTTATTTGTGATGTGTGTCCTAAACGAACACAGTTGAACCTTTGTTTTGATACAGCATTTTGGAAACACTCCTTTTGTAGGATCTGCAGGTGGATATTTGGATAGATTTTAAGATTTCGTTGGAAACGGGAATTTCTTCATAGAAGCTCAAGACAGATGCATTCTCAGAAACTTCTCTGTGATGTTTGCATTCCACTCATAGAGTTGAAAACTTCCTTTCATAGAGCAGGTTTGAAACACTCTTTTTGTAATATTTGGAAGTGGACCTTTGCAGCGCTTTGAGGCCTATGGTGAAAAAGGAAATATCTTCTCATAAAAACCAGAAACAAGCATTCTCAGAAACTTCTTTTTGATGTGTGTACTCAAGTAACAGAGTTGAACCTTCCTCTTGACACAGCAGTTTTGAAACAATCTTTTTGTAGAATCTGCAAGTGGATATTTGGATAGCTTTGAGGATTTCGTTGGAAACGGGATATCTTCATATAAAATCTAGACAGAAGCATTCTCAGAAACTTCTTTGTGCTGTATGTCCTCAATTAACAGAGTTGAACCATTGCTTGGATACAGCATTTTGGAAACATTCCTTGAGTAGAATCTGCAAGTTGATATTTAGATAGATTTGAAGATTTCGTTGGAAAAGGGAATATCTCCATATAAAATCTAGAGGGAGGCATTCTCAGAAACTGCTTTGTGATGTTTCCATTCAAGTCACAGAGTTGAATATTCCCTTTTATAGAGCACGTTTGAAACACTCTTTCGGCACTATCTGGAAGTGGACATTTCGAGCGCTTTGAGGCCTATGGTGAAAAAGGAAATATCTTCCCATAAAAACTAGACAGAAGCATTCTCAGAAACTTCTTTGTGCTGTATGTCCTCAATTCACAGAGTTGAACCTTTGTTTGGATACAGCATTTTGGAAACATTCCTTTAGTAGAATCTGCAAGTTGATATTTAGATAGCTTTGAAGATTTCGTTGGAAACGGGAATATCTTCATAAAAAATCTAGACGGAAGCATTGTCAGAAACTGCTCTGTGATGTTTGCATTCAAGTCACAGAGTTAAATATTCTTTTATAGAGCAGGTTTGAAACACTCTTTCTGCACTCCCTGGAAGTGGAGATTTCGAGCGCTTTGAGGTCTATGGTGAAAAAGGAAATATCTTCCCGTAAAAACTAGACGGAAGCATTCTCAGAAACTTGTTTGTGATGTGTGTATTCAACTAACAGAGTTGAACTTTTGTTTTTACAGAGCCGTTTTAAAACACTCTTTTTGTGGAATCAGAAAGTGGATATTCGGATGGCTCTGAGGATTTCGTTGGAAGAGGGATTACGTATAAAATCTAGAGACAAGCATTCTCAGGAACTTCTTTCTGATGTTTGCATTGAAGTCACGGAATTGAACATTCACTTTTATAGAGCAGGTTTGAAACACTCATTCTGTAGTATCTGGAAGTGGACATTTCAAGCGCTTTCAGGCCTATGGTGAGAAAGGAAATATCTTCGAATAAAAACTAGACAGAAGCATCCTCAGAAACTTATTTGTGATGTGTGTCCTCAACTAACAGAGTTGAAACTTTGTTTTGATACAGCATTTTGGAAACACTCTTTTTGTAGAATCTGCAGGTGGATATTTGGATAGCTTAGAGGGATTCGTTGGAAAGGGGATATCTTCATATAAAATCTAGACAGAAGCATTCTCAGAAACTTATTTGTGATGTGTGTCCTCAACTAACAGAGTTGAACCTTGGTTTTGATACAGCATTTTGGAAACACTCCTTTTGTAGAATCTGCAGGTGGATATGTGGATAGCTTTGAAGATTTCGTTGGAAACGGGAATTTCTTCATATTAAATCAAAGAGAAGCATTCTCAGAAACTTCTCTGTGATGTTTGCATTCAGCTCATGGAGTTGAACACTTCCCTTCATAGAGCAGGTTTGAAACACTCTTTCTGCACTTCCAGGAAGTGGACATTTCGAGCGCTTTGAGGCCTATGGTGAAAAAGGAAATATCTTCTCATAAAAACCAGAAAGAAGCGTTCTCAGAAACTTCTTTGTGTTGTGTGTACTCATGTAAGAGTGTTGAACCATCCTTTTGACAGAGCAGTTTTGAAACACTCTTTTTGTAGAATCTGCAAGTGGATATTTGGATAGCTTTGAGGATTTCGTTGGAAACGGTTTATCTTCATATTAAATCTAGACAGAAGCATTCTCAGGAACTTCTTTGTGATGTTTGCATTCAAGTCACAGAATTGAACATTCCCTTTCATAGAGCAGGTTTGAAACACTCTTTCTCTAGTATCTGGAAGTGGGCATTTCAAGCGCTTTCAGGCCTATGGAGAGAAAGGAAATACCTTCAAATAAAAACTAGACAGAAGCATTCTCAGAAACTTATTTGTGATGTGTGTCCCCAACTAACAGCAGTTGAACCTTTGTTTTGATACAGCATTTTGGAAACACTCCTTTTGTAGAATCTGCAGGTGGATATTTGGATAGCTTTGAAGATTTCGTTGGAAACCGGAATATCTTCATATAAAATCAAGACAGAAGCATTCTCGGAAACATCTCTGTGATGTTTGCATTCAACTCAGTAGAGTTGAACACTTCCTTTCATAGAGCAGGTTTGAAACACTCTTTCTGCACTACCTGGAAGCGGACATTTCGAGCGCTTTGAGGCCTATGGTGAAAAAGGAAATATCTTCTCATAAAAACCAGAAAGAAGCATTCTCAGAAACTTCTTTGTGTTGTGTGTACTCAAGTAACAGTGTTGAACCTTCCTTTTGACAGAGCAGTTTTGAAACACTCTTTTGGTAGAATCTGCAAGTGGATATTTGGATAGCTTTGAGGATTTCATTGGAAACGGGTTATCTTCATATAAAATCCAGACAGGAGCATTCTCAGAAACTTCTTTGTGCTGTATGTCCTCAATTCACAGAGCTGAACCTTTGTTTGGATACAGCATTTTGGAGACATTCCTTTAGTAGAATCTGCAAGTTGATATTTAGATAGCTTTGAAGATTTCGTTGGAAACGGGAATATCTTCATAGAAAATCTAGACGGAAGCATTCTCAGAAACTGCTTTGTGATGTTTGCATTCAAGTCACAGAGTTGAATATTCCCTTTTATAGAGTAGGTTTGAAACACTCTTTCGGCACTACCTGGAAGTGGATATTTCGAGCTCTTTGAGGCCTATGGTTAAAAGGAAATATCTTCCCATAAAAACTAGACAGAAGCCTTCTCAGAAACTTGTTTGAGATGTGTGTATTCAACTAAGAGCGTTGAACATTTCTTTTTACAGAGCAGTTTTAAAACACTCTTTTGGTGGAATCTGAAAGTGGATAATTGGATAGCTTTGTGTATTTCGTTGGAAACGGGATGACGTTTAAAATCTAGAGAGAAGCATTCTCAGGAACTTCTTTCTGATGTTTGCATTCAAGTCACAGAATTGAACATTCCTTTTCAGAGTGCAGGTTTGAAACACTCTTTCTGTAGTATCTGGAAGTGGACATTTCAAGCGCTTTCAGGCCTACAGGGAGAAAGGAAATATCTTCAAATAAAAACTAGACAGAAGGATTCTCAGAAACTTATTTGTGATGTGTGTCCTAAACGAACACAGTTGAACCTTTGTTTTGATACAGCATTTTGGAAACACTCCTTTTGTAGAATCTGCAGGTGGATATTTGGATAGGTTTTAAGATTTCATTGGAAACGGGAATTTCTTCATATAAACTCAAGACAGATGCATTCTCAGAAACTTCTCTGTGATGTTTGCATTCCACTCATAGAGTTGAAAACTTCCTTTCATAGAGCAGGTTTGAAACACTCTTTTTGTAATATTTGGAAGTGGACATTTGCAGCGCTTTGAGGCCTATGGTGAAAAAGGAAATATCTTCTCATAAAAACCAGAAACAAGCATTCTCAGAAACTGCTTTTTGATGTGTGTACTCAAGTAACAGAGTTGAACCTTCCTTTTGACACAGCAGTTTTGAAACAATCTTTTTGTAGAATCTGCAAGTGGATATTTGGATAGCTTTGAGGATTTCGTTGGAAACGGGATATCTTCATATAAAATCTAGACAGAAGCATTCTCAGAAACTTCTTTGTGCTGTATGTCCTCAATTAACAGAGTTGAACCATTGCCTGGATACAGCATTTTGGAAACATTCCTTGAGTAGAATCTGCAAGTTGATATTTAGATAGATTTGAAGATTTCGTTGGAAACGGGAATATCTCCATATAAAATCTAGAGGGAAGCATTCTCAGAAACTGCTTTGTGATGTTTCCATTCAAGTCACAGAGTTGAATATTCCCTTTTATAGAGCACGTTTGAAACACTCTTTCTGCACTATCTGGAAGTGGACATTTCGAGCGCTTTGAGGCCTATGGTGAAAAAGGAAATATCTTCCCATAAAAACTAGACAGAAGCATTCTCAGAAACTTGTTTGTGATGTGTGTATTCAACTAACAGAGTTGAACTTTTGTTTTTACAGAGCCGTTTTAAAACACTCTTTTTGTGGAATCAGAAAGTGGATATTCGGATGGCTCTGAGGATTTCGTTGGAAGCGGGATTACGTATAAAATCTAGAGAGAAGCATTCTCAGGAACTACTTTGTGATGTTTGCATTGAAGTCACAGAATTGAACATTCACTATGATAGAGCAGGTTTGAAACACTCATGCTGTAGTATCTGGAAGTGGACATTTCAAGCGCTTTCAGGCCTATGGGGAGAAAGGAAATATCTTCAAATTAAAACTAGACAGAAGCATTCTCAGAAACTTATTTGTGATGTGTGTCCTCAACTAACAGAGTTGAAACTTTGTTTTGATACAGCATTTTGGAAACACTCTTTTTGTAGAATCTGCAGGTGGATATTTGGATAGCTTAGAGGGATTCGTTGGAAAGGGGATATCTTCATATAAAATCTAGACAGAAGCATTCTCAGAAACTTATTTGTGATGTGTGTCCTCAACTAACAGAGTTGAACCTTGGTTTTGATACAGCATTTTGGAAACACTCCTTTTGTAGAATCTGCAGGTGGATATGTGGATAGCTCTGAAGATTTCGTTGGAAACGGGAATTTCTTCATATAAAATCAAACAGAAGCATTCTCAGAAACTTCTCAGTGATGTTTGCATTCAGCTCATGGAGTTGAACACTTCCTTTCATAGAGCAGGTTTGAAACACTCTTTCTGCACTACCTGGAAGAGGACATTTCGAGCGCTTTGAGTCCTATGGTGAAAAAGGAAATATCTTCTCATAGAAACCAGAAAGAAGCGTTCTCAGAAACTTCTTTGTGTTGTGTGTACTCATGTAACAGTGTTGAACCATCCTTTTGACAGAGCAGTTTTGAAACACTCTTTTTGTAGAATCTGCAAGTGTATATTTGGATAGCTTTGAGGATTTCGTTGGAAACGGGTTATCTTCATATTAAATCTAGACAGAAGCATTCTCAGGAACTTCTTTGTGATGTTTGCATTCAAGTCACAGAATTGAACATTCCCTTTCATAGAGCAGGTTTGAAACACTCTTTCTCTAGTATCTGGAAGTGGGCATTTCAAGCGCTTTCAGGCCTATGGAGAGAAAGGAAATACCTTCAAATAAAAACTAGACAGAAGCATTCTCAGAAACTTATTTGTGATGTGTGTCCTCAACTAACAGAGTTGAACCTTTGTTTTGATACAGCATTTTGGAAACACTCCTTTTGTAGAATCTGCAGGTGGATATTTGGATAGCTTTGAAGATTTCGTTGGAAACCGGAATATCTTCATATAAAATCAAGACAGAAGCATTCTCGGAAACATCTCTGTGATGTTTGCATTCAACTCAGTAGAGTTGAACACTTCCTTTCATAGAGCAGGTTTGAAACACTCTTTCTGCACTACCTGGAAGCGGACATTTCGAGCGCTTTGAGGCCTATGGTGAAAAAGGAAATATCTTCTCATAAAAACCAGAAAGAAGCATTCTCAGAAACTTCTTTGTGTTGTGTGTACTCAAGTAACAGTGTTGAACCTTCCTTTTGACAGAGTAGTTTTGAAACACTCTTTTGGTAGAATCTGCAAGTGGATATTTGGATAGCTTTGAGGATTTCGTTGGAAACGGGTTATCTTCATATAAAATCCAGACAGGAGCATTCTCAGAAACTTCTTTGTGCTGTATGTCCTCAATTCACAGAGCTGAACCTTTGTTTGGATACAGCATTTTGGAGACATTCCTTTAGTAGAATCTGCAAGTTGATATTTAGATAGCTTTGAAGATTTCGTTGGAAACGGGAATATCTTCATAGAAAATCTAGACGGAAGCATTCACATAAACTGCTTTGTGATGTTTGCATTCAAGTCACAGATTTGAATATTCCCTTTTATAGAGTAGGTTTGAAACACTCTTTCGGCACTACCTGGAAGTGGATATTTCGAGCTGTTTGAGGCCTATGGTTAAAAGGAAATATCTTCCCATAAAAACTAGACAGAAGCCGTCTCAGAAACTTGTTTGTGATGTGTGTATTCAACTACCAGAGTTGAACATTTCTGTTACAGAGCAATTTTAAAACACTCTTTCTGTGGAATCTGAAAGTGGATAATTGGATAGCTTTGTGGATTTCGTTGGAAACGGGATGACGTATAAAATCTAGAGAGAAGCATTCTCAGGAACTTCTTTCTGATGTTTGCATTCAAGTCACAGAATTGAACATTCCTTTTCAGAGTGCAGGTTTGAAACACTCTTTCTGTAGTATCTGGAAGTGGACATTTCAAGCGCTTTCAGGCCTACGGGGAGAAAGGAAATATCTTCAAATAAAAACTAGACAGAAGGCTTCTCAGAAACTTATTTGTGATGTGTGTCCTAAACGAACACAGTTGAACCTTTGTTTTGATACAGCATTTTGGAAACACTCCTTTTGCAGAATCTGCAGGTGGATATTTGGATAGATTTTAAGATTTCGTTGGAAACGGGAATTTCTTCATAGAAACTCAAGACAGATGCATTCTCAGAAACTTCTCTGTGATGTTTGCATTCCACTCATAGAGTTGAAAACTTCCTTTCATAGAGCAGGTTTGAAACACTCTTTCTGTAATATTTGGAAGTGGACATTTGCAGCGCTTTGAGGCCTATGGTGAAAAAGGAAATATCTTCTCATAAAAACCAGAAACAAGCATTCTCAGAAACTTCTTTTTGATGTGTGTACTCAAGTAACAGAGTTGAACCTTCCTTTTGACACAGCAGTTTTGAAACAATCTTTTTGTAGAATCTGCAAGTGGATATTTGGATAGATTTGAGGATTTCGTTGGAAACGGGATATCTTCATATAAAATCTAGACAGAAGCATTCTCAGAAACTTCTTTGTGCTGTATGACCTCAATTAACAGAGTTGAACCATTGCTTGCATACAGCATTTTGGAAACATTCCTTGAGTAGAATCTGCAAGTTGATATTTAGATAGATTTGAAGATTTCGTTCGAAAACGGAATATCTCCATATAAAATCTAGAGGGAAGCATTCTCAGAAACTGCTTTGTGATGTTTCCATTCAAGTCACAGAGTTGAATATTCCCTTTTATAGAGCACGTTTGAAACACTCTTTCTGCGCTATCTGGAAGTGGACATTTCGAGCGCTTTGAGGCCTATGGTGAAAAAGGAAATATCTTCCCATAAAAACTAGACAGAAGCATTCTCAGAAACTTGTTTGTGATGTGTGTATTCAACTAACAGACTTGAACTTTTGTTTTTACAGAGCAGTTTTAAAACAATCTTTTTGTGGAATCAGAAAGTGGATATTCGGATGGCTTTGAGGATTTCGTTGGAAGCGGGATTACATATAAAATCTAGAGAGAAGCATTCTCAGGAACTTCTTTCTGATGTTTGCATTGAAGTCACGGAATTGAACATTCACTTTTATAGAGCAGGTTTGAAACACTCATTCTGTAGTATCTGGAAGTGGACATTTCAAGCGCTTTCAGGCCTATGGTGAGAAAGGAAATATCTTCGAATAAAAACTAGACAGAAGCATTCTCAGAAACTTATTTGTGATGTGTGTCCTCAACTAACAGAGTTGAAACTTTGTTTTGATACAGCATTTTGGAAACACTCTTTTTGTAGAATCTGCAGGTGGATATTTGGATAGCTTAGAGGGATTCGTTGGAAAGGGGATATCTTCATATAAAATCTAGACAGAAGCATTCTCAGAAACATATTTGTGATGTGTGTCCTCAACTAACAGAGTTGAACCTTGGTTTTGATACAGCATTTTGGAAACACTCCTTTTGTAGAATCTGCAGGTGGATATGTGGATAGCTCTGAAGATTTCGTTGGAAACGGGAATTTCTTCATATAAAATCAAACAGAAGCATTCTCAGGAACTTCTCTGTGATGTTTGCATTCAGCTCATGGAGTTGAACACTTCCTTTCATAGAGCAGGTTTGAAACACTCTTTCTGCACTACCTGGAAGTGGACATTTCGAGCGCTTTGAGGCCTATGGTGAAAAAGGAAATATCCTCTCATAAAAACCAGAAAGAAGCATTCTCAGAAACTTCTTTGTGTTGTGTGTACTCATGTAACAGTGTTGAACCATCCTTTTGACAGAGGAGTTTTGAAACACTCTTTTTGTAGAATCTGCAAGTGGATATTTGGATAGCTTTGAGGATTTCGTTGGAAACGGGATGACATATAATATCTAGAGAGAAGCATTCTCAGGAACTTCTTTGTGATGTTTGCATTCAAGTCACAGAATTGAACATTCCCTTTCATAGAGCAGGTTTGAAACACTCTTTCTCTAGTATCTGGAAGTGGGCATTTCAAGCGCTTTCAGGCCTATGGAGAGAAAGGAAATACCTTCAAATAAAAACTAGACAGAAGCATTCTCAGAAACTTATTTGTGATGTGTGTCCTCAACTAACAGAGTTGAACCTTTGTTTTGATACAGCATTTTGGAAACACTCCTTTTGTAGAATCTGCAGGTGGATATTTGGATAGCTTTGAAGATTTCGTTGGAAACCGGAATATCTTCATATAAAATCAAGACAGAAGCATTCTCGGAAACATCTCTGTGATGTTTGCATTCAACTCAGTAGAGTTGAACACTTCCTTTCATAGAGCAGGTTTGAAACACTCTTTCTGCCCTACCTGGAAGCGGACATTTCGAGCTCTTTGAGGCCTATGGTGAAAAAGGAAATATCTTCTCATAAAAACCAGAAAGAAGCATTCTCAGAAACTTCTTTGTGTTGTGTGTACTCAAGTAACAGTGTTGAACCTTCCTTTTGACAGAGCAGTTTTGAAACACTCTTTTGGTAGAATCTGCAAGTGGATATTTGGAGAGCTTTGAGGATTTCGTTGGAAACGGGTTATCTTCATATAAAATCCAGACAGGAGCATTCTCAGAAACTTCTTTGTGCTGTATGTCCTCAATTCACAGAGCTGAACCTTTGTTTGGATACAGCATTTTGGAGACATTCCTTTAGTAGAATCTGCAAGTTGATATTTAGATAGCTTTGAAGATTTCGTTGGAAACGGGAATATCTTCATAGAAAATCTAGACGGAAGCATTCTCAGAAACTGCTTTGTGATGTTTGCATTCAAGTCACAGAGTTGAATATTCCCTTTTATAGAGTAGGTTTGAAACACTCTTTCGGCACTACCTGGAAGTGGATATTTCGAGCTCTTTGAGGCCTATGGTTAAAAGGAAATATCTTCCCATAAAAACTAGACAGAAGCCTTCTCAGAAACATGTTTGAGATGTGTGTATTCAACTAAGAGCGTTGAACATTTCTTTTTACTGAGCAGTTTTAAAACAGTCTTTTGGTGGAATCTGAAAGTGGATAATTGGATAGCTTTGTGGATTTCGTTGGAAACGGGATTACGTTTAAAATCTAGAGAGAAGCATTCTCAGGAACTTCTTTCTGATGTTTGCATTCAAGTCACAGAATTGAACATTCCTTTTCATAGTGCAGGTTTGAAACACTCTGTAGTATCTGGAAGTGGACATTTCAAGGGCTTTCAGGCCTATGGGGAGAAAGGAAATATCTTGAAATAAAAACTAGACAGAAGGATTCTCAGAAACTTATTTGTGATGTGTGTCCTAAACGAACACAGTTGAACCTTTGTTTTGATACAGCATTTTGGAAACACTCCTTTTGTAGAATCTGCAGGTGGATATTTGGATAGATTTTAAGATTTCATTGGAAACGGGAATTTCTTCATATAAACTCAAGACAGATGCATTCTCAGAAACTTCTCTGTGATGTTTGCATTCCACTCATAGAGTTGAAAACTTCCTTTCATAGAGCAGGTTTGAAACACTCTTTTTGTAATATTTGGAAGTGGACATTTGCAGCGCTTTGAGGCCTATGGTGAAAAAGGAAATATCTTCTCATAAAAACCAGAAACAAGCATTCTCAGAAACTTCTTTTTGATGTGTGTACTCAAGTAACAGAGTTGAACCTTCCTCTTGACACAGCAGTTTTGAAACAATCTTTTTGTAGAATCTGCAAGTGGATATTTGGATAGCTTTGAGGATTTCGTTGGAAACGGGATATCTTCATATAAAATCTAGACAGAAGCATTCTCAGAAACTTCTTTGTGCTGTATGTCCTCAATTAACAGAGTTGAACCATTGCTTGGATACAGCATTTTGGAAACATTCCTTTAGTAGAATCTGCAAGTTGATATTTAGATAGATTTGAAGATTTCGTTGGAAACGGGAATATCTTCATATAAAATCTAGACGGAAGCATTCTCAGAAACTGCTTTGTGATGTTTCCATTCAAGTCACAGAGTTGAATATTCCCTTTTAAAGAGCACGTTTGAAACACTCTTTCTGCACTATCTGGAAGCGGACATTTCGAGCGCTTTGAGGCCTATGGTGAAAAAGGAAATATCTTCCCATAAAAACTAGACAGAAGCATTCTCAGAAACTTGTTTGTGATGTGTGTATTCAACTAACAGAGTTGAACTTTTGTTTTTACAGAGCCGTTTTAAAACACTCTTTTTGTGGAATCAGAAAGTGGATATTCGGATGGCTCTGAGGATTTCGTTGGAAGCGGGATTACGTATAAAATCTAGAGAGAAGCATTCTCAGGAACTTTCTTTGTGATGTTTGCATTGAAGTCACAGAATTGAACATTCACTTTGATAGAGCAGGTTTGAAACACTCATTCTGTAGGATCTGGAAGTGGACATTTCAAGCGCTTTCAGGCCTATGGTGAGAAAGGAAATATCTTCGAATAAAAACTAGACAGAAGCATCCTCAAACTTATTTGTGATGTGTGTCCTCAACTAACAGAGTTGAAACTTTGTTTTGATACAGCATTTTGGAAACACTCTTTTTGTAGAATCTGCAGGTGGATATTTGGATAGCTTAGAGGGATTCGTTGGAAAGGGGATATCTTCATATAGAATCTAGACAGAAGCATTCTCAGAAACTTATTTGTGATGTGTGTCCTCAACTAACAGAGTTGAACTTTGGTTTTGATACAGCATTTTGGAAACACTCCTTTTGTAGAATCTGCAGGTGGATATGTGGATAGCTCTGAAGATTTCGTTGGAAACGGGAATTTCTTCATATAAAATCAAACAGAAGCATTCTTAGAAACTTCTCAGTGATGTTTGCATTCAGCTCATGGAGTTGAACACTTCCTTTCATAGAGCAGGTTTGAAACACTCTTTCTGCACTACCTGGAAGAGGACATTTCGAGCGCTTTGAGTCCTATGGTGAAAAAGGAAATATCTTCTCATAGAAACCAGAAAGAAGCATTCTCAGAAACTTCTTTGTGTTGTGTGTACTCATGTAACAGTGTTGAACCATCCTTTTGACAGAGGAGTTTTGAAACACTCTTTTTGTAGAATCTGCAAGTGGATATTTGGATAGCTTTGAGGATTTCGTTGGAAACGGGATGACATATAATATCTAGAGAGAAGCATTCTCAGGAACTTCTTTGTGATGTTTGCATTCAAGTCACAGAATTGAACATTCCCTTTCATAGAGCAGGTTTGAAACACTCTTTCTCTAGTATCTGGAAGTGGGCATTTCAAGCGCTTTCAGGCCTATGGAGAGAAAGGAAATACCTTCAAATAAAAACTAGACAGAAGCATTCTCAGAAACTTATTTGTGATGTGTGTCCTCAACTAACAGAGTTGAACCTTTGTTTTGATACAGCATTTTGGAAACACTCCTTTTGTAGAATCTGCAGGTGGATATTTGGATAGCTTTGAAGATTTCGTTGGAAACCGGAATATCTTCATATAAAATCAAGACAGAAGCATTCTCGGAAACATCTCTGTGATGTTTGCATTCAACTCAGTAGAGTTGAACACTTCCTTTCATAGAGCAGGTTTGAAACACTCTTTCTGCACTACCTGGAAGCGGACATTTCGAGCGCTTTGAGGCCTATGGTGAAAAAGGAAATATCTTCTCATAAAAACCAGAAAGAAGCATTCTCAGAAACTTCTTTGTGTTGTGTGTACTCAAGTAACAGTGTTGAACCTTCCTTTTGACAGAGCAGTTTTGAAACACTCTTTTGGTAGAATCTGCAAGTGGATATTTGGATAGCTTTGAGGATTTCGTTGGAAACGGGTTATCTTCATATAAAATCCAGACAGGAGCATTCTCAGAAACTTCTTTGTGCTGTATGTCCTCAATTCACAGAGCTGAACCTTTGTTTGGATACAGCATTTTGGAGACATTCCTTTAGTAGAATCTGCAAGTTGATATTTAGATAGCTTTGAAGATTTCGTTGGAAACGGGAATATCTTCATAGAAAATCTAGACGGAAGCATTCTCAGAAACTGCTTTGTGATGTTTGCATTCAAGTCACAGAGTTGAATATTCCCTTTTATAGAGTAGGTTTGAAACACTCTTTCGGCACTACCTGGAAGTGGATATTTCGAGCTCTTTGAGGCCTATGGTTAAAAGGAAATATCTTCCCATAAAAACTAGACAGAAGCATTCTCAGAAACTTGTTTGTGATGTGTGTATTCAACTGAGTTGAACTTTCTTTATACAGAGCAATTTTGAAACACTCTTTTTGTGGAATCTGAGAGTGGATATTTGGATAGCTTTGAGGATTTCGTTGGAAACGGGATTACATATAAACTCTAGAGAGAAGCATTCTCAGGAACTTCTTTGTGATGTTTGAATTCAAGTCACAGAATTGAACATTCCCTTTCATAGAGCAGGTTTGAAACACTCTTTCTGTAGTATCTGCAAGTGGACATTTCAAGCGCTTTCAGGCCTATGGTGAGAAAGGAAATATCTTCAAATAAAAACTGGACATAAACATTCTCAGAAACTTATTAGTGATGTGTGTCCCCAACTAACAGAGTTGAACCTTTGTTTTGATACAGCATTTTGGAAACACTGTTTTTGTAGAATCTGCGGGTGGATATTTGGATAGCTTTGAAGATTTTGTTGGAAACGGAAATATCTTCATATAAAATCAAGAAAGAAGCATTCTCAGAAACTTGTTTGTGATGTGTGTATTCAACTAACAGAGTTGAACTTTTGTTTTTACAGAGCCGTTTTAAAACACTCTTTTTGTGGAATCAGAAAGTGGATATTCGGATGGCTACTGAGGATTTCGTTGGAAGCGGGATTACGTATAAAATCTAGAGAGAAGCATTCTCAGGAACTTCTTTGTGATGTTTGCATTGAAGTCCACAGAATTGAACATTCACTTTGATAGAGCAGGTTTGAAACACTCATTCTGTAGTATCTGGAAGTGGACATTTCAAGCGCTTTCAGGCCTATGGTGAGAAAGGAAATATCTTCGAATAAAAACTAGACAGAAGCATCCTCAAACTTATTTGTGATGTGTGTCCTCAACTAACAGAGTTGAAACTTTGTTTTGATACAGCATTTTGGAAACACTCTTTTTGTAGAATCTGCAGGTGGATATTTGGATAGCTTAGAGGGATTCGTTGGAAAGGGGATATCTTCATATAGAATCTAGACAGAAGCATTCTCAGAAACTTATTTGTGATGTGTGTCCTCAACTAACAGAGTTGAACCTTGGTTTTGATACAGCATTTTGGAAACACTCCTTTTGAAGAATCTGCAGGTGGATATGTGGATAGCTTTGAAGATTTCGTTGGAAACGGGAATTTCTTCATATAAAATCAAACAGAAGCATTCTCAGAAACTTCTCAGTGATGTTTGCATTCAGTTCATGGAGTTGAACACTTCCTTTCATAGAGCCGGTTTGAAACACTCTTTCTGCACTACCTGGAAGAGGACATTTCGAGCGCTTTGAGTCCTATGGTGAAAAAGGAAATATCTTCTCATAGAAACCAGAAAGAAGCGTTCTCAGAAACTTCTTTGTGTTGTGTGTACTCATGTAACAGTGTTGAACCATCCTTTTGACAGAGCAGTTTTGAAACACTCTTTTTGTAGAATCTGCAAGTGGATATTTGGATAGCTTTGAGGATTTCGTTGGAAACGGGTTATCTTCATATTAAATCTAGACAGAAGCATTCTCAGGAACTTCTTTGTGATGTTTGCATTCAAGTCACAGAATTGAACATTCCCTTTCATAGAGCAGGTTTGAAACACTCTTTCTCTAGTATCTGGAAGTGGGCATTTCAAGCGCTTTCAGGCCTATGGAGAGAAAGGAAATACCTTCAAATAAAAACTAGACAGAAGCATTCTCAGAAACTTATTTGTGATGTGTGTCCTCAACTAACAGAGTTGAACCTTTGTTTTGATACAGCATTTTGGAAACACTCCTTTTGTAGAATCTGCAGGTGGATATTTGGATAGCTTTGAAGATTTCGTTGGAAACCGGAATATCTTCATATAAAATCAAGACAGAAGCATTCTCGGGAAACATCTCTGTGATGTTTGCATTCAACTCAGTAGAGTTGAACACTTCCTTTCATAGAGCAGGTTTGAAACACTCTTTCTGCACTACCTGGAAGCGGACATTTCGAGCGCTTTGAGGCCTATGGTGAAAAAGGAAATATCTTCTCATAAAAACCAGAAAGAAGCATTCTCAGAAACTTCTTTGTGTTGTGTGTACTCAAGTAACAGTGTTGAACCTTCCTTTTGACAGAGCAGTTTTGAAACACTCTTTTGGTAGAATCTGCAAGTGGATATTTGGATAGCTTTGAGGAATTCGTTGGAAACGGGTTATCTTCATATAAAATCCAGACAGGAGCATTCTCAGAAACTTCTTTGTGCTGTATGTCCTCAATTCACAGAGCTGAACCTTTGTTTGGATACAGCATTTTGGAGACATTCCTTTAGTAGAATCTGCAAGTTGATATTTAGATAGCTTTGAAGATTTCGTTGGAAACGGGAATATCTTCATAGAAAATCTAGACGGAAGCATTCTCAGAAACTGCTTTGTGATGTTTGCATTCAAGTCACAGAGTTGAATATTCCCTTTTATAGAGTAGGTTTGAAACACTCTTTCGGCACTACCTGGAAGTGGATATTTCGAGCTCTTTGAGGCCTATGGTTAAAAGGAAATATCTTCCCATAAAAACTAGACAGAAGCCGTCTCAGAAACTTGTTTGTGATGTGTGTATTCAACTAACAGAGCTGAACATTTCTGTTACAGAGCAGTTTTAAAACACTCTTTTTGTGGAATCTGAAAGTGGATAATTGGATAGCTTTGTGGATTTCGTTGGAAACGGGGTGACGTATAAAATCTAGAGAGAAGCATTCTCAGGAACTTCTTTCTGATGTTTGCATTCAAGTCACAGAATTGAACATTCCTTTTCATAGTGCAGGTTTGAAACACTCTTTCTGTAGTATCTGGAAGTGGACATTTCAAGCGCTTTCAGGCCTATAGGGAGAAAGGAAATACCTTCAAATTAAAAACTAGACAGAAGGATTCTCAGAAACTTATTTGTGATGTGTGTCGTAAACGAACACAGTTGAACCTTTGTTTTGATACAGGATTTTGGAAACACTCCTTTTGTAGAATCTGCAGGTGGATATTTGGATAGATTTTAAGATTTCGTTGGAAATGGGAATTTCTTCATAGAAACTCAAGACAGATGCATTCTCAGAAACTTCTCTGTGATGTTTGCATTCCACTCATAGAGTTGAAAACTTCCTTTCATAGAGCAGGTTTGAAACACTCTTTTTGTAATATTTGGAAGTGGACATTTGCAGCGCTTTGAGGCCTATGGTGAAAAAGGAAATATCTTCTCATAAAAACCAGAAACAAGCATTCTCAGAAACTTCTTTTTGATGTGTGTACTCAAGTAACAGAGTTGAACCTTCCTCTTGACACAGCAGTTTTGAAACAATCTTTTTGTAGAATCTGCAAGTGGATATTTGGATAGCTTTGAGGATTTCGTTGGAAACGGGATATCTTCATATAAAATCTAGACAGAAGCATTCTCAGAAACTTCTTTGTGCTGTATGTCCTCAATTAACAGAGTTGAACCATTGCCTGGATACAGCATTTTGGAAACATTCCTTGAGTAGAATCTGCAAGTTGATATTTAGATAGATTTGAAGATTTCGTTGGAAAAGGGAATATCTCCATATAAAATCTAGAGGGAAGCATTCTCAGAAACTGCTTTGTGATGTTTCCATTCAAGTCACAGAGTTGAATATTCCCTTTTATAGAGCACGTTTGAAACACTCTTTCTGCACTATCTGGAAGCGGACATTTCGAGCGCTTTGAGGCCTATGGTGAAAAAGGAAATATCTTCCCATAAAAACTAGACAGAAGCATTCTCAGAAACTTGTTTGTGATGTGTGTATTCAACTAACAGAGTTGAACTTTTGTTTTTACAGAGCCGTTTTAAAACACTCTTTTTGTGGAATCAGAAAGTGGATATTCGGATGGCTCTGAGGATTTCGTTGGAAGCGGGATTACGTATAAAATCTAGAGAGAAGCATTCTCAGGAACTACTTTGTGATGTTTGCATTGAAGTCACAGAATTGAACATTCACTTTGATAGAGCAGGTTTGAAACACTCATTCTGTAGTATCTGGAAGTGGACATTTCAAGCGCTTTCAGGCCTATGGGGAGAAAGGAAATATCTTCAAATTAAAACTAGACAGAAGCATCCTCAAACTTATTTGTGATGTGTGTCCTCAACTAACAGAGTTGAAACTTTGTTTTGATACAGCATTTTGGAAACACTCTTTTTGTAGAATCTGCAGGTGGATATTTGGATAGCTTAGAGGGATTCGTTGGAAAGGGGATATCTTCATATAGAATCTAGACAGAAGCATTCTCAGAAACTTATTTGTGATGTGTGTCCTCAACTAACAGAGTTGAACTTTGGTTTTGATACAGCATTTTGGAAACACTCCTTTTGTAGAATCTGCAGGTGGATATGTGGATAGCTCTGAAGATTTCGTTGGAAACGGGAATTTCTTCATAGAAAATCAAACAGAAGCATTCTCAGAAACTTCTCAGTGATGTTTGCATTCAGCTCATGGAGTTGTACACTTCCTTTCATAGAGCAGGTTTGAAACACTCTTTCTGCACTACCTGGAAGAGGACATTTCGAGCGCTTTGAGTCCTATGGTGAAAAAGGAAATATCTTCTCATAGAAACCAGAAAGAAGCATTCTCAGAAACTTCTTTGTGTTGTGTGTACTCATGTAACAGTGTTGAACCATCCTTTTGACAGAGCAGTTTTGAAACACTCTTTTTGTAGAATCTGCAAGTGGATATTTGGATAGCTTTGAGGATTTCGTTGGAAACGGGATGACATATAATATCTAGAGAGAAGCATTCTCAGGAACTTCTTTGTGATGTTTGCATTCAAGTCACAGAATTGAACATTCCCTTTCATAGAGCAGGTTTGAAACACTCTTTCTCTAGTATCTGGAAGTGGGCATTTCAAGCGCTTTCAGGCCTATGGAGAGAAAGGAAATACCTTCAAATAAAAACTAGACAGAAGCATTCTCAGAAACTTATTTGTGATGTGTGTCCTCAACTAACAGAGTTGAACCTTTGTTTTGATACAGCATTTTGGAAACACTCCTTTTGTAGAATCTGCAGGTGGATATTTGGATAGCTTTGAAGATTTCGTTGGAAACCGGAATATCTTCATATAAAATCAAGACAGAAGCATTCTCGGAAACATCTCTGTGATGTTTGCATTCAACTCAGTAGAGTTGAACACTTCCTTTCATAGAGCAGGTTTGAAACACTCTTTCTGCACTACCTGGAAGCGGACATTTCGAGCGCTTTGAGGCCTATGGTGAAAAAGGAAATATCTTCTCATAAAAACCAGAAAGAAGCATTCTCAGAAACTTCTTTGTGTTGTGTGTACTCATGTAACAGTGTTGAACCATCCTTTTGACAGAGCAGTTTTGAAACACTCTTTTGGTAGAATCTGCAAGTGGATATTTGGATAGCTTTGAGGATTTCGTTGGAAACGGGTTATCTTCCTATAAAATCCAGACAGGAGCATTCTCAGAAACTTCTTTGTGCTGTATGTCCTCAATTCAGAGAGTTGATCCTTTGTTTGGATACAGCATTTTGGAAACATTCCTTTAGTAGAATCTGCAAGTTGATATTTAGATAGCTTTGACGATTTCGTTGGAAACGGGAATATCTTCATAAAAAATCTAGACGGAAGCATTCTCAGAAACTGCTTTGTGATGTTTGCATTCAAGTCACAGAGTTGAATATTCCCTTTTATAGAGTAGGTTTGAAACACTCTTTCGGCACTACCTGGAAGTGGATATTTCGAGCTCTTTGAGGCCTATGGTTAAAAGGAAATATCTTCCCATAAAAACTAGACAGAAGCCGTCTCAGAAACTTGTTTGTGATGTGTGTATTCAACTACCAGAGTTGAACATTTCTGTTACAGAGCAATTTTAAAACACTCTTTCTGTGGAATCTGAAAGTGGATAATTGGATAGCTTTGTGGATTTCGTTGGAAACGGGATGACGTATAAAATCTAGAGAGAAGCATTCTCAGGAACTTCTTTCTGATGTTTGCATTCAAGTCACAGAATTGAACATTCCTTTTCAGAGTGCAGGTTTGAAACACTCTTTCTGTAGTATCTGGAAGTGGACATTTCAAGCGCTTTCAGGCCTACGGGGAGAAAGGAAATATCTTCAAATAAAAACTAGACAGAAGGATTCTCAGAAACTTATTTGTGATGTGTGTCCTAAACGAACACAGTTGAACCTTTGTTTTGATACAGCATTTTGGAAACACTCCTTTTGTAGGATCTGCAGGTGGATATTTGGATAGATTTTAAGATTTCGTTGGAAACGGGAATTTCTTCATAGAAGCTCAAGACAGATGCATTCTCAGAAACTTCTCTGTGATGTGTGCATTCCACTCATAGAGTTGAAAACTTCCTTTCATAGAGCAGGTTTGAAACACTCTTTTTGTAATATTTGGAAGTGGACATTTGCAGCGCTTTGAGGCCTATGGTGAAAAAGGAAATATCTTCTCATAAAAACCAGAAACAAGCATTCTCAGAAACTTCTTTTTGATGTGTGTACTCAAGTAACAGAGTTGAACCTTCCTTTTGACACAGCAGTTTTGAAACAATCTTTTTGTAGAATCTGCAAGTGGATATTTGGATAGCTTTGAGGATTTCGTTGGAAACGGGATATCTTCATATAAAATCTAGACAGAAGCATTCTCAGAAACTTCTTTGTGCTGTATGTCCTCAATTAACAGAGTTGAACCATTGCCTGGATACAGCATTTTGGAAACATTCCTTGAGTAGAATCTGCAAGTTGATATTTAGATAGATTTGAAGATTTCGTTGGAAAAGGGAATATCTCCATATAAAATCTAGAGGGAAGCATTGTCAGAAACTGCTCTGTGATGTTTGCATTCAAGTCACAGAGTTAAATATTCTTTTACAGAGCAGGTTTGAAACACTCTTTCTGCACTCCCTGGAAGTGGAGATTTCGAGCGCTTTGAGGCCTATGGTGAAAAAGGAAATATCTTCCCATAAAAACTAGACGGAAGCATTCTCAGAAACTTGTTTGTGATATGTGTATTCAACTAACAGACTTGAACTTTTGTTTTTACAGAGCAGTTTTAACACAATCTTTTTGTGGAATCACAAAGTGGATATTCGGATGGCTTTGAGGATTTCGTTGGAAGCGGGATTACATATAAAATCTAGAGAGAAGCATTCTCAGGAACTTCTTTGTGATGTTTGCATTGAAGTCACAGAATTCAACATTCACTTTGATAGAGCAGGTTTGAAACACTCATTCTGTAGTATCTGGAAGTGGACATTTCAAGCGCTTTCAGGCCTATGGTGAGAAAGGAAATATCTTCGAATAAAAACTAGACAGAAGCATCCTCAAACTTATTTGTGATGTGTGTCCTCAACTAACAGAGTTGAAACTTTGTTTTGATACAGCATTTTGGAAACACTCTTTTTGTAGAATCTGCAGGTGGATATTTGGATAGCTTAGAGGGATTCGTTGGAAAGGGGATATCTTCATATAGAATCTAGACAGAAGCATTCTCAGAAACTTATTTGTGATGTGTGTCCTCAACTAACAGAGTTGAACCTTGGTTTTGATACAGCATTTTGGAAACACTCCTTTTGTAGAATCTGCATGTGGATATGTGGATAGCTCTGAAGATTTCGTTGGAAACGGGAATTTCTTCATATAAAATCAAACAGAAGCATTCTCAGAAACTTCTCAGTGATGTTTGCATTCAGCTCATGGAGTTGTACACTTCCTTTCATAGAGCAGGTTTGAAACACTCTTTCTGCACTACTTGGAAGAGGACATTTCGAGCGCTTTGAGTCCTATGGTGAAAAAGGAAATATCTTCTCATAGAAACCAGAAAGAAGCATTCTCAGAAACTTCTTTGTGTTGTGTGTACTCATGTAACAGTGTTGAACCATCCTTTTGACAGAGCAGTTTTGAAACACTCTTTTTGTAGAATCTGCAAGTGGATATTTGGATAGCTTTGAGGATTTCGTTGGAAACGGGATGACATATAATATCTAGAGAGAAGCATTCTCAGGAACTTCTTTGTGATGTTTGCATTCAAGTCACAGAATTGAACATTCCCTTTCATAGAGCAGGTTTGAAACACTCTTTCTCTAGTATCTGGAAGTGGGCATTTCAAGCGCTTTCAGGCCTATGGAGAGAAAGGGAATACCTTCAAATAAAAACTAGACAGAAGCATTCTCAGAAACTTATTTGTGATGTGTGTCCTCAACTAACAGAGTTGAACCTTTGTTTTGATACAGCATTTTGGAAACACTCCTTTTGTAGAATCTGCAGGTGGATATTTGGATAGCTTTGAAGATTTCGTTGGAAACCGGAATATCTTCATATAAAATCAAGACAGAAGCATTCTCGGAAACATCTCTGTGATGTTTGCATTCAACTCAGTAGAGTTGAACACTTCCTTTCATAGAGCAGGTTTGAAACACTCTTTCTGCACTACCTGGAAGCGGACATTTCGAGCGCTTTGAGGCCTATGATGAAAAAGGAAATATCTTCTCATAAAAACCAGAAAGAAGCATTCTCAGAAACTTCTTTGTGTTGTGTGTACTCAAGTAACAGTGTTGAACCTTCCTTTTGACAGAGCAGTTTTGAAACACTCTTTTGGTAGAATCTGCAAGTGGATATTTGGATAGCTTTGAGGATTTCGTTGGAAACGGGTTATCTTCATATAAAATCCAGACAGGAGCATTCTCAGAAACTTCTTTGTGCTGTATGTCCTCAATTCACAGAGTTGAACCTTTGTTTGGATACAGCATTTTGGAAACATTCCTTTAGTAGAATCTGCAAGTTGATATTTAGATAGCTTTGAAGATTTCGTTGGAAACGGGAATATCTTCATAAAAAATCTAGACGGAAGCATTGTCAGAAACTGCTTTGTGATGTTTGCATTCAAGTCACAGAGTTAAATATTCTTTTACAGAGCAGGTTTGAAACACTCTTTCTGCACTCCCTGGAAGTGGAGATTTCAAGCGCTTTGAGGCCTATGGTGAAAAAGGAAATATCTTCCCATAAAAACTAGACGGAAGCCTTCTCAGAAACTTGTTTGAGATGTGTGTATTCAACTAAGAGCGTTGAACATTTCTTTTTACAGAGCAGTTTTAAAACACTCTTTTTGTGGAATCTGAAAGTGGATAATTGGATAGCTTTGTGGATTTCGTTGGAAACGGGATGACGTATAAAATCTAGAGAGAAGCATTCTCAGGAACTTCTTTCTGATGTTTGCATTCAAGTCACAGAATTGAACATTCCTTTTCAGAGTGCAGGTTTGAAACACTCTTTCTGTAGTATCTGGAAGTGGACATTTCAAGCGCTTTCAGGCCTACGGGGAGAAAGGAAATATCTTCAAATAAAAACTAGACAGAAGGATTCTCAGAAACTTATTTGTGATGTGTGTCCTAAACGAACACAGTTGAACCTTTGTTTTGATACAGCATTTTGGAAACACTCCTTTTGTAGGATCTGCAGGTGGATATTTGGATAGATTTTAAGATTTCGTTGGAAACGGGAATTTCTTCATAGAAGCTCAAGACAGATGCATTCTCAGAAACTTCTCTGTGATGTGTGCATTCCACTCATAGAGTTGAAAACTTCCTTTCATAGAGCAGGTTTGAAACACTCTTTTTGTAATATTTGGAAGTGGACATTTGCAGCGCTTTGAGGCCTATGGTGAAAAAGGAAATATCTTCTCATAAAAACCAGAAACAAGCATTCTCAGAAACTTCTTTTTGATGTGTGTACTCAAGTAACAGAGTTGAACCTTCCTCTTGACACAGCAGTTTTGAAACAATCTTTTTGTAGAATCTGCAAGTGGATATTTGGATAGCTTTGAGGATTTCGTTGGAAACGGGATATCTTCATATAAAATCTAGACAGAAGCATTCTCAGAAACTTCTTTGTGCTGTATGACCTCAATTAACAGAGTTGAACCATTGCTTGCATACAGCATTTTGGAAACATTCCTTGAGTAGAATCTGCAAGTTGATATTTAGATAGATTTGAAGATTTCGTTCGAAAACGGAATATCTCCATATAAAATCTAGAGGGAGGCATTCTCAGAAACTGCTTTGTGATGTTTCCATTCAAGTCACAGAGTTGAATATTCTCTTTTATAGAGCACGTTTGAAACACTCTTTCTGCACTATCTGGAAGTGGACATTTCGAGCGCTTTGAGGCCTATGGTGAAAAAGGAAATATCTTCCCATAAAAACTAGACAGAAGCATTCTCAGAAACTTGTTTGTGATGTGTGTATTCAACTAACAGAGTTGAACTTTTGTTTTTACAGAGCCGTTTTAAAACACTCTTTTTGTGGAATCAGAAAGTGGATATTCGGATGGCTCTGAGGATTTCGTTGGAAGCGGGATTACGTATAAAATCTAGAGAGAAGCATTCTCAGGAACTTCTTTGTGATGTTTGCATTGAAGTCACAGAATTGAACATTCACTTTTATAGAGCAGGTTTGAAACACTCATTCTGTAGTATCTGGAAGTGGACATTTCAAGCGCTTTCAGGCCTATGGTGAGAAAGGAAATATCTTCAAATAAAAACTAGACCGAAGCATCCTCAGAAACTTATTTGTGATGTGTGTCCTCAACTAACAGAGTTGAAACTTTGTTTTGATACAGCCTTTTGGAAACACTCCTTTTGTAGAATCTGCAGGTGGCTATTTGGATAGCTTAGAGGGATTCGTTGGAAAGGGGAAATCTTCATATAAAATCTAGACAGAAGCATTCTCAGAAACTTATTTGTGATGTGTGCCCTCAACTAACAGAGTTGAACCTTGGTTTTGATACAGCATTTTGGAAACACTCCTTTTGTAGAATCTGCAGGTGGATATGTGGATAGCTTTGAAGATTTCGTTGGAATCGGGAATTTCTTCATATAAAATCAAACAGAAGCATTCTCAGGAACTTCTCTGTGATGTTTGCATTCAGCTCATGGAGTTGAACACTTCCTTTCATAGAGCAGGTTTGAAACACTCTTTCTGCACTACCTGGAAGTGGACATTTCGAGCGCTTTGAGGCCTATGGTGAAAAAGGAAATATCCTCTCATAAAAACCAGAAAGAAGCATTCTCAGAAACTTCTTTGTGTTGTGTGTACTCATGTAACAGTGTTGAACCATCCTTTTGACAGAGGAGTTTTGAAACACTCTTTTTGTAGAATCTGCAAGTGGATATTTGGATAGCTTTGAGGATTTCGTTGGAAACGGGATGACATATAATATCTAGAGAGAAGCATTCTCAGGAACTTCTTTGTGATGTTTGCATTCAAGTCACAGAATTGAACATTCCCTTTCATAGAGCAGGTTTGAAACACTCTTTCTCTAGTATCTGGAAGTGGGCATTTCAAGCGCTTTCAGGCCTATGGAGAGAAAGGAAATACCTTCAAATAAAAACTAGACAGAAGCATTCTCAGAAACTTATTTGTGATGTGTGTCCTCAACTAACAGAGTTGAACCTTTGTTTTGATACAGCATTTTGGAAACACTCCTTTTGTAGAATCTGCAGGGGGATATTTGGATAGCTTTGAAGATTTCGTTGGAAACCGGAATATCTTCATATAAAATCAAGACAGAAGCATTCTCGGAAACATCTCTGTGATGTTTGCATTCAACTCAGTAGAGTTGAACACTTCCTTTCATAGAGCAGGTTTGAAACACTCTTTCTGCCCTACCTGGAAGCGGACATTTCGGGCGCTTTGAGGCCTATGGTGAAAAAGGAAATATCTTCTCATAAAAACCAGAAAGAAGCATTCTCAGAAACTTCTTTGTGTTGTGTGTACTCAAGTAACAGTGTTGAACCTTCCTTTTGACAGAGCAGTTTTGAAACACTCTTTTGGTAGAATCTGCAAGTGGATATTTGGATAGCTTTGAGGATTTCGTTGGAAACGGGTTATCTTCCTATAAAATCCAGACAGGAGCATTCTCAGAAACTTCTTTGTGCTGTATGTCCTCAATTCACAGAGTTGAACCTTTGTTTGGATACAGCATTTTGGAAACATTCCTTTAGTAGAATCTGCAAGTTGATATTTAGATAGCTTTGAAGATTTCGTTGGAAACGGGAATATCTTCATAAAAAATCTAGACGGAAGCATTGTCAGAAACTGCTCTGTGATGTTTGCATTCAAGTCACAGAGTTAAATATTCTTTTATAGAGCAGGTTTGAAACACTCTTTCTGCACTCCCTGGAAGTGGAGATTTCGAGCGCTTTGAGGCCTATGGTGAAAAAGGAAATATCTTCCCATAAAAACTAGACGGAAGCATTCTCAGAAACTTGTTTGTGATGTGTGTATTCAACTAACAGAGTTGAACTTTTGTTTTTACAGAGCCGTTTTAAAACACTCTTTTTGTGGAATCAGAAAGTGGATATTCGGATGGCTCTGAGGATTTCGTTGGAAGCGGGATTACGTATAAAATCTAGAGAGAAGCATTCTCAGGATCTACTTTGTGATGTTTGCATTGAAGTCACAGAATTGAACATTCACTTTGATAGAGCAGGTTTGAAACACTCATTCTGTAGTATCTGGAAGTGGACATTTCAAGCGCTTTCAGGCCTATGGGGAGAAAGGAAATATCTTCAAATTAAAACTAGACAGAAGCATCCTCAGAAACTTATTTGTGATGTGTGTCCTCAACTAACAGAGTTGAAACTTTGTTTTGATACAGCATTTTGGAAACACTCTTTTTGTAGAATCTGCAGGTGGATATTTGGATAGCTTAGAGGGATTCGTTGGAAAGGGGATATCTTCATATAAAATCTAGACAGAAGCATTCTCAGAAACTTAATTGTGATTTGTGTCCTCAACTAACAGAGTTGAACCTTGGTTTTGATACAGCATTTTGGAAACACTCCTTTTGTACAATCTGCAGGTGGATATGTGGATAGCTTTGAAGATTTCGTTGGAAACGGGAATTTCTTCATATAAAATCAAACAGAAGCATTCTCAGAAACTTCTCAGTGATGTTTGCATTCAGCTCATGGAGTTGAACACTTCCTTTCATAGAGCAGGTTTGAAACACTCTTTCTGCACTACCTGGAAGAGGACATTTCGAGCGCTTTGAGTCCTATGGTGAAAAAGGAAATATCTTCTCATAGAAACCAGAAAGAAGCATTCTCAGAAACTTCTTTGTGTTGTGTGTACTCATGTAACAGTGTTGAACCATCCTTTTGACAGAGGAGTTTTGAAACACTCTTTTTGTAGAATCTGCAAGTGGATATTTGGATAGCTTTGAGGATTTCGTTGGAAACGGGATGACATATAATATCTAGATAGAAGCATTCTCAGGAACTTCTTTGTGATGTTTGCATTCAAGTCACAGAATTGAACATTCCCTTTCATAGAGCAGGTTTGAAACACTCTTTCTCTAGTGTCTGGAAGTGGGCATTTCAAGCGCTTTCAGGCCTATGGAGAGAAAGGAAATACCTTCAAATAAAAACTAGACAGAAGCATTCTCAGAAACTTATTTGTGATGTGTGTCCTCAACTAACAGAGTTGAACCTTTGTTTTGATACAGCATTTTGGAAACACTCCTTTTGTAGAATCTGCAGGTGGATATTTGGATAGCTTTGAAGATTTCGTTGGAAACCGGAATATCTTCATATAAAATCAAGACAGAAGCATTCTCGGAAACATCTCTGTGATGTTTGCATTCAACTCAGTAGAGTTGAACACTTCCTTTCATAGAGCAGGTTTGAAACACTCTTTCTGCCCTACCTGGAAGCGGACATTTCGAGCTCTTTGAGGCCTATGGTGAAAAAGGAAATATCTTCTCATAAAAACCAGAAAGAAGCATTCTCAGAAACTTCTTTGTGTTGTGTGTACTCAAGTAACAGTGTTGAACCTTCCTTTTGACAGAGCAGTTTTGAAACACTCTTTTGGTAGAATCTGCAAGTGGATATTTGGATAGCTTTGAGGATTTCATTGGAAACGGGTTATCTTCATATAAAATCCAGACAGGAGCATTCTCAGAAACTTCTTTGTGCTGTATGTCCTCAATTAACAGAGTTGAACCATTGCTTGGATACAGCATTTTGGAAACATTCCTTGAGTAGAATCTGCAAGTTGATATTTAGATAGCTTTGAAGATTTCGTTGGAAACGGGAATATCTTCATAGAAAATCTAGACGGAAGCATTCTCAGAAACTGCTTTGTGATGTTTCCATTCAAGTCAGAGAGTTGAATATTCTCTTTTATAGAGCACGATTGAAACACTCTTTCTGCACTATCTGGAAGTGGACCTTTCGAGCGCTTTGAGGCCTATGGTGAAAAAGGAAATATCTTCCCATAAAAACTAGACAGAAGCATTCTCAGAAACTTGTTTGTGATGTGTGTATTCAACTAACAGACTTGAACTTTTGTTTTTACAGAGCAGTTTTAAAACAATCTTTTTGTGGAATCAGAAAGTGGATATTCGGATGGCTTTGAGGATTTCGTTGGAAGCGGGATTACATATAAAATCTAGAGAGAAGCATTCTCAGGAACTACTTTGTGATGTTTGCATTGAAGTCACAGAATTGAACATTCACTTTGATAGAGCAGGTTTGAAACACTCATGCTGTAGTATCTGGAAGTGGACATTTCAAGCGCTTTCAGGCCTATGGGGAGAAAGGAAATATCTTCAAATTAAAACTAGACAGAAGCATCCTCAAACTTATTTGTGATGTGTGTCCTCAACTAACAGAGTTGAAACTTTGTTTTGATACAGCATTTTGGAAACACTCTTTTTGTAGAATCTGCAGGTGGATATTTGGATAGCTTAGAGGGATTCGTTGGAAAGGGGATATCTTCATATAGAATCTAGACAGAAGCATTCTCAGAAACTTATTTGTGATGTGTGTCCTCAACTAACAGAGTTGAACCTTGGTTTTGATACAGCATTTTGGAAACACTCCTTTTGTAGAATCTGCAGGTGGATATGTGGATAGCTTTGAAGATTTCGTTGGAAACGGGAATTTCTTCATATAAAATCAAACAGAAGCATTCTCAGAAACTTCTCAGTGATGTTTGCATTCAGTTCATGGAGTTGAACACTTCCTTTCATAGAGCCGGTTTGAAACACTCTTTCTGCACTACCTGGAAGAGGACATTTCGAGCGCTTTGAGTCCTATGGTGAAAAAGGAAATATCTTCTCATAGAAACCAGAAAGAAGCATTCTCAGAAACTTCTTTGTGTTGTGTGTACTCATGTAACAGTGTTGAACCATCCTTTTGACAGAGCAGTTTTGAAACACTCTTTTTGTAGAATCTGCAAGTGGATATTTGGATAGCTTTGAGGATTTCGTTGGAAACGGGATGACATATAATATCTAGAGAGAAGCATTCTCAGGAACTTCTTTGTGATGTTTGCATTCAAGTCACAGAATTGAACATTCCCTTTCATAGAGCAGGTTTGAAACACTCTTTCTCTAGTATCTGGAAGTGGGCATTTCAAGCGCTTTCAGGCCTATGGAGAGAAAGGAAATACCTTCAAATAAAAACTAGACAGAAGCATTCTCAGAAACTTATTTGTGATGTGTGTCCTCAACTAACAGAGTTGAACCTTTGTTTTGATACAGCATTTTGGAAACACTCCTTTTGTAGAATCTGCAGGTGGATATTTGGATAGCTTTGAAGATTTCGTTGGAAACCGGAATATCTTCATATAAAATCAAGACAGAAGCATTCTCGGAAACATCTCTGTGATGTTTGCATTCAACTCAGTAGAGTTGAACACTTCCTTTCATAGAGCAGGTTTGAAACACTCTTTCTGCACTACCTGGAAGCGGACATTTCGAGCGCTTTGAGGCCTATGGTGAAAAAGGAAATATCTTCTCATAAAAACCAGAAAGAAGCATTCTCAGAAACTTCTTTGTGTTGTGTGTACTCAAGTAACAGTGTTGAACCTTCCTTTTGACAGAGCAGTTTTGAAACACTCTTTTGGTAGAATCTGCAAGTGGATATTTGGAGAGCTTTGAGGATTTCGTTGGAAACAGGTTATCTTCCTATAAAATCCAGACAGGAGCATTCTCAGGAAACTTCTTTGTGCTGTATGTCCTCAATTCACAGAGCTGAACCTTTGTTTGGATACAGCATTTTGGAGACATTCCTTTAGTAGAATCTGCAAGTTGATATTTAGATAGCTTTGAAGATTTCGATGGAAACGGGAATATCTTCATAGAAAATCTAGACGGAAGCATTCTCAGAAACTGCTTTGTGATGTTTGCATTCAAGTCACAGAGTTGAATATTCCCTTTTATAGAGTAGGTTTGAAACACTCTTTCGGCACTACCTGGAAGTGGATATTTCGAGCTCTTTGAGGCCTATGGTTAAAAGGAAATATCTTCCCATAAAAACTAGACAGAAGCCTTCTCAGAAACTTGTTTGAGATGTGTGTATTCAACTAAGAGCATTGAACATTTCTTTTTACAGAGCAGTTTTAAAACACTCTTTTGTGGAATCTGAAAGTGGATAATTGGATAGCTTTGTGGATTTCGTTGGAAACGGGATGACGTATAAAATCTAGAGAGAAGCATTCTCAGGAACTTCTTTCTGATGTTTGCATTCAAGTCACAGAATTGAACATTCCTTTTCAGAGTGCAGGTTTGAAACACTCTTTCTGTAGTATCTGGAAGTGGACATTTCAAGCGCTTTCAGGCCTACGGGGAGAAAGGAAATATCTTCAAATAAAAACTAGACAGAAGGATTCTCAGAAACTTATTTGTGATGTGTGTCCTAAACGAACACAGTTGAACCTTTGTTTTGATACAGCATTTTGGAAACACTCCTTTTGTAGAATCTGCAGGTGGATATTTGGATAGATTTTAAGATTTCATTGGAAACGGGAATTTCTTCATATAAACTCAAGACAGATGCATTCTCAGAAACTTCTCTGTGATGTTTGCATTCCACTCATAGAGTTGAAAACTTCCTTTCATAGAGCAGGTTTGAAACACTCTTTTTGTAATATTTGGAAGTGGACATTTGCAGCGCTTTGAGGCCTATGGTGAAAAAGGAAATATCTTCTCATAAAAACCAGAAACAAGCATTCTCAGAAACTTCTTTCTGATGTGTGTACTCAAGTAACAGAGTTGAACCTTCCTTTTGACACAGCAGTTTTGAAACAATCTTTTTGTAGAATCTGCAAGTGGATATTTGGATAGCTTTGAGGATTTCGTTGGAAACGGGATATCTTCATATAAAATCTAGACAGAAGCATTCTCAGAAACTTCTTTGTGCTGTATGTCCTCAATTAACAGAGTTGAACCATTGCTTGGATACAGCATTTTGGAAACATTCCTTTAGTAGAATCTGCAAGTTGATATTTAGATAGATTTGAAGATTTCGTTGGAAACAGGAATATCTTCATATAAAATCTAGACGGAAGCATTGTCAGAAACTGCTTTGTGATGTTTGCATTCAAGTCACAGAGTTAAATAGTCTTTTATAGAGCAGGTTTGAAACACTCTTTCTGCACTACCTGGAAGTGGAGATTTCGAGCGCTTTGAGGCCTATGGTGAAAAAGGAAATATCTTCCCATAAAAACTAGACGGAAGCATTCTCAGAAACTTGTTTGTGATGTGTGTATTCAACTAACAGAGTTGAACTTTTGTTTTTACAGAGCCGTTTTAAAACACTCTTTTTGTGGAATCAGAAAGTGGATATTCGGATGGCTCTGAGGATTTCGTTGGAAGCGGGATTACGTATAAAATCTAGAGAGAAGCATTCTCAGGAACTACTTTGTGATGTTTGCATTGAAGTCACAGAATTGAACATTCACTTTGATAGAGCAGGTTTGAAACACTCATTCTGTAGTATCTGGAAGTGGACATTTCAAGTGCTTTCAGGCCTATGGGGAGAAAGGAAATATCTTCAAATTAAAACTAGACAGAAGCATCCTCAAACTTATTTGTGATGTGTGTCCTCAACTAACAGAGTTGAAACTTTGTTTTGATACAGCATTTTGGAAACACTCTTTTTGTAGAATCTGCAGGTGGATATTTGGATAGCTTAGAGGGATTCGTTGGAAAGGGGATATCTTCATATAGAATCTAGACAGAAGCATTCTCAGAAACTTATTTGTGATGTGTGTCCTCAACTAACAGAGTTGAACCTTGGTTTTGATACAGCATTTTGGAAACACTCCTTTTGTAGAATCTGCAGGTGGATATGTGGATAGCTCTGAAGATTTCGTTGGAAACGGGAATTTCTTCATATAAAATCAAACAGAAGCATTCTCAGAAACTTCTCAGTGATGTTTGCATTCAGCTCATGGAGTTGTACACTTCCTTTCATAGAGCAGGTTTGAAACACTCTTTCTGCACTACCTGGAAGAGGACATTTCGAGCGCTTTGAGTCCTATGGTGAAAAAGGAAATATCTTCTCATAGAAACCAGAAAGAAGCATTCTCAGAAACTTCGTTGTGTTGTGTGTACTCATGTAACAGTGTTGAACCATCCTTTTGACAGAGCAGTTTTGAAACACTCTTTTTGTAGAATCTGCAAGTGGATATTTGGATAGCTTTGAGGATTTCGTTGGAAACGGGATGACATATAATATCTAGAGAGAAGCATTCTCAGGAACTTCTTTGTGATGTTTGCATTCAAGTCACAGAATTGAACATTCCCTTTCATAGAGCAGGTTTGAAACACTCTTTCTCTAGTATCTGGAAGTGGGCATTTCAAGCGCTTTCAGGCCTATGGAGAGAAAGGAAATACCTTCAAATAAAAACTAGACAGAAGCATTCTCAGAAACTTATTTGTGATGTGTGTCCTCAACTAACAGAGTTGAACCTTTGTTTTGATACAGCATTTTGGAAACACTCCTTTTGTAGAATCTGCAGGTGGATATTTGGATAGCTTTGAAGATTTCGTTGGAAACCGGAATATCTTCATATAAAATCAAGACAGAAGCATTCTCGGAAACATCTCTGTGATGTTTGCATTCAACTCAGTAGAGTTGAACACTTCCTTTCATAGAGCAGGTTTGAAACACTCTTTCTGCACTACCTGGAAGCGGACATTTCGAGCGCTTTGAGGCCTATGGTGAAAAAGGAAATATCTTCTCATAAAAACCAGAAAGAAGCATTCTCAGAAACTTCTTTGTGTTGTGTGTACTCAAGTAACAGTGTTGAACCTTCCTTTTGACAGAGCAGTTTTGAAACACTCTTTTGGTAGAATCTGCAAGTGGATATTTGGATAGCTTTGAGGATTTCGTTGGAAACGGGTTATCTTCATATAAAATCCAGACAGGAGCATTCTCAGAAACTTCTTTGTGCTGTATGTCCTCAATTCACAGAGTTGAACCTCTGTTTGGATACAGCATTTTGGAAACATTCCTTTAGTAGAATCTGCAAGTTGATATTTAGATAGCTTTGAAGATTTCGTTGGAAACGGGAATATCTTCATAAAAAATCTAGACGGAAGCATTGTCAGAAACTGCTTTGTGATGTTTGCATTCAAGTCACAGAGTTAAATATTCTTTTACAGAGCAGGTTTGAAACACTCTGCACTCCCTGGAAGTGGAGATTTCGAGCGCTTTGAGGCCTATGGTGAAAAAGGAAATATCTTCCCATAAAAACTAGACGGAAGCCTTCTCAGAAACTTGTTTGAGATGTGTGTATTCAACTAAGAGTGTTGAACATTTCTTTTTACAGAGCAGTTTTAAAACACTCTTTTTGTGGAATCTGAAAGTGGATAATTGGATAGCTTTGTGGATTTCGTTGGAAACGGGATTACGTATAAAATCTAGAGAGAAGCATTCTCAGGAACTTCTTTCTGATGTTTGCATTCAAGTCACAGAATTGAACATTCCTTTTCATAGTGCAGGTTTGAAACACTCTTTCTGTAGTATCTGGAAGTGGACATTTCAAGCGCTTTCAGGCCTGTGGGGAGAAAGGAAATATCTTCAAATAAAAACTAGACAGAAGGATTCTCAGAAACTTATTGGTGATGTGTGTCCTAAACGAACACAGTTGAACCTTTGTTTTGATACAGCATTTTGGAAACACTCCCTTTGTAGAATCTGCAGGTGGATATTTGGATAGATTTTAAGATTTCGTTGGAAACGGGAATTTCTTCATATAAACTCAAGACAGATGCATTCTCAGAAACTTCTCTGTGATGTTTGCATTCCACTCATAGAGTTGAAAACTTCCTTTCATAGAGCAGGTTTGAAACACTCTTTTTGTAATATTTGGAAGTGGACATTTGCAGCGCTTTGAGGCCTATGGTGAAAAAGGAAATATCTTCTCATAAAAACCAGAAACAGAGCATTCTCAGAAACTTCTTTTTGATGTGTGTACTCAAGTAACAGAGTTGAAACTTCCTATTGACCCAGCAGTTTTGAAACAATCTTTTTGTAGAATCTGCAAGTGGATATTTGGATAGATTTGAGGAGTTCGTTGGAAACGGGATATCTTCATATAAAATCCAGACAGAGCATTCTCAGAAACTTCTTTGTGCTGTATGTCCTCAATTAACAGAGTTGAACCATTGCTTGGATACAACATTTTGGAAACATTCCTTTAGTAGAATCTGCAAGTTGATATTTAGATAGCTTTGAAGATTTCGTTGGAAACGGGAATATCTTCATATAAAATCTAGATGGAAGCATTCTCAGAAACTGCTTTGTGATGTTTGCATTCAAGTCACAGAGTTGAATATTCGCTTTTATAGAGCAGGTTTGAAACACTCTTTCCGGACTTCCTGGAAGTGGACATTTCGAGCGTTTTGAGGCCTATGGTGAAAAAGGAAATATCTTCCCATAAAAACTAGACGGAAGCCTTCTCAGAAACTTGTTTGAGATGTGTGTGTTCAACTAGGAGAGTTGAACATTTCCTTTAAAGAGCAGTTTTAAAACACTCTTTTTGTGGAATCTGAAAGTGGAAGTTTGGATAGCTTTGAGGATTTCGTTGGAAGCGGGATGACATATAAAATCTAGAGAGAAGCATTCTCAGGAACTTCTTTGTGATGTTTGCATTCAAGTCACAGAATTGAACATTCCCTTTCATAGAGCAGGTTTGAAACACTCTTTCTCTAGTATCTGGAAGTGGGCATTTCAAGCGCTTTCAGGCCTATGGAGAGAAAGGAAATACCTTCAAATAAAAAACTAGACAGAAGCATTCTCAGAAACTTATTTGTGATGTGTGTCCTCAACTAACAGAGTTGAACCTTTGTTTTGATACAGCATTTTGGAAACACTCCTTTTGTAGAATCTGCAGGTGGATATTTGGATAGCTTTGAAGATTTCGTTGGAAACCGGAATATCTTCATATAAAATCAAGACAGAAGCATTCTCGGAAACATCTCTGTGATGTTTGCATTCAACTCAGTAGAGTTGAACACTTCCTTTCATAGAGCAGGTTTGAAACACTCTTTCTGCACTACCTGGAAGCGGACATTTCGAGCGCTTTGAGGCCTATGGTGAAAAAGGAAATATCTTCTCATAAAAACCAGAAAGAAGCATTCTCAGAAACTTCTTTGTGTTGTGTGTACTCAAGTAACAGTGTTGAACCTTCCTTTTGACAGAGCAGTTTTGAAACACTCTTTTGGTAGAATCTGCAAGTGGATATTTGGATAGCTTTGAGGATTTCGTTGGAAACGGGTTATCTTCCTATAAAATCCAGACAGGAGCATTCTCAGAAACTTCTTTGTGCTGTATGTCCTCAATTCACAGAGTTGAACCTTTGTTTGGATACAGCATTTTGGAAACATTCCTTTAGTAGAATCTGCAAGTTGATATTTAGATAGCTTTGAAGATTTCGTTGGAAACGGGAATATCTTCATAAAAAATCTAGACGGAAGCATTCTCAGAAACTGCTTTGTGATGTTTGCATTCAAGTCACCGAGTTGAATATTCCCTTTTATAGAGCAGGTTTGTAACACTCTTTCTGAACTACATGGAGGTGTACATTTGGAGCGCTTTGAGGCCTATGGTGAAAAAGATAATATCTTCCCATAAAAACTAGACAGAAGCCTTCTCAGAAACTTGTTTGAGATGTGTGTATTCAACTAAGAGCGTTGAACATTTCTTTTTACAGAGCAGTTTTAAAACAGTCTTTTGGTGGAATCTGAAAGTGGATAATTGGATAGCTTTGTGGATTTCGTTGGAAACGGGATTACGTTTAAAATACTAGAGAGAAGCATTCTCAGGAAATTCTTTCTGATGTTTACATTCAAGTCACAGAATTGAACATTCCTTTTCATAGTGCAGTTTTGAAACACTCTGTAGTATCTGGAAGTGGACATTTCAAGCGCTTTCAGGCCTATGGGGAGAAAGGAAATATCTTGAAATAAAAACTAGACAGAAGGATTCTCAGAAACTTATTTGTGATGTGTGTCCTAAAAGAACACAGTTGAACCTTTGTTTTGATACAGCATTTTGGAAACACTCCTTTTGTAGAATCTGCAGGTGGATATTTGGATAGATTTTAAGATTTCGTTGGAAACGGGAATTTCTTCATATAAACTCAAGACAGATGCATTCTCAGGAAACTTCTCTGTGATGTTTGCATTCCACTCATAGAGTTGAAAACTTCCTTTCATAGAGCAGGTTTGAAACACTCTTTTTGTAATATTTGGAAGTGGACATTTGCAGCGCTTTGAGGCCTATGGTGAAAAAGGAAATATCTTCTCATAAAAACCAGAAACAAGCATTCTCAGAAACTTCTTTTTGATGTGTGTACTCAAGTAACAGAGTTGAACCTTCCTCTTGACACAGCAGTTTCGAAACAATCTTTTTGTAGAATCTGCAAGTGGATATTTGGATAGCTTTGAGGATTTCGTTGGAAACGGGATATCTTCATATAAAATCTAGACAGAAGCATTCTCAGAAACTTCTTTGTGCTGTATGTCCTCAATTAACAGAGTTGAACCATTGCTTGGATACAGCATTTTGGAAACATTCCTTTAGTAGAATCTGCAAGTTGATATTTAGATAGATTTGAAGATTTCGTTGGAAACGGGAATATCTTCATATAAAATCTAGACGGAAGCATTGTCAGAAACTGCTCTGTGATGTTTGCATTCAAGTCACAGAGTTAAATATTCTTTTACAGAGCAGGTTTGAAACACTCTTTCTGCACTCCCTGGAAGTGGCGATTTCGAGCGCTTTGAGGCCTATGGTGAAAAAGGAAATATCTTCCCATAAAAACTAGACGGAAGCATTCTCAGAAACTTGTTTGTGATGTGTGTATTCAACTAACAGACTTGAACTTTTGTTTTTACAGAGCAGTTTTAAAACAATCTTTTTGTGGAATCAGAAAGTGGATATTCGGATGGCTTTGAGGATTTCGTTGGAAGCGGGATTACATATAAAATGCTAGAGAGAAGCATTCTCAGGCAACTTCTTTCTGATGTTTGCATTGAAGTCACGGAATTGAACATTCACTTTGATAGAGCAGGTTTGAAACACTCATTCTGTAGTATCTGGAAGTGGACATTTCAAGAGCTTTCAGGCCTATGGTGAGAAAGGAAATATCTTCGAATAAAAACTAGACAGAAGCATCCTCAGAAACTTATTTGTGATGTGTGTCCTCAACTAACAGAGTTGAAACTTTGTTTTGATACAGCATTTTGGAAACACTCTTTTTGTAGAATCTGCAGGTGGATATTTGGATAGCTTAGTGGGATTCGTTGGAAAGGGGATATCTTCATATAAAATCTAGACAGAAGCATTCTCAGAAACTTATTTGTGATGTGTGTCCTCAACTAACAGAGTTGAACCTTGGTTTTGATACAGCATTTTGGAAACACTCCTTTTGTAGAATCTGCAGGTGGATATGTGGATAGCTCTGAAGATTTCGTTGGAAACGGGAATTTCTTCATATAAAATCAAACAGAAGCATTCTCAGAAACTTCTCAGTGATGTTTGCATTCAGTTCATGGAGTTGAACACTTCCTTTCATAGAGCCGGTTTGAAACACTCTTTCTGCACTACCTGGAAGAGGACATTTCGAGCGCTTTGAGTCCTATGGTGAAAAAGGAAATATCTTCTCATAGAAACCAGAAAGAAGGGTTCTCAGAAACTTCTTTGTGTTGTGTGTACTCATGTAACAGTGTTGAACCATCCTTTTGTCAGAGCAGTTTTGAAACACTCTTTTTGTAGAATCTGCAAGTGGATATTTGGATAGCTTTGAGGATTTCGTTGGAAACGGGTTATCTTCATATTAAATCTAGACAGAAGCATTCTCAGGAACTTCTTTGTGATGTTTGCATTCAAGTCACAGAATTGAACATTCCCTTTCATAGAGCAGGTTTGAAACACTCTTTCTCTAGTATCTGGAAGTGGGCATTTCAAGCGCTTTCAGGCCTATGGAGAGAAAGGAAATACCTTCAAATAAAAACTAGACAGAAGCATTCTCAGAAACTTATTTGTGATGTGTGTCCTCAACTAACAGAGTTGAACCTTTGTTTTGATACAGCATTTTGGAAACACTCCTTTTGTAGAATCTGCAGGTGGATATTTGGATAGCTTTGAAGATTTCGTTGGAAACCGGAATATCTTCATATAAAATCAAGACAGAAGCATTCTCGGAAACATCTCTGTGATGTTTGCATTCAACTCAGTAGAGTTGAACACTTCCTTTCATAGAGCAGGTTTGAAACACTCTTTCTGCACTACCTGGAAGCGGACATTTCGAGCGCTTTGAGGCCTATGGTGAAAAAGGAAATATCTTCTCATAAAAACCAGAAAGAAGCATTCTCAGAAACTTCTTTGTGTTGTGTGTACTCAAGTAACAGTGTTGAACCTTCCTTTTGACAGAGCAGTTTTGAAACACTCTTTTGGTAGAATCTGCAAGTGGATATTTGGATAGCTTTGAGGATTTCGTTGGAAACGGGTTATCTTCCTATAAAATCCAGACAGGAGCATTCTCAGAAACTTCTTTGTGCTGTATGTCCGCAATTCACAGAGCTGAACCTTTGTTTGGATACAGCATTTTGGAGACATTCCTTTAGTAGAATCTGCAAGTTGATATTTAGATAGCTTTGAAGATTTCGTTGGAAACGGGAATATCTTCATAGAAAATCTAGACGGAAGCATTCTCATAAACTGCTTTGTGATGTTTGCATTCAAGTCACAGAGTTGAATATTCCCTTTTATAGAGTAGGTTTGAAACACTCTTTCGGCACTACCTGGAAGTGGATATTTCGAGCTCTTTGAGGCCTATGGTTAAAAGGAAATATCTTCCCATAAGAACTAGACAGAAAGCCTTCTCAGTAAACTTGTTTGAGATGTGTGTATTCAACTAAGAGCGTTGAACATTTCTTTTTACAGAGCAGTTTTAAAACACTCTTTTTGTGGAATCTGAAAGTGGATAATTGGATAGCTTTGTGGATTTCGTTGGAAACGGGATGACGTATAAAATCTAGAGAGAAGCATTCTCAGGAACTTCTTTCTGATGTTTCCATTCAAGTCACAGAATTGAACATTCCTTTTCATAGTGCAGGTTTGAAACACTCTTTCTGTAGTATTTGGAAGTGGACATTTCAAGCACTTTCAGGCCTATGGGGAGAAAGGAAATATCTTCAAATAAAAACTAGACAGAAGGATTCTCAGAAACTTATTTGTGATGTGTGTCCTAAACGAACACAGTTGAACCTTTGTTTTGATACAGCATTTTGGAAACACTCCTTTTGTAGAATCTGCAGGTGGATATTTGGATAGATTTTAAGATTTCATTGGAAACGGGAATTTCTTCATATAAACTCAAGACAGATGCATTCTCAGAAACTTCTCTGTGATGTTTGCATTCCACTCATAGAGTTGAAAACTTCCTTTCATAGAGCAGGTTTGAAACACTCTTTTTGTAATATTTGGAAGTGGACATTTGCAGCGCTTTGAGGCCTATGGTGAAAAAGGAAATATCTTCTCATAAAAACCAGAAACAAGCATTCTCAGAAACTTCTTTTTGATGTGTGTACTCAAGTAACAGAGTTGAACCTTCCTTTTGACACAGCAGTTTTGAAACAATCTTTTTGTAGAATCTGCAAGTGGATATTTGGATAGCTTTGAGGATTTCGTTGGAAACGGGATATCTTCATATAAAATCTAGACAGAAGCATTCTCAGAAACTTCTTTGTGCTGTATGTCCTCAATTAACAGAGTTGAACCATTGCTTGGATACAGCATTTTGGAAACATTCCTTTAGTAGAATCTGCAAGTTGATATTTAGATAGATTTGAAGATTTCGTTGGAAACGGGAATATCTTCATATAAAATCTAGACGGAAGCATTCTCAGAAACTGCTTTGTGATGTTTCCATTCAAGTCACAGAGTTGAATATTCCCTTTTATAGAGCACGTTTGAAACACTCTTTCTGCACTATCTGGAAGTGGACATTTCGAGCGCTTTGAGGCCTATGGTGAAAAAGGAAATATCTTCCCATAAAAACTAGACAGAAGCATTCTCAGAAACTTGTTTGTGATGTGTGTATTCAACTAACAGAGTTGAACTTTTGTTTTTACAGAGCCGTTTTAAAACACTCTTTTTGTGGAATCAGAAAGTGGATATTCGGATGGCTCTGAGGATTTCGTTGGAAGCGGGATTACATATAAAATCTAGAGAGAAGCATTCTCAGGAACTTCTTTGTGATGTTTGCATTGAAGTCACAGAATTGAACATTCACTTTGATAGAGCAGGTTTGAAACACTCATTCTGTAGGATCTGGAAGTGGACATTTCAAGCGCTTTCAGGCCTATGGTGAGAAAGGAAATATCTTCGAATAAAAACTAGACAGAAGCATCCTCAAACTTATTTGTGATGTGTGTCCTCAACTAACAGAGTTGAAACTTTGTTTTGATACAGCATTTTGGAAACACTCTTTTTGTAGAATCTGCAGGTGGATATTTGGATAGCTTAGAGGGATTCGTTGGAAAGGGGATATCTTCATATAAAATCTAGACAGAAGCATTCTCAGAAACTTATTTGTGATGTGTGTCCTCAACTAACAGAGTTGAACCTTGGTTTTGATACAGCATTTTGGAAACACTCCTTTTGTAGAATCTGCAGGTGGATATGTGGATAGCTCTGAAGATTTCATTGGAAACGGGAATTTCTTCATATAAAATCAAACAGAAGCATTCTCAGAAACTTCTCAGTGATGTTTGCATTCAGCTCATGGAGTTGTACACTTCCTTTCATAGAGCAGGTTTGAAACACTCTTTCTGCACTACCTGGAAGAGGACATTTCGAGCGCTTTGAGTCCTATGGTGAAAAAGGAAATATCTTCTCATAGAAACCAGAAAGAAGCATTCTCAGAAACTTCGTTGTGTTGTGTGTACTCATGTAACAGTGTTGAACCATCCTTTTGACAGAGGAGTTTTGAAACACTCTTTTTGTAGAATCTGCAAGTGGATATTTGGATAGCTTTGAGGATTTCGTTGGAAACGGGATGACATATAATATCTAGAGAGAAGCATTCTCAGGAACTTCTTTGTGATGTTTGCATTCAAGTCACAGAATTGAACATTCCCTTTCATAGAGCAGGTTTGAAACACTCTTTCTCTAGTATCTGGAAGTGGGCATTTCAAGCGCTTTCAGGCCTATGGAGAGAAAGGAAATACCTTCAAATAAAAACTAGACAGAAGCATTCTCAGAAACTTATTTGTGATGTGTGTCCTCAACTAACAGAGTTGAACCTTTGTTTTGATACAGCATTTTGGAAACACTCCTTTTGTAGAATCTGCAGGTGGATATGTGGATAGCTTTGAAGATTTCGTTGGAAACCGGAATATCTTCCTATAAAATCAAGACAGAAGCATTCTCGGAAACATCTCTGTGATGTTTGCATTCAACTCAGTAGGGTTGAACACTTCCTTTCATAGAGCAGGTTTGAAACACTCTTTCTGCACTACCTGGAAGCGGACATTTCGGGCGCTTTGAGGCCTATGGTGAAAAAGGAAATATCTTCTCATAAAAACCAGAAAGATAAGCATTCTCAGAAACTTCTTTGTGTTGTGTGTACTCAAGTAACAGTGTTGAACCTTCCTTTTGACAGAGCAGTTTTGAAACACACTTTTGGTAGAATCTGCAAGTGGATATTTGGAGAGATTTGAGGATTTCGTTGGAAACGGGTTATCTTCATATAAAATCCAGACAGGAGCATTCTCAGAAACTTCTTTGTGCTGTATGTCCTCAATTCACAGAGCTGAACCTTTGTTTGGATACAGCATTTTGGAGACATTCCTTTAGTAGAATCTGCAAGTTGATATTTAGATAGCTTTGAAGATTTCGTTGGAAACGGGAATATCTTCATAGAAAATCTAGACGGAAGCATTCTCAGAAACTGCTTTGTGATGTTTGCATTCAAGTCACAGAGTTGAATATTCCCTTTTATAGAGTAGGTTTGAAACACTCTTTCGGCACTACCTGGAAGTGGATATTTCGAGCTCTTTGAGGCCTATGGTTAAAAGGAAATATCTTCCCATAAAAACTAGACAGAAGCCGTCTCAGAAACTTGTTTGTGATGTGTGTATTCAACTAACAGAGTTGAACATTTCTGTTACAGAGCAATTTTAAAACACTCTTTGTGGAATCTGAAAGTGGATAATTGGATAGCTTTGTGGATTTCGTTGGAAACGGGATGACGTATAAAATCTAGAGAGAAGCATTCTCAGGAACTTCTTTCTGATGTTTGCATTCAAGTCACAGAATTGACATTCCTTTTCAGAGTGCAGGTTTGAAACACTCTTTCTGTAGTTTCTGGAAGTGGACATTTCAAGCGCTTTCAGGCCTATGGGGAGAAAGGAAATATCTTCAAATAAAAACTAGACAGAAGGATTCTCAGAAACTTATTTGTGATGTGTGTCCTAAACGAACACAGTTGAACCTTTGTTTTGATACAGCATTTTGGAAACACTCCTTTTGTAGGATCTGCAGGTGGATATTTGGATAGATTTTAAGATTTCGTTGGAAACGGGAATTTCTGCATATAAACTCAAGACAGATGCATTCTCAGAAACTTCTCTGTGATGTTTGCATTCCACTCATAGAGTTGAAAACTTCCTTTCATAGAACAGGTTTGAAACACTCTTTTTGTAATATTTGGAAGTGGACATTTGCAGCGCTTTGAGGCCTATGGTGAAAAAGGAAATATCTTCTGATAAAAACCAGAAACAAGCATTCTCAGAAACTACTTTTTGATGTGTGTACTCAAGTAACAGAGTTGAACCTTCCTTTTGACACAGCAGTTTTGAAACAATCTTTTTGTAGAATCTGCAAGTGGATATTTGGATAGCTTTGAGGATTTCGTTGGAAACGGGATATCTTCATATAAAATCTAGACAGAAGCATTCTCAGAAACTTCTTTGTGCTGTATGTCCTCAATTAACAGAGTTGAACCATTGCCTGGATACAGCATTTTGGAAACATTCCTTGAGTAGAATCTGCAAGTTGATATTTAGATAGATTTGAAGATTTCGTTGGAAAAGGGAATATCTCCATATAAAATCTAGAGGGAAGCATTGTCAGAAACTGCTCTGTGATGTTTGCATTCAAGTCACAGAGTTAAATATTCTTTTACAGAGCAGGTTTGAAACACTCTTTCTGCACTCCCTGGAAGTGGCGATTTCGAGCGCTTTGAGGCCTATGGTGAAAAAGGAAATATCTTCCCATAAAAACTAGACGGAAGCATTCTCAGAAACTTGTTTGTGATGTGTGTATTCAACTGAGTTGAACTTTTGTTTCTACAGAGCAGTTTTAAAACACTCTTTTTGTGGAATCAGAAAGTGGATATTCGGATGGCTCTGAGGATTTCGTTGGAAGCGGGATTACATATAAAATCTAGAGAGAAGCATTCTCAGAAACTTCTTTCTGATGTTTGCATTGAAGTCACAGAATTGAACATTCACTTTGATAGAGCAGGTTTGAAACACTCATTCTGTAGTATCTGGAAGTGGACATTTCAAGCGCTTTCAGGCCTATGGTGAGAAAGGAAATATCTTCGAATAAAAACTAGACAGAAGCATCCTCAGAAACTTATTTGTGATGTGTGTCCTCAACTAACAGAGTTGAAACTTTGTTTTGATACAGCATTTTGGAAACACTCTTTTTGTAGAATCTGCAGGTGGATACTTGGATAGCTTAGAGGGATTCGTTGGAAAGGGGATAAATTCATATAAAATCTAGACAGAAGCATTCTCAGAAAGTTATTTGTGATGTGTGTCCTCAACTAACAGAGTTGAACCTTGGTTTTGATACAGCATTTTGGAAACACTCCTTTTGTAGAATCTGCAGGTGGATATGTGGATAGCTTTGAAGATTTCGTTGGAAACGGGAATTTCTTCATATAAAATCAAACAGAAGCATTCTCAGAAACTTCTCTGTGATGTTTCCATTCAGCTCATGGAGTTGAACACTTCCTTTCAGAGAGCAGCTTTGAAACACTCTTTCTGCACTACCAGGAAGTGGACGTTTCGAGCGCTTTGAGGCCTATGGTGAAAAAGGAAATATCTTCTCATAAAAACCAGAAAGAAGCGTTCTCAGAAACTTCTTTGTGTTGTGTGTACTCATGTAACAGTGTTGAACCATCCTTTTGACAGAGCAGTTTTGAAACACTCTTTTTGTAGTATCTGCAAGTGGATATTTGGATAGCTTTGAGGATTTCGTTGGAAACGGGTTATCTTCATATTAAATCTAGACAGAAGCATTCTCAGAAACTTCTTTGTGCTGTATGTCCTCAATTCACAGAGTTGAACCTTTGTTTGGATACAGCATTTTGGAAACATTCCTTTAGTAGAATCTGCAAGTTGATATTTAGATAGCTTTGAAGATTTCGTTGGAAACGGGAATATCTTCATAAAAAATCTAGACGGAAGCATTGTCAGAAACTGCTTTGTGATGTTTGCATTCAAGTCACAGAGTTAAATATTCTTTTACAGAGCAGGTTTGAAACACTCTTTCTGCACTCCCTGGAAGTGGAGATTTCGAGCGCTTTGAGGCCTATGGTGAAAAAGGAAATATCTTCCCATAAAAACTAGACGGAAGCATTCTCAGAAACTTGTTTGTGATGTGTGTATTCAACTAACAGAGTTGAACTTTTGTTTTTACAGAGCCGTTTTAAAACACTCTTTTTGTGGAATCAGAAAGTGGATATTCGGATGGCTCTGAGGATTTCGTTGGAAGCGGGATTACATATAAAATCTAGAGAGAAGCATTCTCAGGAACTTCTTTGTGATGTTTGCATTGAAGTCACAGAATTGAACATTCACTTTGATAGAGCAGGTTTGAAACACTCATTCTGTAGTATCTGGAAGTGGACATTTCAAGCGCTTTCAGGCCTATGGTGAGAAAGGAAATATCTTCGAATAAAAACTAGACAGAAGCATCCTCAGAAACTTATTTGTGATGTGTGTCCTCAACTAACAGAGTTGAAACTTTGTTTTGATACAGCATTTTGGAAACACTCTTTTTGTAGAATCTGCAGGTGGATATTTGGATAGCTTAGAGGGATTCGTTGGAAAGGGGATATCTTCATATAAAATCTAGACAGAAGCATTCTCAGAAACTTATTTGTGATGTGTGTCCTCAACTAACAGAGTTGAACCTTGGTTTTGATACAGCATTTTGGAAACACTCCTTTTGTAGAATCTGCAGGTGGATATGTGGATAGCTCTGAAGATTTCGTTGGAAATGGGAATTTCTTCATATAAAATCAAACAGAAGCATTCTCAGAAACTTCTCAGTGATGTTTGCATTCAGCTCATGGAGTTGAACACTTCCTTTCATAGAGCCGGTTTGAAACACTCTTTCTGCACTACCTGGAAGAGGACATTTCGAGCGCTTTGAGTCCTATGGTGAAAAAGGAAATATCTTCTCATAGAAACCAGAAAGAAGCGTTCTCAGAAACTTCTTTGTGTTGTGTGTACTCATGTAACAGTGTTGAACCATCCTTTTGACAGAGCAGTTTTGAAACACTCTTTTTGTAGAATCTGCAAGTGGATATTTGGATAGCTTTGAGGATTTCGTTGGAAACGGGTTATCTTCATATTAAATCTAGACAGAAGCATTCTCAGGAACTTCTTTGTGATGTTTGCATTCAAGTCACAGAATTGAACATTCCCTTTCATAGAGCAGGTTTGAAACACTCTTTCTCTAGTATCTGGAAGTGGGCATTTCAAGCGCTTTCAGGCCTATGGAGAGAAAGGAAATACCTTCAAATAAAAACTAGACAGAAGCATTCTCAGAAACTTATTTGTGATGTGTGTCCTCAACTAACAGAGTTGAACCTTTGTTTTGATACAGCATTTTGGAAACACTCCTTTTGTAGAATCTGCAGGTGGATATTTGGATAGCTTTGAAGATTTCGTTGGAAACCGGAATATCTTCATATAAAATCAAGACAGAAGCATTCTCGGAAACATCTCTGTGATGTTTGCATTCAACTCAGTAGAGTTGAACACTTCCTTTCATAGAGCAGGTTTGAAACACTCTTTCTGCACTACCTGGAAGCGGACATTTCGAGCGCTTTGAGGCCTATGGTGAAAAAGGAAATATCTTCTCATAAAAACCAGAAAGAAGCATTCTCAGAAACTTCTTTGTGTTGTGTGTACTCAAGTAACAGTGTTGAACCTTCCTTTTGACAGAGCAGTTTTGAAACACTCTTTTGGTAGAATCTGCAAGTGGATATTTGGAGAGCTTTGAGGAATTCGTTGGAAACGGGTTATCTTCATATAAAATCCAGACAGGAGCATTCTCAGAAACTTCTTTGTGCTGTATGTCCTCAATTCACAGAGCTGAACCTTTGTTTGGATACAGCATTTTGGAGACATTCCTTTAGTAGAATCTGCAAGTTGATATTTAGATAGCTTTGAAGATTTCGTTGGAAACGGGAATATCTTCATAGAAAATCTAGACGGAAGCATTCTCAGAAACTGCTTTGTGATGTTTGCATTCAAGTCACAGAGTTGAATATTCCCTTTTATAGAGTAGGTTTGAAACACTCTTTCGGCACTACCTGGAAGTGGATATTTCGAGCTCTTTGAGGCCTATGGTTAAAAGGAAATATCTTCCCATAAAAACTAGACAGAAGCCGTCTCAGAAACTTGTTTGTGATGTGTGTATTCAACTACCAGAGTTGAACATTTCTGTTACAGAGCAATTTTAAAACACTCTTTCTGTGGAATCTGAAAGTGGATAATTGGATAGCTTTGTGGATTTCGTTGGAAACGGGATGACGTATAAAATCTAGAGAGAAGCATTCTCAGGAACTTCTTTCTGATGTTTGCATTCAAGTCACAGAATTGAACATTCCTTTTCAGAGTGCAGGTTTGAAACACTCTTTCTGTAGTATCTGGAAGTGGACATTTCAAGCGCTTTCAGGCCTACGGGGAGAAAGGAAATATCTTCAAATAAAAACTAGACAGAAGGATTCTCAGAAACTTATTTGTGATGTGTGTCCTAAACGAACACAGTTGAACCTTTGTTTTGATACAGCATTTTGGAAACACTCCTTTTGTAGGATCTGCAGGTGGATATTTGGATAGATTTTAAGATTTCGTTGGAAACGGGAATTTCTTCATAGAAGCTCAAGACAGATGCATTCTCAGAAACTTCTCTGTGATGTTTGCATTCCACTCATAGAGTTGAAAACTTCCTTTCATAGAGCAGGTTTGAAACACTCTTTTTGTAATATTTGGAAGTGGACATTTGCAGCGCTTTGAGGCCTATGGTGAAAAAGGAAATATCTTCTCATAAAAACCAGAAACAAGCATTCTCAGAAACTTCTTTTTGATGTGTGTACTCAAGTAACAGAGTTGAACCTTCCTTTTGACACAGCAGTTTTGAAACAATCTTTTTGTAGAATCTGCAAGTGGATATTTGGATAGCTTTGAGGATTTCGTTGGAAACGGGATATCTTCATATAAAATCTAGACAGAAGCATTCTCAGAAACTTCTTTGTGCTGTATGACCTCAATTAACAGAGTTGAACCATTGCTTGCATACAGCATTTTGGAAACATTCCTTGAGTAGAATCTGCAAGTTGATATTTAGATAGATTTGAAGATTTCGTTCGAAAACGGAATATCTCCATATAAAATCTAGAGGGAAGCATTCTCAGAAACTGCTTTGTGATGTTTCCATTCAAGTCACAGAGTTGAATATTCCCTTTTATAGAGCACGTTTGAAACACTCTTTCTGCGCTATCTGGAAGTGGACATTTCGAGCGCTTTGAGGCCTATGGTGAAAAAGGAAATATCTTCCCATAAAAACTAGACAGAAGCATTCTCAGAAACTTGTTTGTGATGGGTGTATTCAACTAACAGAGTTGAACTTTTGTTTTTACAGAGCCGTTTTAAAACACTCTTTTTGTGGAATCAGAAAGTGGATATTCGGATGGCTTTGAGGATTTCGTTGGAAGCGGGATTACATATAAAATCTAGAGAGAAGCATTCTCAGGAACTTCTTTGTGATGTTTGCATTCAAGTCACAGAATTGAACATTCACTTTTATAGAGCAGGTTTGAAACACTCATTCTGTAGTATCTGGAAGTGGACATTTCAAGCGCTTTCAGGCCTATGGTGAGAAAGGAGATATCTTCAAATAAAAACTAGACAGAAGCATCCTCAGAAAGTTATTTGTGATGTGTGTCCTCAACTAACAGAGTTGAAACTTTGTTTTGATACAGGCTTTTGGAAACACTCCTTTTGTAGAATCTGCAGGTGGCTATTTGGATAGCTTAGAGGGATTCGTTGGAAAGGGGATATCTTCATATAAAATCTAGACAGAAGCATTCTCAGCAAACTTATTTGTGATGTGTGTCCTCAACTAACAGAGTTGAACTTTGGTTTTGATACAGCATTTTGGAAACACTCCTTTTGTAGAATCTGCAGGTGGATATGTGGATAGCTCTGAAGATTTCGTTGGAAACGGGAATTTCTTCATATAAAATCAAACAGAAGCATTCTCAGAAACTTCTCTGTGATGTTTGCATTCAGCTCATGGAGTTGAACACTTCCTTTCATAGAGCAGGTTTGAAACACTCTTTCTGCACTACCTGGAAGCGGACATTTCGAGCGCTTTGAGGCCTATGGTGAAAAAGGAAATATCTTCTCATAAAAACCAGAAGGAAGCATTCTCAGAAACTTCTTTGTGTTGTGTGTACTCATGTAACAGTGTTGAACCATCCTTTTGACAGAGCAGTTTTGAAACACTCTTTTTGTAGAATCTGCAAGTGGATATTTGGATAGCTTTGAGGATTTCGTTGGAAATGGTTTATCTTCATATTAAATCTAGACAGAAGCATTCTCAGGAACTTCTTTGTGATGTTTGCATTCAAGTCACAGAATTGAACATTCCCTTTCATAGAGCAGGTTTGAAACACTCTTTCTCTAGTATCTGGAAGTGGGCATTTCAAGCGCTTTCAGGCCTATGGAGAGAAAGGAAATACCTTCAAATAAAAACTAGACAGAAGCATTCTCAGAAACTTATTTGTGATGTGTGTCCTCAACTAACAGAGTTGAACCTTTGTTTTGATACAGCATTTTGGAAACACTCCTTTTGTAGAATCTGCAGGTGGATATGTGGATAGCTTTGAAGATTTCGTTGGAAACCGGAATATCTTCCTATAAAATCAAGACAGAAGCATTCTCGGAAACATCTCTGTGATGTTTGCATTCAACTCAGTAGAGTTGAACACTTCCTTTCATAGAGCAGGTTTGAAACACTCTTTCTGCACTACCTGGAAGCGGACATTTCGAGCGCTTTGAGGCCTATGGTGAAAAAGGAAATATCTTCTCATAAAAACCAGAAAGAAGCATTCTCAGAAACTTCTTTGTGTTGTGTGTACTCAAGTAACAGTGTTGAACCTTCCTTTTGACAGAGCAGTTTTGAAACACTCTTTTGGTAGAATCTGCAAGTGGATATTTGGAGAGCTTTGAGGATTTCGTTGGAAACGGGTTATCTTCCTATAAAATCCAGACAGGAGCATTCTCAGAAACTTCTTTGTGCTGTATGTCCTCAATTCACAGAGTTGAACCTTTGTTTGGATACAGCATTTTGGAAACATTCCTTTAGTAGAATCTGCAAGTTGATATTTAGATAGCTTTGAAGATTTCGTTGGAAACGGGAATATCTTCATAAAAAATCTAGACGGAAGCATTGTCAGAAACTGCTTTGTGATGTTTGCATTCAAGTCACAGAGTTAAATATTCTTTTACAGAGCAGGTTTGAAACACTCTTTCTGCACTCCCTGGAAGTGGAGATTTCGAGCGCTTTGAGGCCTATGGTGAAAAAGGAAATATCTTCCCATAAAAACTAGACGGAAGCATTCTCAGAAACTTGTTTGTGATGTGTGTATTCAACTAACAGAGTTGAACTTTTGTTTTTACAGAGCCGTTTTAAAACACTCTTTTTGTGGAATCAGAAAGTGGATATTCGGATGGCTCTGAGGATTTCGTTGGAAGCGGGATTACGTATAAAATCTAGAGAGAAGCATTCTCAGGAACTTCTTTGTGATGTTTGCATTCAAGTCACAGAATTGAACATTCCCTTTCATAGAGCAGGTTTGAAACACTCATTCTGTAGTATCTGGAAGTGGACATTTCAAGCGCTTTCAGGCCTATGGTGAGAAAGGAAATATCTTCGAATAAAAACTAGACAGAAGCATCCTCAGAAACTTATTTGTGATGTGTGTCCTCAACTAACAGAGTTGAAACTTTGTTTTGATACAGCATTTTGGAAACACTCTTTTTGTAAAATCTGCAGGTGGATACTTGGATAGCTTAGAGGGATTCGTTGGAAAGGGGATATCTTCATATAAAATCTAGACAGAAGCATTCTCAGAAACTTATTTGTGATGTGTGTCCTCAACTAACAGAGTTGAACCTTGGTTTTGATACAGCATTTTGGAAACACTCCTTTTGAAGAATCTGCAGGTGGATATGTGGATAGCTTTGAAGATTTCGTTGGAAACGGGAATTTCTTCATATAAAATCAAACAGAAGCATTCTCAGAAACTTCTCTGTGATGTTTGCATTCAGCTCATGGAGTTGAACACTTCCTTTCATAGAGCAGGTTTGAAACACTCTTTCTGCACTACCTAGAAGTGGACATTTCGAGCGCTTTGAGGCCTATGGTGAAAAAGGAAATATCCTCTCATAAAAACCAGAAAGAAGCATTCTCAGAAACTTCTTTGTGTTGTGTGTACTCATGTAACAGTGTTGAACCATCCTTTTGACAGAGCAGTTTTGAAACACTCTTTTTGTAGAATCTGCAAGTGGATATTTGGATAGCTTTGAGGATTTCGTTGGAAACGGGATGACATATAATATCTAGAGAGAAGCATTCTCAGGAACTTCTTTGTGATGTTTGCATTCAAGTCACAGAATTGAACATTCCCTTTCATAGAGCAGGTTTGAAACACTCTTTCTCTAGTATCTGGAAGTGGGCATTTCAAGCGCTTTCAGGCCTATGGAGAGAAAGGAAATACCTTCAAATAAAAACTAGACAGAAGCATTCTCAGAAACTTATTTGTGATGTGTGTCCTCAACTAACAGAGTTGAACCTTTGTTTTGATACAGCATTTTGGAAACACTCCTTTTGTAGAATCTGCAGGTGGATATTTGGATAGCTTTGAAGATTTCGTTGGAAACCGGAATATCTTCATATAAAATCAAGACAGAAGCATTCTCGGAAACATCTCTGTGATGTTTGCATTCAACTCAGTAGAGTTGAACACTTCCTTTCATAGAGCAGGTTTGAAACACTCTTTCTGCACTACCTGGAAGTGGACATTTCGAGCGCTTTGAGGCCTATGGTGAAAAAGGAAATATCTTCTCATAAAAACCAGAAAGAAGCATTCTCAGAAACTTCTTTGTGTTGTGTGTACTCAAGTAACAGTGTTGAACCTTCCTTTTGACAGAGCAGTTTTGAAACACTCTTTTGGTAGAATCTGCAAGTGGATATTTGGAGAGCTTTGAGGATTTCGTTGGAAACGGGTTATCTTCATATAAAATCCAGACAGGAGCATTCTCAGAAACTTCTTTGTGCTGTATGTCCTCAATTCACAGAGCTGAACCTTTGTTTGGATACAGCATTTTGGAGACATTCCTTTAGTAGAATCTGCAAGTTGATATTTAGATAGCTTTGAAGATTTCGTTGGAAACGGGAATATCTTCATAGAAAATCTAGACGGAAGCATTCTCAGAAACTGCTTTGTGATGTTTGCATTCAAGTCACAGAGTTGAATATTCCCTTTTATAGAGTAGGTTTGAAACACTCTTTCGGCACTACCTGGAAGTGGATATTTCGAGCTCTTTGAGGCCTATGGTTAAAAGGAAATATCTTCCCATAAAAACTAGACAGAAGCCTTCTCAGAAACTTGTTTGAGATGTGTGTATTCAACTAAGAGCGTTGAACATTTCTTTTTACAGAGCAATTTTAAAACACTCTTTTTGTGGAACCTGAAAGTGGATAATTGGATAGCTTTGTGGATTTCGTTGGAAACGGGATGACGTATAAAGTCTAGAGAGAAGCATTCTCAGGAACTTGTTTCTGATGTTTGCATTCAAGTCACAGAATTGAACATTCCTTTTCATAGTGCAGGTTTGAAACACTCTTTCTGTAGTATCTGGAAGTGGACATTTCCAGCGCTTTCAGGCCTATGGGGAGAAAGGAAATATCTTCAAATAAAAACTAGACAGAAGGATTCTCAGAAACTTATTGGTGATGTGTGTCCTAAACGAACACAGTTGAACCTTTGTTTTGATACAGCATTTTGGAAACACTCCCTTTGTAGAATCTGCAGGTGGATATTTGGATAGATTTTAAGATTTCGTTGGAAACGGGAATTTCTTCATATAAACTCAAGACAGATGCATTCTCAGAAACTTCTCTGTGATGTTTGCATTCCACTCATAGAGTTGAAAACTTCCTTTCATAGAGCAGGTTTGAAACACTCTTTTTGTAATATTTGGAAGTGGACATTTGCAGCGCTTTGAGGCCTATGGTGAAAAAGGAAATATCTTCTCATAAAAACCAGAAACAAGCATTCTCAGAAACTTCTTTTTGATGTGTGTACTCAAGTAACAGAGTTGAACCTTCCTCTTGACACAGCAGTTTTGAAACAATCTTTTTGTAGAATCTGCAAGTGGATATTTGGATAGCTTTGAGGATTTCGTTGGAAACGGGATATCTTCATATAAAATCTAGACAGAAGCATTCTCAGAAACTTCTTTGTGCTGTATGTCCTCAATTAACAGAGTTGAACCATTGCTTGGATACAGCATTTTGGAAACATTCCTTGAGTAGAATCTGCAAGTTGATATTTAGATAGATTTGAAGATTTCGTTGGAAAAGGGAATATCTCCATATAAAATCTAGAGGGAGGCATTCTCAGAAACTGCTTTGTGATGTTTCCATTCAAGTCACAGAGTTGAATATTCTCTTTTATAGAGCACGTTTGAAACACTCTTTCTGCACTATCTGGAAGTGGACATTTCGAGCGCTTTGAGGCCTATGGTGAAAAAGGAAATATCTTCCCATAAAAACTAGACAGAAGCATTCTCAGAAACTTGTTTATGATGTGTGTATTCAACTAACAGACTTGAACTTTTGTTTTTACGGAGCAGTTTTAAGACAATCTTTTTGTGGAATCAGAAAGTGGATATTCGGATGGCTTTGAGGATTTCGCTGGAAGCGGGATTTCATGTAAAATCTAGAGAGAAGCATTCTCAGGAACTTCTTTCTGATGTTTGCATTCAAGTCACAGAATTGAACATTCCTTTTCATAGTGCAGGTTTGAAACACTCTTTCTGTAGTATCTGGAAGTGGACATTTCAAGCGCTTTCAGGCCTATGGGGAGAAAGGAAATATCTTCAAATAAAAACTAGACAGAAGGATTTTCAGAAACTTATTGGTGATGTGTGTCCTAAACGAACACAGTTGAACCTTTGTTTTGATACAGCATTTTGGAAACACTCCCTTTGTAGAATCTGCAGGTGGATATTTGGATAGATTTTAAGATTTCGTTGGAAACGGGAATTTCTTCATATAAACTCAAGACAGATGCATTCTCAGAAACTTCTCTGTGATGTTTGCATTCCACTCATAGAGTTGAAAACTTCCTTTCATAGAGCAGGTTTGAAACACTCTTTTTGTAATATTTGGAAGTGGACATTTGCAGCGCTTTGAGGCCTATGGTGAAAAAGGAAATATCTTCTCATAAAAACCAGAAACAAGCATTCTCAGAAACTTCTTTTTGATGTGTGTACTCAAGTAACAGAGTTGAACCTTCCTTTTGACACAGCAGTTTTGAAACAATCTTTTTGTAGAATCTGCAAGTGGATATTTGGATAGCTTTGAGGATTTCGTTGGAAACGGGATATCTTCATATAAAATCTAGACAGAAGCATTCTCAGAAACTTCTTTGTGCTGTATGTCCTCAATTAACAGAGTTGAACCATTGCTTGGACACAGCATTTTGGAAACATTCCTTTAGTAGAATCTGCAAGTTGATATTTAGATAGATTTGAAGATTTCGTTGGAAACGGGAATATCTTCATATAAAATCTAGACGGAAGCATTCTCAGAAACTGCTTTGTGATGTTTGCATTCAAGTCATAGAGTTGAATATTTGCTTTTATAGAGCAGGTTTGAAACACTCTTTCCGGACTTCTTGGAAGTGGACATTTCGAGCGCTTTGAGGCCTATGGTGAAAAAGGAAATATCTTCCCATAAACACTAGACAGAAGCATTCTCAGAAACTTGTTTGTGATGTGTGTATTCAACTAACAGACTTGAACTTTTGTTTTTACAGAGCAGTTTTAAAACACTCTTTTTGTGGATTCTGAAAGTGGATATTCGGATGTCTCTGAGGATTTCGTTGGAAGCGGGATTACATATAAAATCTAGAGAGAAGCATTCTCAGGAACTACTTTGTGATGTTTGCATTGAAGTCACAGAATTGAACATTCACTTTTATAGAGCAGGTTTGAAACACTCATTCTGTAGTATCTGGAAGTGGACATTTCAAGCGCTTTCAGGCCTATGGGGAGAAAGGAAATATCTTCAAATTAAAACTAGACAGAAGCATCCTCAGAAACTTATTTGTGATGTGTGTCCTCAACTAACAGAGTTGAAACTTTGTTTTGATACAGCATTTTGGAAACACTCTTTTTGTAGAATCTGCAGGTGGATACTTGGATAGCTTAGAGGGATTCGTTGGAAAGGGGATATCTTCATATAAAATCTAGACAGAAGCATTCTCAGAAACTTATTTGTGATGTGTGTCCTCAACTAACAGAGTTGAACCTTGGTTTTGATACAGCATTTTGGAAACACTCCTTTTGTAGAATCTGCAGGTGGATATGTGGATAGCTCTGAAGATTTCGTTGGAAACGGGTATTTCTTCATATAAAATCAAATAGAAGCATTCTCAGGAACTTCTCTGTGATGTTTGCATTCAGCTCATGGAGTTGAACACTTCCTTTCATAGAGCAGGTTTGAAACACTCTTTCTGCACTACCTGGAAGTGGACATTTCGAGCGCTTTGAGGCCTATGGTGAAAAAGGAAATATCCTCTCATAAAAACCAGAAAGAAGCATTCTCAGAAACTTCTTTGTGTTGTGTGTACTCATGTAACAGTGTTGAACCATCCTTTTGACAGAGCAGTTTTGAAACACTCTTTTTGTAGAATCTGCAAGTGGATATTTGGATAGCTTTGAGGATTTCGTTGGAAACGGGATGACATATAATATCTAGAGAGAAGCATTCTCAGGAACTTCTTTGTGATGTTTGCATTCAAGTCACAGAATTGAACATTCCCTTTCATAGAGCAGGTTTGAAACACTCTTTCTCTAGTATCTGGAAGTGGGCATTTCAAGCGCTTTCAGGCCTATGGAGAGAAAGGAAATACCTTCAAATAAAAACTAGACAGAAGCATTCTCAGAAACTTATTTGTGATGTGTGTCCTCAACTAACAGAGTTGAACCTTTGTTTTGATACAGCATTTTGGAAACACTCCTTTTGTAGAATCTGCAGGTGGATATTTGGATAGCTTTGAAGATTTCGTTGGAAACCGGAATATCTTCATATAAAATCAAGACAGAAGCATTCTCAGAAACTTCTCTGTGATGTTTGCATTCAGCTCATGGAGTTGAACACTTCCTTTCATAGAGCAGGTTTGAAACACTCTTTCTGCACTACCATGGAAGTGGACATTTCGAGCGCTTTGAGGCCTATGGTGAAAAAGGAAATATCTTCTCATAAAAACCAGAAAGAAGCATTCTCAGAAACTTCTTTGTGTTGTGTGTACTCAAGTAACAGTGTTGAACCTTCCTTTTGACAGAGTAGTTTTGAAACACTCTTTTGGTAGAATCTGCAAGTGGATATTTGGATAGCTTTGAGGATTTCGTTGGAAACGGGTTATCTTCCTATAAAATCCAGACAGGAGCATTCTCAGAAACTTCTTTGTGCTGTATGTCCTCAATTCACAGAGCTGAACCTTTGTTTGGATACAGCATTTTGGAGACATTCCTTTAGTAGAATCTGCAAGTTGATATTTAGATAGCTTTGAAGATTTCGTTGGAAACGGGAATATCTTCATAGAAAATCTAGACGGAAGCATTCTCAGAAACTGCTTTGTGATGTTTGCATTCAAGTCACAGAGTTGAATATTCCCTTTTATAGAGTAGGTTTGAAACACTCTTTCGGCACTACCTGGAAGTGGATATTTCGAGCTCTTTGAGGCCTATGGTTAAAAGGAAATATCTTCCCATAAAAACTAGACAGAAGCCTTCTCAGAAACTTGTTTGAGATGTGTGTATTCAACTAAGAGCGTTGAACATTTCTTTTTACAGAGCAGTTTTAAAACAATCTTTTTGTGGAATCTGAAAGTGGATAACTGGATAGCTTTGTGGATTTCGTTGGAAACGGGATTACGAATAAAATCTAGGGAGAAACATTCTCAGGAACTTCTTTCTGATGTTTGCATTCAAGTCACAGAATTGAACATTCCTTTTCATAGTGCAGGTTTGAAACACTCTTTCTGTAGTATCTGGAAGGGGACATTTCAAGCGCTTTCAGGCCTCTGGGGAGGAAGGAAATATCTTCAAATAAAAACTAGACAGAAGGCTTCTCAGAAACTTATTTGTGATGTGTGTCCTAAACGAACACAGTTGAACCTTTGTTTTGATACAGCATTTTGGAAACACTCCTTTTGTAGAATCTGCAGGTGGATATTTGGATAGATTTTAAGATTTCGTTGGAAACGGGAATTTCTTCATAGAAACTCAAGACGGATGCATTCTCAGAAACTTCTCTGTGATGTTTGCATTCCACTCATAGAGTTGAAAACTTCCTTTCATAGAGCAGGTTTGAAACACTCTTTCTGTAATATTTGGAAGTGGACATTTGCAGCGCTTTGAGGCCTATGGTGAAAAAGGAAATATCTTCTCATAAAAACCAGAAACAAGCATTCTCAGAAACTGCTTTTTGATGTGTGTACTCAAGTAACAGAGTTGAACCTTCCTTTTGACACAGCAGTTTTGAAACAATCTTTTTGTAGAATCTGCAAGTGGATATTTGGATAGCTTTGAGGATTTCGTTGGAAACGGGATATCTTCATATAAAATCTAGACAGAAGCATTCTCAGAAACTTCTTTGTGCTGTATGTCCTCAATTAACAGAGTTGAACCATTGCTTGGATACAGCATTTTGGAAACATTCCTTTAGTAGAATCTGCAAGTTGATATTTAGATAGATTTGAAGATTTCGTTGGAAACGGGAATATCTTCATATAAAATCTAGACGGAAGCATTGTCAGAAACTGCTTTGTGATGTTTGCATTCAAGTCACAGAGTTAAATAATCTTTTACAGAGCAGGTTCGAAACACTCTTTCTGCACTCCCTGGAAGTGGAGATTTCGAGCGCTTTGAGGCCTATGGTGAAAAAGGAAATATCTTCCCATAAAAACTAGATGGAAGCATTCTCAGAAACTTGTTTGTGATGTGTGTATTCAACTAACAGAGTTGAACTTTTGTTTTTACAGAGCCGTTTTAAAACACTCTTTTTGTGGAATCAGAAAGTGGATATTCGGATGGCTCTGAGGATTTCGTTGGAAGCGGGATTACGTATAAAATCTAGAGAGAAGCATTCTCAGGAACTTCTTTGTGATGTTTGCATTGAAGTCACAGAATTGAACATTCACTTTGATAGAGCAGGTTTGAAACACTCATTCTGTAGTATCTGGAAGTGGACATTTCAAGCGCTTTCAGGCCTATGGTGAGAAAGGAAATATCTTCGAATAAAAACTAGACAGAAGCATCCTCAGAAACTTATTTGTGATGTGTGTCCTCAACTAACAGAGTTGAAACTTTGTTTTGATACAGCATTTTGGAAACACTCTTTTTGTAGAATCTGCAGGTGGATATTTTGATAGCTTAGAGGGATTCGTTGGAAAGGGGATATCTTCATATAAAATCTAGACAGAAGCATTCTCAGAAACTTATTTGTGATGTGTGTCCTCAACTAACAGAGTTGAACCTTCGTTTTGATACAGCATTTTGGAAACACTTCTTTTGTAGAATCTGCAGGTGGATATGTGGATAGCTTTGAAGATTTCGTTGGAAACGGGAATTTCTTCATATAAAATCAAACAGAAGCATTCTTAGAAACTTCTCAGTGATGTTTGCATTCAGCTCATGGAGTTGAACACTTCCTTTCATAGAGCAGGTTTGAAACACTCTTTCTGCACTACCTGGAAGAGGACATTTCGAGCGCTTTGAGTCCTATGGTGAAAAAGGAAATATCTTCTCATAGAAACCAGAAAGAAGCATTCTCAGAAACTTCTTTGTGTTGTGTGTACTCATGTAACAGTGTTGAACCATCCTTTTGACAGAGGAGTTTTGAAACACTCTTTTTGTAGAATCTGCAAGTGGATATTTGGATAGCTTTGAGGATTTCGTTGGAAACGGGATGACATATAATATCTAGAGAGAAGCATTCTCAGGAACTTCTTTGTGATGTTTGCATTCAAGTCACAGAATTGAACATTCCCTTTCATAGAGCAGGTTTGAAACACTCTTTCTCTAGTATCTGGAAGTGGGCATTTCAAGCGCTTTCAGGCCTATGGAGAGAAAGGAAATACCTTCAAATAAAAACTAGACAGAAGCATTCTCAGAAACTTATTTGTGATGTGTGTCCTCAACTAACAGAGTTGAACCTTTGTTTTGATACAGCATTTTGGAAACACTCCTTTTGTAGAATCTGCAGGTGGATATTTGGATAGCTTTGAAGATTTCGTTGGAAACCGGAATATCTTCATATAAAATCAAGACAGAAGCATTCTCGGAAACATCTCTGTGATGTTTGCATTCAACTCAGTAGAGTTGAACACTTCCTTTCATAGAGCAGGTTTGAAACACTCTTTCTGCACTACCTGGAAGCGGACATTTCGAGCGCTTTGAGGCCTATGGTGAAAAAGGAAATATCTTCTCATAAAAACCAGAAAGAAGCATTCTCAGAAACTTCTTTGTGTTGTGTGTACTCAAGTAACAGTGTTGAACCTTCCTTTTGACAGAGCAGTTTTGAAACACTCTTTTGGTAGAATCTGCAAGTGGATATTTGGATAGCTTTGAGGATTTCGTTGGAAACGGGTTATCTTCATATAAAATCCAGACAGGAGCATTCTCAGAAACTTCTTTGTGCTGTATGTCCTCAATTCACAGAGTTGAACCATTGCTTGGATACAGCATTTTGGAAACATTCCTTTAGTAGAATCTGCAAGTTGATATTTAGATAGATTTGAAGATTTCGTTGGAAACGGGAATATCTTCATATAAAATCTAGACGGAAGCATTCTCAGAAACTGCTTTGTGATGTTTGCATTCAAGTCACAGAGTTGAATATTCCCTTTTATAGAGTAGGTTTGAAACACTCTTTCGGCACTACCTGGAAGTGGATATTTCGAGCTCTTTGAGGCCTATGGTTAAAAGGAAATATCTTCCCATAAAAACTAGACAGAAGCCTTCTCAGAAACTTGTTTGAGATGTGTGTATTCAACTAAGAGCGTTGAACATTTCTTTTTACAGAGCAGTTTTAAAACACTCTTTTGGTGGAATCTGAAAGTGGATAATTGGATAGCTTAGTGGATTTCGTTGGAAACGGGATTACGTTTAAAATCTAGAGAGAAGCATTCTCAGGAACTTCTTTCTGATGTTTGCATTCAAGTCACAGAATTGAACATTCCTTTTCAGAGTGCAGGTTTGAAACACTCTTTCTGTAGTATCTGGAAGTGGACATTTCAAGCGCTTTCAGGCCTACGGGGAGAAAGGAAATATCTTCAAATAAAAACTAGACAGAAGGATTCTCAGAAACTTATTTGTGATGTGTGTCCTAAACGAACACAGTTGAACCTTTGTTTTGATACAGCATTTTGGAAACACTCCTTTTGTAGAATCTGCAGGTGGATATTTGGATAGATTTTAAGATTTCATTGGAAACGGGAATTTCTTCATATAAACTCAAGACAGATGCATTCTCAGAAACTTCTCTGTGATGTTTGCATTCCACTCATAGAGTTGAAAACTTCCTTTCATAGAGCAGGTTTGAAACACTCTTTTTGTAATATTTGGAAGTGGACATTTGCAGCGCTTTGAGGCCTATGGTGAAAAAGGAAATATCTTCTCATAAAAACCAGAAACAAGCATTCTCAGAAACTTCTTTTTGATGTGTGTACTCAAGTAACAGAGTTGAACCTTCCTTTTGACACAGCAGTTTTGAAACAATCTTTTTGTAGAATCTGCAAGTGGATATTTGGATAGCTTTGAGGATTTCGTTGGAAACGGGATATCTTCATATAAAATCTAGACAGAAGCATTCTCAGAAACTTCTTTGTGCTGTATGTCCTCAATTAACAGAGTTGAACCATTGCTTGGATACAGCATTTTGGAAACATTCCTTGAGTAGAATCTGCAAGTTGATATTTAGATAGATTTGAAGATTTCGTTGGAAAAGGGAATATCTCCATATAAAATCTAGAGGGAAGCATTCTCAGAAACTGCTTTGTGATGTTTCCATTCAAGTCACAGAGTTGAATATTCCCTTTTATAGAGCACGTTTGAAACACTCTTTCTGCACTATCTGGAAGCGGACATTTCGAGCGCTTTGAGGCCTATGGTGAAAAAGGAAATATCTTCCCATAAAAACTAGACAGAAGCATTCTCAGAAACTTGTTTGTGATGTGTGTATTCAACTAACAGAGTTGAACTTTTGTTTTTACAGAGCCGTTTTAAAACACTCTTTTTGTGGAATCAGAAAGTGGATATTCGGATGGCTCTGAGGATTTCGTTGGAAGCGGGATTACATATAAAATCTAGAGAGAAGCATTCTCAGGAACTTCTTTCTGATGTTTGCATTGAAGTCACAGAATTGAACATTCACTTTGATAGAGCAGGTTTGAAACACTCATTCTGTAGTATCTGGAAGTGGACATTTCAAGCGCTTTCAGGCCTATGGTGAGAAAGGAAATATCTTCGAATAAAAACTAGACAGAAGCATCCTCAGAAACTTATTTGTGATGTGTGTCCTCAACTAACAGAGTTGAAACTTTGTTTTGATACAGCATTTTGGAAACACTCTTTTTGTAGAATCTGCAGGTGGATATTTGGATAGCTTAGAGGGATTCGTTGGAAAGGGGATATCTTCATATAAAATCTAGACAGAAGCATTCTCAGAAACTTATTTGTGATGTGTGTCCTCAACTAACAGAGTTGAACCTTGGTTTTGATACAGCATTTTGGAAACACTCCTTTTGTAGAATCTGCAGGTGGATATGTGGATAGCTCTGAAGATTTCGTTGGAAACGGGAATTTCTTCATATAAAATCAAACAGAAGCATTCTCAGAAACTTCTCAGTGATGTTTGCATTCAGCTCATGGAGTTGTACACTTCCTTTCATAGAGCAGGTTTGAAACACTCTTTCTGCACTACCTGGAAGAGGACATTTCGAGCGCTTTGAGTCCTATGGTGAAAAAGGAAATATCTTCTCATAGAAACCAGAAAGAAGCGTTCTCAGAAACTTCTTTGTGTTGTGTGTACTCATGTAACAGTGTTGAACCATCCTTTTGACAGAGCAGTTTTGAAACACTCTTTTTGTAGAATCTGCAAGTGGATATTTGGATAGCTTTGAGGATTTCGTTGGAAACGGGTTATCTTCATATTAAATCTAGACAGAAGCATTCTCAGGAACTTCTTTGTGATGTTTGCATTCAAGTCACAGAATTGAACATTCCCTTTCATAGAGCAGGTTTGAAACACTCTTTCTCTAGTATCTGGAAGTGGGCATTTCAAGCGCTTTCAGGCCTATGGAGAGAAAGGAAATACCTTCAAATAAAAACTAGACAGAAACATTCTCAGAAACTTATTAGTGATGTGTGTCCCCAACTAACAGAGTTGAACCTTTGTTTTGATACAGCATTTTGGAAACACTGTTTTTGTAGAATCTGCGGGTGGATATTTGGATAGCTTTGAAGATTTTGTTGGAAACGGAAATATCTTCATATAAAATCAAGAAAGAAGCATTCTCGGAAACATCTCTGTGATGTTTGCATTCAACTCAGTAGAGTTGAACACTTCCTTTCATAGAGCAGGTTTGAAACACTCTTTCTGCACTACCTGGAAGCGGACATTTCGGGCGCTTTGAGGCCTATGGTGAAAAAGGAAATATCTTCTCATAAAAACCAGAAAGAAGCATTCTCAGAAACTTCTTTGTGTTGTGTGTACTCAAGTAACAGTGTTGAACCTTCCTTTTGACAGAGCAGTTTTGAAACACTCTTTTGGTAGAATCTGCAAGTGGATATTTGGATAGCTTTGAGGATTTCGTTGGAAACGGGTTATCTTCCTATAAAATCCAGACAGGAGCATTCTCAGAAACTTCTTTGTGCTGTATGTCCTCAATTCACAGAGCTGAACCTTTGTTTGGATACAGCATTTTGGAGACATTCCTTTAGTAGAATCTGCAAGTTGATATTTAGATAGCTTTGAAGATTTCGTTGGAAACGGGAATATCTTCATAGAAAATCTAGACGGAAGCATTCTCAGAAACTGCTTTGTGATGTTTGCATTCAAGTCACAGAGTTGAATATTCCCTTTTATAGAGTAGGTTTGAAACACTCTTTCGGCACTACCTGGAAGTGGATATTTCGAGCTCTTTGAGGCCTATGGTTAAAAGGAAATATCTTCCCATAAAAACTAGACAGAAGCCGTCTCAGAAACTTGTTTGTGATGTGTGTATTCAACTAACAGAGTTGAACATTTCTGTTACAGAGCAATTTTAAAACACTCTTTTTGTGGAATCTGAAAGTGGATAATTGGATAGCTTTGTGGATTTCGTTGGAAACGGGATGACGTATAAAATCTAGAGAGAAGCATTCTCAGGAACTTCTTTCTGATGTTTGCATTCAAGTCACAGAATTGAACATTCCTTTTCATAGTGCAGGTTTGAAACACTCTGTAGTATCTGGAAGTGGACATTTCAAGCGCTTTCAAGCCTATGGGGAGAAAGGAAATATCTTGAAATAAAAACTAGACAGAAGGATTCTCAGAAACTTATTTGTGATGTGTGTCCTAAACGAACACAGTTGAACCTTTGTTTTGATACAGCATTTTGGAAACACTCCTTTTGTAGGATCTGCAGGTGGATATTTGGATAGATTTTAAGATTTCGTTGGAAACGGGAATTTCTTCATAGAAGCTCAAGACAGATGCATTCTCAGAAACTTCTCTGTGATGTTTGCATTCCACTCACAGAGTTGAAAACTTCCTTTCATAGAGCAGGTTTGAAACACTCTTTTTGTAATATTTGGAAGTGGACATTTGCAGCGCTTTGAGGCCTATGGTGAAAAAGGAAATATCTTCTCATAAAAACCAGAAACAAGCATTCTCAGAAACTTCTTTTTGATGTGTGTACTCAAGTAACAGAGTTGAACCTTCCTTTTGACACAGCAGTTTTGAAACAATCTTTTTGTAGAATCTGCAAGTGGATATTTGGATAGCTTTGAGGATTTCGTTGGAAACGGGATATCTTCATATAAAATCTAGACAGAAGCATTCTCAGAAACTTCTTTGTGCTGTATGTCCTCAATTAACAGAGTTGAACCATTGCTTGGATACAGCATTTTGGAAATATTCCTTTAGTAGAATCTGCAAGTTGATATTTAGATATATTTGAAGATTTCGTTGGAAACGGGAATATCTTCATATAAAATCTAGACGGAAGCATTCTCAGAAACTGCTTTGTGATGTTTCCATTCAAGTCACAGAGTTGAATATTCCCTTTTATAGAGCACGTTTGAAACACTCTTTCTGCACTATCTGGAAGTGGACATTTCGAGCGCTTTGAGGCCTATGGTGAAAAAGGAAATATCGTCCCATAAAAACTAGACAGAAGCATTCTCAGAAACTTGTTTGTGATGTGTGTATTCAACTAACAGAGTTGAACTTTTGTTTTTACAGAGCCGTTTTAAAACACTCTTTTTGTGGAATCAGAAAGTGGATATTCGGATGGCTCTGAGGATTTCGTTGGAAGCGGGATTACGTATAAAATCTAGAGAGAAGCATTCTCAGGAACTTCTTTGTGATGTTTGCATTGAAGTCACAGAATTGAACATTCACTTTGATAGAGCAGGTTTGAAACACTCATTCTGTAGGATCTGGAAGTGGACATTTCAAGCGCTTTCAGGCCTATGGTGAGAAAGGAAATATCTTCGAATAAAAACTAGACAGAAAGCATCCTCAGAAACTTATTTGTGATGTGTGTCCTCAACTAACAGAGTTGAAACTTTGTTTTGATACAGCATTTTGGAAACACTCTTTTTGTAGAATCTGCAGGTGGATATTTGGATAGCTTAGAGGGATTCGTTGGAAAGGGGATATCTTCATATAAAATCTAGACAGAGCATTCTCAGAAACTTATTTGTGATGTGTGTCCTCAACTAACAGAGTTGAACCTTGGTTTTGATACAGCATTTTGGAAACACTCCTTTTGTAGAATCTGCAGGTGGATATGTGGATAGCTCTGAAGATTTCGTTGGAAACGGGAATTTCTTCATATAAAATCAAACAGAAGCATTCTCAGAAACTTCTCAGTGATGTTTGCATTCAGCTCATGGAGTTGTACACTTCCTTTCATAGAGCAGGTTTGAAACACTCTTTCTGCACTACCTGGAAGAGGACATTTCGAGCGCTTTGAGGCCTATGGTGAAAAAGGAAATATCTTCTCATAGAAACCAGAAAGAAGCATTCTCAGAAACTTCTTTGTGTTGTGTGTACTCATGTAACAGTGTTGAACCATCCTTTTGACAGAGCAGTTTTGAAACACTCTTTTTGTAGAATCTGCAAGTGGATATTTGGATAGCTTTGAGGATTTCGTTGGAAACGGGATGACATATAATATCTAGAGAGAAGCATTCTCAGGAACTTCTTTGTGATGTTTGCATTCAAGTCACAGAATTGAACATTCCCTTTCATAGAGCAGGTTTGAAACACTCTTTCTCTAGTATCTGGAAGTGGGCATTTCAAGCGCTTTCAGGCCTATGGAGAGAAAGGAAATACCTTCAAATAAAAACTAGACAGAAGCATTCTCAGAAACTTATTTGTGATGTGTGTCCTCAACTAACAGAGTTGAACCTTTGTTTTGATACAGCATTTTGGAAACACTCCTTTTGTAGAATCTGCAGGTGGATATTTGGATAGCTTTGAAGATTTCGTTGGAAACCGGAATATCTTCATATAAAATCAAGACAGAAGCATTCTCGGAAACATCTCTGTGATGTTTGCATTCAACTCAGTAGAGTTGAACACTTCCTTTCATAGAGCAGGTTTGAAACACTCTTTCTGCACTACCTGGAAGCGGACATTTCGAGCGCTTTGAGGCCTATGGTGAAAAAGGAAATATCTTCTCATAAAAACCAGAAAGAAGCATTCTCAGAAACTTCTTTGTGTTGTGTGTACTCAAGTAACAGTGTTGAACCTTCCTTTTGACAGAGCAGTTTTGAAACACTCTTTTGGTAGAATCTGCAAGTGGATATTTGGATAGCTTTGAGGATTTCGTTGGAAACGGGTTATCTTCCTATAAAATCCAGACAGGAGCATTCTCAGAAACTTCTTTGTGCTGTATGTCCTCAATTAACAGAGTTGAACCATTGCTTGGATACAGCATTTTGGAAACATTCCTTTAGTAGAATCTGCAAGTTGATATTTAGATAGCTTTGAAGATTTCGTTGGAAACGGGAATATCTTCATATAAAATCTAGACGGAAGCATTCTCAGAAACTGCTTTGTGATGTTTGCATTCAAGTCACAGAGTTGAATATTCCCTTTTATAGAGTAGGTTTGAAACACTCTTTCGGCACTACCTGGAAGTGGATATTTCGAGCTCTTTGAGGCCTATGGTTAAAAGGAAATATCTTCCCATAAAAACTAGACAGAAGCCGTCTCAGAAACTTGTTTGTGATGTGTGTATTCAACTACCAGAGTTGAACATTTCTGTTACAGAGCAATTTTAAAACACTCTTTTTGTGGAATCTGAAAGTGGATAATTGGATAGCTTTGTGGATTTCGTTGGAAACGGGATGACGTATAAATTCTAGAGAGAAGCATTCTCAGGAACTTCTTTCTGATGTTTCCATTCAAGTCACAGAATTGAACATTCCTTTTCATAGTGCAGGTTTGAAACACTCTTTCTGTACTATCTGGAAGTGGACATTTCAAGCGCTTTCAGGCCTATGGGGAGAAAGGAAATATCTTCAAATAAAAACTAGACAGAAGGATTCTCAGAAACTTATTGGTGATGTGTGTCCTAAACGAACACAGTTGAACCTTTGTTTTGATACAGCATTTTGGAAACACTCCCTTTGTAGAATCTGCAGGTGGATATTTGGATAGATTTTAAGATTTCGTTGGAAACGGGAATTTCTTCATAGAAACTCAAGACAGATGCATTCTCAGAAACTTCTCTGTGATGTTTGCATTCCACTCATAGAGTTGAAAACTTCCTTTCATAGAGCAGGTTAGAAACACTCTTTTTGTAATATTTGGAAGTGGACATTTGCAGCGCTTTGAGGCCTATGGTGAAAAAGGAAATATCTTCTCATAAAAACCAGAAACAAGCATTCTCAGAAACTTCTTTTTGATGTGTGTACTCAAGTAACAGAGTTGAACCTTCCTTTTGACACAGCAGTTTTGAAACAATCTTTTTGTAGAATCTGCAAGTGGATATTTGGATAGCTTTGAGGATTTCGTTGGAAACGGGATATCTTCATATAAAATCTAGACAGAAGCATTCTCAGAAACTTCTTTGTGCTGTATGTCCTCAATTAACAGAGTTGAACCATTGCCTGGATACAGCATTTTGGAAACATTCCTTGAGTAGAATCTGCAAGTTGATATTTAGATAGATTTGAAGATTTCGTTGGAAAAGGGAATATCTCCATATAAAATCTAGAGGGAAGCATTCTCAGAAACTGCTTTGTGATGTTTCCATTCAAGTCACAGAGTTGAATATTCCCTTTTATAGAGCACGTTTGAAACACTCTTTCTGCACTATCTGGAAGCGGACATTTCGAGCGCTTTGAGGCCTATGGTGAAAAAGGAAATATCTTCCCATAAAAACTAGACAGAAGCATTCTCAGAAACTTGTTTGTGATGTGTGTATTCAACTAACAGACTTGAACTTTTGTTTTTACAGAGCAGTTTTAAAACAATCTTTTTGTGGAATCAGAAAGTGGATATTCGGATGGCTTTGAGGATTTCGTTGGAAGCGGGATTACATATAAAATGTAGAGAGAAGCATTCTCAGGAACTTCTTTGTGATGTTTGCATTGAAGTCACAGAATTGAACATTCACTTTGATAGAGCAGGTTTGAAACACTCATTCTGTAGGATCTGGAAGTGGACATTTCAAGCGCTTTCAGGCCTATGGTGAGAAAGGAAATATCTTCGAATAAAAACTAGACAGAAGCATCCTCAGAAACTTATTTGTGATGTGTGTCCTCAACTAACAGAGTTGAAACTTTGTTTTGATACAGCATTTTGGAAACACTCTTTTTGTAGAATCTGCAGGTGGATACTTGGATAGCTTAGAGGGATTCGTTGGAAAGGGGATAAATTCATATAAAATCTAGACAGAAGCATTCTCAGAAACTTATTTGTGATGTGTGTCCTCAACTAACAGAGTTGAACCTTGGTTTTGATACAGCATTTTGGAAACACTCCTTTTGTAGAATCTGCAGGTGGATATGTGGATAGCTCTGAAGATTTCGTTGGAAACGGGAATTTCTTCATATAAAATCAAACAGAAGCATTCTCAGGAACTTCTCTGTGATGTTTGCATTCAGCTCATGGAGTTGAACACTTCCTTTCATAGAGCAGGTTTGAAACACTCTTTCTGCACTACCTGGAAGTGGACATTTCGAGCGCTTTGAGGCCTATGGTGAAAAAGGAAATATCCTCTCATAAAAACCAGAAAGAAGCATTCTCAGAAACTTCTTTGTGTTGTGTGTACTCATGTAACAGTGTTGAACCATCCTTTTGACAGAGCAGTTTTGAAACACTCTTTTTGTAGAATCTGCAAGTGGATATTTGGATAGCTTTGAGGATTTCGTTGGAAACGGGATGACATATAATATCTAGAGAGAAGCATTCTCAGGAACTTCTTTGTGATGTTTGCATTCAAGTCACAGAATTGAACATTCCCTTTCATAGAGCAGGTTTGAAACACTCTTTCTCTAGTATCTGGAAGTGGGCATTTCAAGCGCTTTCAGGCCTATGGAGAGAAAGGAAATACCTTCAAATAAAAACTAGACAGAAAGCATTCTCAGTAAACTTATTTGTGATGTGTGTCCTCAACTAACAGAGTTGAACCTTTGTTTTGATACAGCATTTTGGAAACACTCCTTTTGTAGAATCTGCAGGTGGATATTTGGATAGCTTTGAAGATTTCGTTGGAAACCGGAATATCTTCATATAAAATCAAGACAGAAGCATTCTCGGAAACATCTCTGTGATGTTTGCATTCAACTCAGTAGAGTTGAACACTTCCTTTCATAGAGCAGGTTTGAAACACTCTTTCTGCACTACCTGGAAGCGGACATTTCGAGCGCTTTGAGGCCTATGGTGAAAAAGGAAATATCTTCTCATAAAAACCAGAAAGAAGCATTCTCAGAAACTTCTTTGTGTTGTGTGTACTCAAGTAACAGTGTTGAACCTTCCTTTTGACAGAGCAGTTTTGAAACACTCTTTTGGTAGAATCTGCAAGTGGATATTTGGATAGCTTTGAGGATTTCGTTGGAAACGGGTTATCTTCCTATAAAATCCAGACAGGAGCATTCTCAGAAACTTCTTTGTGCTGTATGTCCTCAATTCACAGAGTTGAACCTTTGTTTGGATACAGCATTTTGGAAACATTCCTTTAGTAGAATCTGCAAGTTGATATTTAGATAGCTTTGAAGATTTCGTTGGAAACGGGAATATCTTCATAAAAAATCTAGACGGAAGCATTGTCAGAAACTGCTCTGTGATGTTTGCATTCAAGTCACAGAGTTAAATATTCTTTTATAGAGCAGGTTTGAAACACTCTTTCTGCACTCCCTGGAAGTGGAGATTTCGAGCGCTTTGTGGTCTATGGTGAAAAAGGAAATATCTTCCCGTAAAAACTAGACGGAAGCATTCTCAGAAACTTGTTTGTGATGTGTGTATTCAACTAACAGAGTTGAACTTTTGTTTTTACAGAGCCGTTTTAAAACACTCTTTTTGTGGAATCAGAAAGTGGATATTCGGATGGCTCTGAGGATTTCGTTGGAAGCGGGATTACATATAAAATCTAGAGAGAAGCATTCTCAGGAACTACTTTGTGATGTTTGCATTGAAGTCACAGAATTGAACATTCACTATGATAGAGCAGGTTTGAAACACTCATGCTGTAGTATCTGGAAGTGGACATTTCAAGCGCTTTCAGGCCTATGGTGAGAAAGGAAATATCTTCAAATTAAAACTAGACAGAAGCATCCTCAGAAACTTATTTGTGATGTGTGTCCTCAACTAACAGAGTTGAAACTTTGTTTTGATACAGCATTTTGGAAACACTCTTTTTGTAGAATCTGCAGGTGGATATTTGGATAGCTTAGAGGGATTCGTTGGAAAGGGGATAAATTCATATAAAATCTAGACAGAAGCATTCTCAGAAACTTATTTGTGATGTGTGTCCTCAACTAACAGAGTTGAACTTTGGTTTTGATACAGCATTTTGGAAACACTCCTTTTGTAGAATCTGCAGGTGGATATGTGGATAGCTCTGAAGATTTCGTTGGAAACGGGAATTTCTTCATATAAAATCAAACAGAAGCATTCTCAGAAACTTCTCAGTGATGTTTGCATTCAGTTCATGGAGTTGAACACTTCCCTTCATAGAGCCGGTTTGAAACACTCTTTCTGCACTACCTGGAAGAGGACATTTCGAGCGCTTTGAGTCCTATGGTGAAAAAGGAAATATCTTCTCATAGAAACCAGAAAGAAGAGTTCTCAGAAACTTCTTTGTGTTGTGTGTACTCATGTAACAGTGTTGAACCATCCTTTTGACAGAGCAGTTTTGAAACACTTTTTTTGTAGAATCTGCAAGTGGATATTTGGATAGCTTTGAGGATTTCGTTGGAAACGGGTTATCTTCATATTAAATCTAGACAGAAGCATTCTCAGGAACTTCTTTGTGATGTTTGCATTCAAGTCACAGAATTGAACATTCCCTTTCATAGAGCAGGTTTGAAACACTCTTTCTCTAGTATCTGGAAGTGGGCATTTCAAGCGCTTTCAGGCCTATGGAGAGAAAGGAAATACCTTCAAATAAAAACTAGACAGAAGCATTCTCAGAAACTTATTTGTGATGTGTGTCCTCAACTAACAGAGTTGAACCTTTGTTTTGATACAGCATTTTGGAAACACTCCTTTTGTAGAATCTGCAGGTGGATATTTGGATAGCTTTGAAGATTTCGTTGGAAACCGGAATATCTTCATATAAAATCAAGACAGAAGCATTCTCGGAAACATCTCTGTGATGTTTGCATTCAACTCAGTAGAGTTGAACACTTCCTTTCATAGAGCAGGTTTGAAACACTCTTTCTGCACTACCTGGAAGCGGACATTTCGAGCGCTTTGAGGCCTATGGTGAAAAAGGAAATATCTTCTCATAAAAACCAGAAAGAAGCATTCTCAGAAACTTCTTTGTGTTGTGTGTACTCAAGTAACAGTGTTGAACCTTCCTTTTGACAGAGCAGTTTTGAAACACTCTTTTGGTAGAATCTGCAAGTGGATATTTGGATAGCTTTGAGGATTTCGTTGGAAACGGGTTATCTTCATATAAAATCCAGACAGGAGCATTCTCAGAAACTTCTTTGTGCTGTATGTCCTCAATTCACAGAGTTGAACCTTTGTTTGGATACAGCATTTTGGAAACATTCCTTTAGTAGAATCTGCAAGTTGATATTTAGATAGCTTTGAAGATTTCGTTGGAAACGGGAATATCTTCATAAAAAATCTAGACGGAAGCATTCTCAGAAACTGCTTTGTGATGTTTGCATTCAAGTCACAGAGTTGAATATTCCCTTTTATAGAGTAGGTTTGAAACACTCTTTCGGCACTACCTGGAAGTGGATATTTCGAGCTCTTTGAGGCCTATGGTTAAAAGGAAATATCTTCCCATAAAAACTAGACAGAAGCCGTCTCAGAAACTTGTTTGTGATGTGTGTATTCAACTAACAGAGTTGAACATTTCTGTTACAGAGCAATTTTAAAACACTCTTTTTGTGGAATCTGAAAGTGGATAATTGGGTAGCTTTGTGGATTTCGTTGGAAACGGGATGACGTATAAAATCTAGAGAGAAGCATTCTCAGGAACTTCTTTCTGATGTTTGCATTCAAGTCACAGAATTGAACATTCCTTTTCATAGTGCAGGTTTGAAACACTCTTTCTGTAGTATCTGGAAGTGGACATTTCAAGCGCTTTCAGGCCTATGGGGAGAAAGGAAATATCTTCAAATAAAAACTAGACAGAAGGATTCTCAGAAACTTATTTGTGATGTGTGTCCTAAACGAACACAGTTGAACCTTTGTTTTGATACAGCATTTTGGAAACACTCCTTTTGTAGGATCTGCAGGTGGATATTTGGATAGATTTTAAGATTTCGTTGGAAACGGGAATTTCTTCATAGAAGCTCAAGACAGATGCATTCTCAGAAACTTCTCTGTGATGTTTGCATTCCACTCATAGAGTTGAAAACTTCCTTTCATAGAGCAGGTTTGAAACACTCTTTTTGTAATATTTGGAAGTGGACATTTGCAGCGCTTTGAGGCCTATGGTGAAAAAGGAAATATCTTCTCATAAAAACCAGAAACAAGCATTCTCAGAAACTTCTTTTTGATGTGTGTACTCAAGTAACAGAGTTGAACCTTCCTCTTGACACAGCAGTTTTGAAACAATCTTTTTGTAGAATCTGCAAGTGGATATTTGGATAGCTTTGAGGATTTCGTTGGAAACGGGATATCTTCATATAAAATCTAGACAGAAGCATTCTCAGAAACTTCTTTGTGCTGTATGTCCTCAATTAACAGAGTTGAACCATTGCTTGGATACAGCATTTTGGAAACATTCCTTGAGTAGAATCTGCAAGTTGATATTTAGATAGATTTGAAGATTTCGTTGGAAAAGGGAATATCTCCATATAAAATCTAGAGGGAAGCATTCTCAGAAAACTGCTTTGTGATGTTTCCATTCAAGTCACAGAGTTGAATATTCCCTTTTATAGAGCACGTTTGAAACACTCTTTCTGCGCTATCTGGAAGTGGACATTTCGAGCGCTTTGAGGCCTATGGTGAAAAAGGAAATATCTTCCCATAAAAACTAGACAGAAGCATTCTCAGAAACTTGTTTGTGATGTGTGTATTCAACTAACAGACTTGAACTTTTGTTTTTACAGAGCAGTTTTAAAACAATCTTTTTGTGGAATCAGAAAGTGGATATTCGGATGGCTTTGAGGATTTCGTTGGAAGCGGGATTACATATAAAATCTAGAGAGAAGCATTCTCAGGAACTTCTTTGTGATGTTTGCATTGAACTCACAGAATTGAACATTCACTTTGATAGAGCAGGTTTGAAACACTCATTCTGTAGTATCTGGAAGTGGACATTTCAAGCGCTTTCAGGCCTATGGTGAGAAAGGAAATATCTTCGAATAAAAACTAGACAGAAGCATCCTCAGAAACTTATTTGTGATGTGTGTCCTCAACTAACAGAGTTGAAACTTTGTTTTGATACAGTATTTTGGAAACACTCTTTTTGTAGAATCTGCAGGTGGATGTTTGGATAGCTTAGAGGGATTCGTTGGAAAGGGGATATCCTCATATAAAATCTAGACAGAAGCATTCTCAGAAACTTATTTGTGATGTGTGTCCTCAACTAACAGAGTTGAACCTTGGTTTTGATACAGCATTTTGGAAACACTCCTTTTGAAGAATCTGCCGGTGGATATGTGGATAGCTTTGAAGATTTCGTTGGAAACGGAAATTTCTTCATATAAAATCAAACAGAAGCATTCTCAGAAACTTCTCAGTGATGTTTGCATTCAGTTCATGGAGTTGAACACTTCCTTTCATAGAGCCGGTTTGAAACACTCTTTCTGCACTACCTGGAAGAGGACATTTCGAGCGCTTTGAGTCCTATGGTGAAAAAGGAAATATCTTCTCATAGAAACCAGAAAGAAGCATTCTCAGAAACTTCTTTGTGTTGTGTGTACTCATGTAACAGTGTTGAACCATCCTTTTGACAGAGCAGTTTTGAAACACTCTTTTTGTAGAATCTGCAAGTGGATATTTGGATAGCTTTGAGGATTTCGTTGGAAACGGGATGACATATAATATCTAGAGAGAAGCATTCTCAGGAACTTCTTTGTGATGTTTGCATTCAAGTCACAGAATTGAACATTCCCTTTCATAGAGCAGGTTTGAAACACTCTTTCTCTAGTATCTGGAAGTGGGCATTTCAAGCGCTTTCAGGCCTATGGAGAGAAAGGAAATACCTTCAAATAAAAACTAGACAGAAGCATTCTCAGAAACTTATTTGTGATGTGTGTCCTCAACTAACAGAGTTGAACCTTTGTTTTGATACAGCATTTTGGAAACACTCCTTTTGTAGAATCTGCAGGTGGATATTTGGATAGCTTTGAAGATTTCGTTGGAAACCGGAATATCTTCATATAAAATCAAGACAGAAGCATTCTCGGAAACATCTCTGTGATGTTTGCATTCAACTCAGTAGAGTTGAACACTTCCTTTCATAGAGCAGGTTTGAAACACTCTTTCTGCACTACCTGGAAGCGGACATTTCGAGCGCTTTGAGGCCTATGGTGAAAAAGGAAATATCTTCTCATAAAAACCAGAAAGAAGCATTCTCAGAAACTTCTTTGTGTTGTGTGTACTCAAGTAACAGTGTTGAACCTTCCTTTTGACAGAGCAGTTTTGAAACACTCTTTTGGTAGAATCTGCAAGTGGATATTTGGATAGCTTTGAGGATTTCGTTGGAAACGGGTTATCTTCATATAAAATCCAGACAGGAGCATTCTCAGAAACTTCTTTGTGCTGTATGTCCTCAATTCACAGAGCTGAACCTTTGTTTGGATACAGCATTTTGGAGACATTCCTTTAGTAGAATCTGCAAGTTGATATTTAGATAGCTTTGAAGATTTCGTTGGAAACGGGAATATCTTCATAGAAAATCTAGACGGAAGCATTCTCAGCAAACTGCTTTGTGATGTTTGCATTCAAGTCACAGAGTTGAATATTCCCTTTTATAGAGTAGGTTTGAAACACTCTTTCGGCACTACCTGGAAGTGGATATTTCGAGCTCTTTGAGGCCTATGGTTAAAAGGAAATATCTTCCCATAAAAACTAGACAGAAGCCTTCTCAGAAACTTGTTTGAGATGTGTGTATTCAACTAAGAGCGTTGAACATTTCTTTTTACAGAGCAGTTTTAAAACACTCTTTTGTGGAATCTGAAAGTGGATAATTGGATAGCTTTGTGGATTTCGTTGGAAACGGGATGACGTATAAAATCTAGAGAGAAGCATTCTCAGGAACTTCTTTCTGATGTTTGCATTCAAGTCACAGAATTGAACATTCCTTTTCAGAGTGCAGGTTTGAAACACTCTTTCTGTAGTATCTGGAAGTGGACATTTCAAGCGCTTTCAGGCCTACGGGGAGAAAGGAAATATCTTCAAATAAAAACTAGACAGAAGGATTCTCAGAAACTTATTTGTGATGTGTGTCCTAAACGAACACAGTTGAACCTTTGTTTTGATACAGCATTTTGGAAACACTCCTTTTGTAGGATCTGCAGGTGGATATTTGGATAGATTTTAAGATTTCGTTGGAAACGGGAATTTCTTCATAGAAGCTCAAGACAGATGCATTCTCAGAAACTTCTCTGTGATGTTTGCATTCCACTCATAGAGTTGAAAACTTCCTTTCATAGAGCAGGTTTGAAACACTCTTTTTGTAATATGTGGAAGTGGACATTTGCAGCGCTTTGAGGCCTATGGTGAAAAAGGAAATATCTTCTCATAAAAACCAGAAACAAGCATTCTCAGAAACTTCTTTTTGATGTGTGTACTCAAATATCAGAGTTGAACCTTCCTTTTGACACAGCAGTTTTGAAACAATCTTTTTGTAGAATCTGCAAGTGGACATTTGGATAGCTTTGATGATTTCGTTGGAAACGGGATATCTTCATATAAAATCTAGACAGAAGCATTCTCAGAAACTTCTTTGTGCTGTATGTCCTCAATTAACAGAGTTGAACCATTGCCTGGATACAGCATTTTGGAAACATTCCTTGAGTAGAATCTGCAAGTTGATATTTAGATAGATTTGAAGATTTCGTTGGAAACGGGAATATCTCCATATAAAATCTAGAGGGAAGCATTCTCAGAAACTGCTTTGTGATGTTTCCATTCAAGTCACAGAGTTGAATATTCCCTTTTATAGAGCACGTTTGAAACACTCTTTCTGCACTATCTGGAAGCGGACATTTCGAGCGCTTTGAGGCCTATGGTGAAAAAGGAAATATCTTCCCATAAAAACTAGACAGAAGCATTCTCAGAAACTTGTTTGTGATGTGTGTATTCAACTAACAGACTTGAACTTTTGTTTTTACAGAGCAGTTTTAAAACAGTCTTTTTGTGGAATCAGAAAGTGGATATTCGGATGGCTTTGAGGATTTCGTTGGAAGCGGGATTACATATAAAATCTAGAGAGAAGCATTCTCAGGAACTACTTTGTGATGTTTGGATTGAAGTCACAGAATTGAACATTCACTTTGATAGAGCAGGTTTGAAACACTCATTCTGTATTATCTGGAAGTGGACATTTCAAGCGCTTTCAGGCCTATGGTGAGAAAGGAAATATCTTCAAATTAAAACTAGACAGAAGCATCCTCAGAAACTTATTTGTGATGTGTGTCCTCAACTAACAGAGTTGAAACTTTGTTTTGATACAGCATTTTGGAAACACTCTTTTTGTAGAATCTGCAGGTGGATATTTGGATAGCTTAGAGGGATTCGTTGGAAAGGGGATATCTTCATATAAAATCAAGACAGAAGCATTCTCAGAAACTTATTTGTGATGTGTGTCCTCAACTAACAGAGTTGAACCTTGGTTTTGATACAGCAATTTGGAAACACTCCTTTTGAAGAATCTGCAGGTGGATATGAGGATAGCTTTGAAGATTTCGTTGGAAACGGGAATTTCTTCATATAAAATCAAACAGAAGCATTCTCAGAAACTTCTCTGTGATGTTTGCATACAGCTCATGGAGTTGAACACTTCCTTTCATAGAGCAGGTTTGAAACACTCTTTCTGCACTACCTGGAAGTGGACCTTTCGAGCGCTTTGAGGCCTATGGTGAAAAAGGAAATATCTTCTCATAAAAACCAGAAAGAAGCATTCTCAGAAACTTCTTTGTGTTGTGTGTACTCATGTAACAGTGTTGAACCATCCTTTTGACAGAGGAGTTTTGAAACACTCTTTTTGTAGAATCTGCAAGTGGATATTTGGATAGCTTTGAGGATTTCGTTGGAAACGGGATGACATATAATATCTAGAGAGA